>NC_000014.9:105065716-105368716 GCF_000001405.40 Homo sapiens | reverse complement strand
GGGGAGACAGTGGCACCCGGCAGGAGACTGGCAATCAGGGGGTCTGCCACGGGACATGCTGCTGTGACCTGGGGTGAGATCTCACTTCCCACGCCCGTGTCCCCCCCACGCCCAGGCTCCCAGCGTCCTCCCCGACCCTCGCCTTCCCCAGCATTCATAGAAGCAGTCTCCACCAACCCTGGTCATGGACGTCGTTCTTACAATCGATCTCCGCTGCTTCTTCGGCTTCCCCACGTCAAAGTCGTCCTCGTCCAAGTCCTGCAGAGACATATGCAGTGGCTGAGGCCACGGCAGCCTGCATAGTGCTGGCAGGACCCTGCCAGCCTCAGCGTGGGCGATGGGAGAGGCCCGGCACTGAGAGCCCACCTGTGTCCCAAGACTCTCAGAGCCACCTGAGCATAAACTCGGGCCCCTGGGGTCGGGAGACGAGAGATGGGCGGCCAACCAGGGGCCAGGCCCGTGGCTCACCCACCCTCACGAGGCCCTGGTGACAGCTGGTGAGGACCCCACAGACCCCAGGACACCCGGTGTGAGCCAGGAGAGGGCGCGGAGCCCCGGCCCCAGGTCACCTGCCCCTGCACGGCGTCGTCACTGGCCTCCTGCTCGGAGGAGAAGCTCTCATACTCCTCCTCGGAGTAGTTATCTGCGGAATGAACAGACAGAAGGGAGGGTGCCGTGAGATTCCACCCGGGAAACCAGGCAGTGACCACCCCCAGGCTTCCCTGGACACAGAGTGGGGGCAGCGAGGAGGTGGATCCATGCAGGACAGAGGGGCTCCAGACACAGGTGCCGTGGCCCCGAGCCCCCGAGTCCCCCAAGTCCACTGGCAACGGTCCAGGTCGGGGTTGGCAGGAAGTGGGGAGGGGCAGGGAGGGCAAAGGGGGCCACATGAACTGCTCCGGCCTCCACGGCCCCTCCTGCCAGCTGGCATTTCAGCCTGGATTTGCACCGACTGGGTCTCCCCCGCCTGAGGAGTAGGGGAGGCCCTGGTGACCCCACTGGGGTGGCGGCAGCTGTGGCACCTGCCCATGGCGGGCCCTGCACCCAGACCAGCAAGGGCATCACAGTGCGACCCCACACCTCCTTTTTGAGGACACTCAGGACTCAGGCCTCTTGACCAAGGAGCTGCAGCCACGGGGGCAGAACAGGGACCTGTGGCAGCCCGGACCCTACAACAGCGCGCACCTCTGCTGTGGCTTCCAGACAGGAGAGCAACTGACACGTGCTCCGGACCCCCAACTCCTTAAGCCAGGCTGGACAGTTTCTGCCACCCGATGTGCCATGGCTGGAAGGCAGGGCCTCCCCACAGCAGGGGCAGGAGCGGGCTGGCACCACACTCACCCGTGGACTTGGCCTTGGGGCCGGCCTGCATGGTGCTGTCTTCGTGGTCAATGGGCTGGCTGGACAGGGAGGCGATCCAGATCTCGGCCGCCTTGACGGGGGCCTCCTTGATGCTGCTGCAGAGGCTCAGCACCTGGCCACCTTCAGACGGGTGTTGCATCACCTGCAGGCCAGGGGCACGGTTCTAGAAAGCAGCACGACGGGAAGGAGCCCCGGTGCCCTGATGTGTGGGCTGGGGTTTCTGAAGGGCTTTCTCTCTCAGTGACAGCAAGGGGGACCCTCAGCAGGGCAGCCACAGGGCAGGGAGCATCCAGTGGACAGGAAACGTGGCCACTGGGGAGAGGGGACAGATACGAGAGGAGGACACAGGAGCCAGGCGGACAGACGAGAGGAACACGTGGGAGCTTTCACGAACGGGCCATAAGCAGAGGGCACTGGGCTGTGCTGGAGAGGCCAGTGCCAGGCACAGTCACGAGGGACTGAGATGGACAGACAGGGGTGTCCGCGGCCCTCCTGATCTCAGGCACGACTGCTGTCCATGCAGTGCCACCCAGGAAGATCCTGGCCCCCTGCTCCAACCCTGCCTCCACCCTCCACCCACCCAAGAGCTCAGCAGCAGCAAAGCAGTGTGTGAAGCCGGCTGCCCAACCCACAGGAGCCAATGCCCAGGGACCAGTGTCTGTGGGGGACCAAGGAGGAGCCCAGCACTCTCAGCCAGGCCGGAATCTCCAGCAGCAGGAGACACCCACCAGGCCTGGCTCACAGGCCAGGTCCAGCTCCTCTGTTGTGAGGCACTCAAACCACGGAGCTGCAGAACAAGCCCCGGCCCCTCCTGCAGCCACGACCTGTACCCAGGCACAGCCCCGCCGTGCCCCACGCCAGCCTCAGAACCACACGCCATGACGACAACTCTCAGACACTCACAGCCTTGGGGCCAGCTGTGCTCTAGAAGCCGCCTTTTGGGGCTATCGGTTCACATCCAGATGTTAGGATTTTATAGACCAGATTTATTTATTTATTACTTTTTTGAGACGGAGTCTCATTCTGTGGCCCAGGCTGGTGTGCAATGGTGCGATCTTGGCTCACTGCAACCTCCGCCTCCTGGGTTCAAGTGATTCTCCTGCCTCAGCTTCCCAAGTACCTGGGATTACAGGCATCTGCCAGCACGCCCAGCTAAGTTTTGTATTTTTAGTAGAAACAGTTTCACCATGTTGGCCAGGATGGTCTCAAACTCCTGACCTCAAATGATCTGCCTGCCTCGGCCTCCCAAAGTGCTGGGATTACAGGCGTGAGCCACCACGCCCAGCCGACCAGATTTATTTTGATTGTGGGGTCCTGATTTGGGCTGCTAATTCTTCAATTAATCAAGGTAAAAAAATGTTTAAAAGTTTACATTTGCCCTCATCTTCATTTCAGAAAATGACGAAGGGCAGCTGGCAGCTTCTGCCAACACTCGCACCCACTGCTGACGCCCTCGTGCCCACAACTCGCCGGGGCACACGCAGCTTCACGTACTTGGAGGCTGCTGTTGTCCAGGCCCCCAGCACCCTGAGTCGCCTTCTCAGAGTGGCATCTGATGTGGCAGGGTCTCAGTGTCACACAGGGGTGAGAACCTGGAAGCTCAGAAGCCCTCGGTCAGAAATGCTGAGCCCTTGCTGGGGATCCCAGTAAAATGAGCTCAGAGGGGAGGGGGCTGCCGGGCTGGGGTCCCGGAGGAATCAAGGTGGGGCTCAGGTGGTGCTGCACCTGCTCATACCAACCTCCACGGGGCTCAGAGGGGTCTGGGCCCTTTTTCTCCTAAGAAAACCCTGCTCGCTTCCTCCTTCAGGTGGGAGGGCAGGAAGGAATGGGGCCTCTTATCAAAGATGCTTTTGCCGGGATCCCTGGAGCTGGCTGTAGTGGGAATGCTCTGCTGGGCCCGCAGCGGGCCAGGGGCGGGTTGTTGATTAGCCCCCGCTCCACTCAGCCTGTGGTCGACCTATATGTGAACACTATTTTGATATCTGCAGGCCCTGGAAGTCCCAGGCCCCGACACTCCAGGCTGCATGTTCCTCTCCTCCTGACAGTGCTCCTTGGGGCGTGCGTCCTCCTGCCAAGGGGCCAGCCACCCCTGAGCTGGGCACTCCCCTGGGGTGATGCTGGCCGGCAGGTCACTGTCCTGGACTGTGGCCATTCCCACTCCTGCCCCTGCTGACCCTGAGACCACCCTCCCGGGTTAGTCCAGCAGATGCTCTGTGGATGCTCTGCAATCCTCAGCAAAGGGCTGGAGCTGCCTCACCAGGGAGGGTGGCCCCAGGGCCCAGCTCCCTCCACCCCTGACCCTGACAGGCTCCTCCCTCTTCCATTTTCAAATAGATTTTAGTGACTAGGAAAATTGAGGCCGGGCATAATGGTTCACGCCTGTAATCCTAACACTTTGGGAGGTTGAGGCAGGTGGATGGCTTGAGCTCAGGAGTTTGAGACCAGCCTGGGCAACATGGCGAAACTCTTATCTCTACAAAAAGTATAAAAAATTAGCTGGGCATGGTGGTGCGCACCTGTAGTCCCAGCTACTTGAGGACTGAGGTGGGAGGACTGCTTGGGCCCAGGGGCTTGAGGCTGCAGTGAGCCAAGATCACACCACTGCACTCCAGCCTGGGTGGCAAAGTAAGACCCCGTCTCAAAAAAAAAAAAAAAAAAAGAAAAGAAAATTGCTCAGGATGTCACACTTAATTGTACAAATACTACAATAAAAATTTTACAAAAACAGTCATGCACCACGTAACGACAGAGGTATGTTCTGAGACATGCATGGTGAGGAGACCTCGTCCTCTTGCCAACATCGCAGCAAGCCTGGATGGTGCCGCCCACCGCGCACCCAGGCCACCGCCCACCGCGCACCCGGGCCGCCACCCACCGCGCACCCGGGACGCCGCCCACCGCGCACCCGGGACGCCGCCCACCGCGCACCCGGGACACCGCCCACCGCGCACCCGGGACACCGCCCACCGCGCACCCGGGACGCCCACCGTGCACCCGGGACACCGCCCACCACACCCCCGGGCCGCCGCCCACCGCGCACCCGGGACGCCCACCACACCCGCAGGCCGCCGCCCACCGCGCACCCGGGCTGCAGCCCTCACTCTGCTCTGCTGCACTTTGCTGATCTTCTGTTTTTTACAGTGAAGGCTTTTGGCAACCCTGCATCAAGCAAGTCTATCAGCGCCACTTTTCCAACAGCACGTGTTCACTTGGTGTCTGTGTCACATTTTGGTAATTCTCCCAATATTTCAAACTTCTTCACTATTATTATATCTGTATGGTGATCTGTGATCAGTGAGCTACGGTGTGACTATCACAACTGCTCTGGGGCACCACGAACATCACCCATGTAAGACAGTGAACTTAATCAGTAGGTGTGTGCGTCTGACTGCTCAGCCCACCGGCCATTCCCATGTCTGTCTCTCCTGTGGCCTCTCTCTTCCGAGACACAATAATATGGAAATTAGGCCAATTACTAACTCTACGGGCCCCTAAGTGTTCAAGTGAAAGGAGGGGTTGCACATCTCTTTCAATGAGAACCTAGAAATGACTGAGTTTAGTGAAGAAGGCACGTCAGAGCCGAGACAGGGTGAGGGCGAGGCCCCTTATACTAAATCACCAAGCAGTGAATGCAAAGAGAAAGCTCCTGAGGGAAAGGAAAATCGCTGCTCCAGCGAACACAGGAAGGAGAATCAGCAGAGCAGCCTCAGTGACGGTGTGGAGAGAGTGAGTGGCCGGGATGAAGATTGAACCAGACAACACTCCTTTAAGCCAAAGCCTCATCCGGAGCAAGGCCCTGACTCCCTTCACCTCTGTGAAGGCTGAGAGAGGCGAGGAGGCTGCAGAAGAAGTTTGGAGCTGGCAGAAGTTGGTTCATGAGGTTTTAGTAAAGCAGCCGTCTCCATAACAGAAATGCAAGGTGAAGCGGCAAGTGCTGACGGAGAAGCTGCAGCGAGTTCTCTAGAAGGTCTAGTTCAGATCTTGACGAAGGTGGCTAACACTAAACAACAGATTTTCAACGTAGAAGACACAGCCTTCCATTGGAAGAAGATGCCATCTAGGACTTTCATAGCTAGAGAGGAGAAGTCGATGCCTGGCCTCAAAGCTTCAAAGGACAGGCTGCCTCTCTTGTTAGGAGTGAAGGCAGCTGGTGACTTTAAGTTGAAGCCAGTGCTCATTTACCATTCCTGAAATCCTAGGGCCCTTAAGAATTATGCAAAGTCGACTGTCTGTGTTCTGAAAATGGAACAACAAAGCCTGGATGACAGCACATCTGTTTACAGCACAATTGGCTGAATGTTTTAAGCCCACTATGAGACCTATTGCTTGGGAAAAAAAAGGTTCCTTTCAAAATATGACTGCTCATTGACATGACCTGGTCACCCAAGAGCTCTGCTGGAGACTCGCAGGAGACGAATGTTGTTTTCATGGCTGCTCACACGACATCCATCAGGCAGCCCATGCATCAAGGAGTCATTTCAACTTTCAAGTCTTATTATTATTTGAGTTGGAGTTTCGCTCTGTTGCCCAGGCTGGAGTGCAATGACGCGATCTTGGCTCACTACAACCTCTGCCTCCCAGGTTCAAGCGATTCTCCTGCCTCAGCCTCCTGAGTAGCTGGGATTACAGGGGCCCGCCACCACGCCTGGCTAATTTTTATATTTTTAGCAGAGATGGCATTTCAACATGTTGGTCAGGCTGGTCTTGAACTCCTGACCTCAGATGATCCACCTGCCTTGACCTCCCAAAGTGCTGGGATTACAGGTGTGAGCCACTGCGCCTGGCCTCAAGTCTTATTATTTAAAAAAAATGTATTTCATTCATAAGGCTATAGCTGCCATAGACAGTGATTCCTCTGATGGATCTGGGCAAGGTAAATTGGAAACCCCCTGGAAATGACTCACCATTCTTTTTTTTTCTTTTCTTTTTTTTTTTTTTGAGACGGAGTCTCGCTCTGTCGCCCAGGCTGGAGTGCAGTGGCGCGATCTCGGCTCACTGCAAGCTCCACCTCCAGGTTCACACCATTCTCCTGCCTCAGCCTCCCGAGTAGCTGGGACTACAGGCGCCCGCCACCACGCCCAGCTAATTTTTTATATTTTCAGTAGAGACGGTGTTTCACTGTGTTAGCCAGGATGGTCTTGATCTCCTGACCTCGTGATCCGCCCACCGTGGCCTCCCAAAGTGCTGGGATGACAGGCGTGAGCCACCACACCTGGCCCATTCTTTTTTTTTGAGACAGATTCTAACTCTTGTTGCCCAGGCTGGAGTGCAATGGTGCGATCTCGCTCACTACAACCTCCACTTCCCAGGTTCAAGCAATTCTCCTGCCTCAGCCTCCCGAGTAGCTGGGACTTTAGGTGCCTGCCACCACACTCCACTAATTCGTTTTTTTTGTTTGTTTGTTTGAGATGAAGTCTCACTCTTGGCGCCCAGGCTGGAGTGCAATGTCGTGATCTTGGCTCATTGCAATTTCCGCCTCCTGGGTTCAAGCGATTCTCCTGCCTCAGCCTCCTGAGTAGCTGGAATTACAGGCATGTGCCACCACACCCAGCTAATTTTGTATTTTTAGTAGAGACGGGGTTTCTCCATGTTGGTCAGGCTGGTCTCGAGCTCCCGACCTCAGGTGACCTGCCCGCCTTGGCCTCCCAAAGTGCTGGGATTACCGGCGTGAGCCATTGCACCCGGCCCACTAATTTTTTTGTTTGTTTGTTTGTTTTGAGACGGAGTCTCACTCTTGTCACCCAGGCTGGAATGCACTGGTGCAATCTCAGCTCACTGCAACCTCCGCCTCCCAGGTTCAACCGATTCTTCTGTCTCAGCCTACTGAGTAGCTGGAATTACAGGTGTCCTCTACCACACCTGGCTAATTGTTGTACTTTTAGTAGAGACAAGGTTTCACCATGTTGGCCAGGCTGGTCTCAAACTCCTGACCTCAGGTAATCCACCCGCCCTGGCCTGCCAAAGTGCTGGGATTACAGGTGTGAGCCACCGTGCCCAGCCTTTTTTTCTTTTTTTGTATTTTTAGCAGAGACAGCGTTTCACCATATTGGCCAGGCTGGTTTAGAACTCCTGACCTCAAATGATCCGCCCACCTTGGCCTCCCAAAGTGCTGGGATGACAGGTGTGAGCCACTGCGCGTGGCCTGGATTCACCATTCTTGATGCCATGAAGAACATCTGTGATTCATGGGAAAAAGTTGAGATATCAGCATTGACAGGAATTTGGGAGAAGTGGATTCCAACTCTCTCGTGGATGACTTTGAGGGCTCAAGGCTTCAGTGCAGGAAGGAAGTGCACATGTGGTGGAAATAGCAAGAGGACTGGGATTAGAAGCAGAGCCTGAGGACTGACTGAATTGCTGCAGTCTCATGAAGAAACTTCAGCTGATAAGAAGTGGCTTCTCATGGATGAGCAACGAAAGTGGTTTCTTAAGATGGAATCTGCTCCTGGTGAGGATGCTGTGAACACTGCGGAGTGACAACACAGGACTTGGGAGAGTCCACCGTCTCGGTTAGTAACGCAGCAACGGGGTTTGAGAGGACTGACCCCAATTCTGAAATAATGGTGGGTAACATGGTACCAAACAGCACCGCATGCGACAGGGAACTATTCTGCGAAAAGAAGAGTCAAGTATGCAGGAAACTTCTTTCTTGTTTTATTTAAGAAATTGCCACAGGCACCCTAGCCTTCAGCAACCAACACTCTGACCGGTCAGCACCCACCCACACTAAGGACCCCCACCAGCCAAAGGGTTACAACTCCCCGAAGGCTCAGATGATTGTTAGCTTTTTCTTTTCTTTTTTTTTTTTTTTTGAGAGGAAGTCTTACTCTGTCACCCAGGCTAGAATGCAGTGGCGTGATCTCGGCTCACTGCAACCTCCGCCTCCCGGGTTAAAGTGATTCTCCTGCCTCCCCTCCCTAGTAGCTGGGATTACAGGTGTGAGCCACGACGCCCGGCTAATTTTTTTTTGTATTTTTAGTAGAGACGACATTTCACCATATTGGCCAGGCTGGTTTCGAACACCTGACCTCAGGTGATACGCCCGCCTTGGCCTCCCAAAGTGCTGGGATTACAGGCATGAGCCACCGCACCCAGCTTTAGCAATATTTTAAAATTAATGTATGTATATATTTTTTGACGTAATGCTATTGCACACTTAACAGACTACAGTACAGTGTAAACATAACTTTTATATGCACTGAAAAACCACGAAATTTGTGTGACTCACTTTATTTCAATATCCGTTTTTATTGGGGTGGCCTAGAACTGAACACACAATATCTTCAAGGTCAGCCTATATGAGAGACAGCCTCCTGCTCCTAGGCCACAGACCTGTAAAGCATGTTACTGTACTGAATACTGTAGGCAATTGTTACAGATGGTAAGTATTTATGTGTCTAAACACATTTAAACACAGAAAAAGTAGGCTGGGCACGGTGGCTCATGCTTGAAATACCAACACTTGGCCGGGTACAGTGGCTCACGCCTGTAATCCCAGCACTTTGGGAGACCAAGGTGGGCGGATCGCGAGGTCAGGAGATCGAGACCATCTTGGCTAACACGGTGAAACCCCGTCTCTACTAAAAATACAGAAAATTAGCCAGGCGTAGTGGCGGGCGCCTGTAGTCCCAGCTACTCGGGAGGCTGAGGCAGGAGAATGGCGTGAACCTGGGAGGTGGAGGTTGCAGTGAGCTGAGATTGCGGCACTGCACTCCAGCCTGGGCGACAGAGCGAGATTCTGTCTCAAAAAAAAAAAAAAAAAAAAAAGAAAGAAATACCAACACTTTGGGAGGCCCAGATAGACAGATCACTTGAGGTCAGGAGTTCAAGACCAGCCTGGACAACAGGGTGAAACCCTGTCTCCACTAAAAATAAAAAAATTAGTTGGGTGTGGTGATGAGCACCTGTAATCCCAACCACTCGGGAGGCGGAGGAAGGAGAATCACTTGAACCCGGGAGGTGGAGGTTGCAGTGAACTGAGATCGCGCCACTGCACTATAAAAGTGAAACCACATCACGAAAAAAATTTAAAAATAAAAAGCAAAAAAAAAAAAGCACAGTAAAAATAAAGTATAAAAGACATTAAGTGGTGCCTGTGAATAGGGCACTGACGATGGCAGAGCCTGCGGGGCTGGAGGTGGCTCTGGACAAGCTGGTGGGTGAGTGAGTAATGCGAAGGCCTGGGAGGTCACCACGCACCGCCGCGTAGGGGTGGACGTGTGTGTGGATGCGAAGGCCTGGGAGGTCGCCATGCACCGCCGTGTAGGGATGGACGTGTGTGTGACCAGGCCCTGGACACCTGGGCCACACTGAGTTCACACAGGAATAAAGTAACTGTGCTATGGTGTTACGATGGCTACCATGTCATCAGGAGATAGGAAGTGTCCAGTGCCATCATATTCTCACGGGGCCACCCATTGATATGCAGCCCACACCTGACTGGGCTGTCATCAGCAGCCTGTGGCTGTGCAGACACTCATAGAGAGAAACTAAAGGGAATCCAGCATGCAAACGGTCAGGGTGACGCTCCCGCGCTGTCCTTACCCTGAGGTCTTCCTGTGTCCCACCATGAGCCGCCCGCCCCTCACAGGTCCCCTTGGGCTGGACCTGGCCCCAGTGGCATGTGCAGCTTGTGGCGAGGCCACAAGAGGAGTCCGGCTGTGCAAAGAAGCATGGCTGCTCCCTCAGCCACCACCGCACTCCCAGGTCACCCCTTCGCCTGGTCATGGGTCTGTCAACCTTCCTGTCTTGTCGGGGAGCCCACAGGCCCCAGCCTCAGACAATGGCCACCAGCTGGCATGCCTGCGTCTCCCAGGCTGCAGCCCCAGGGTGGTCTGGCCACACGAACGCCCACCCCTACACACTCCCTCTACGGGTGCTGGGGTGAGTTCTGAGAGCCACACCACAGGAGAAGGCCCCACGTCTGCCCCCACCGCACACCTGCCTCTGCGGAGCTGCCTCTGAGAGGGACCACCTGCAGTCAGCTCAAGCTTCCTGAGAAGTGGCAGGCAGAGGCGCGTGCCCAGCAGGCCCTGGGGCTGCGGTCACTCCTGATGGTCCCAGCCAGAACTGCTGGTCAGCCTGCAGACCTAAGCCACCCCACGCCGGCGTCCAGCTCCTGGCACCCATGAGGCCCGGCCCCTACCCTGGGCCACCTTGGACTCCACTTCCTCAGCCTCAGAGTAAGTCCAGGGCTCTGGGCCTCAGCTCACACAGAATGAGTGCCAGGTGAGGGCAGAGCTATGGTGTGGCAGGGGCCCAGGCTGCTCCCAGCCCCTCCTGCCCCCTGCGTGTGCACCCATTTGAAGGGAGATGACACCTGTGTCCCCACAGCCATCGCCTCCTGGTCTCCCCACAGCCTGGAGGTCCTGGGCAGGTGCCCCCCACATCCTCTCCCACCACACTCTCAGCCCTGGCCTCGAGTCCGCCCAACAGCCCGCCTCACCCCACCCTGTGCCCTCAAGGACCCTTCCCCACCGCCGAGCACTACTCTCAAATGCATGGCGCCAGCCTCACCGACACCCCACTCTCACGACAGTCCCTATGGCAGCACCCATGCCCTCACCCCCGTCTCAGGCGTGCAGTCTCGGAGCCAGCAAGCCCCCATGGCACAGCTGCCTGAGCCCAGCTGGTGAGAGCCCCCCACCTCTGCCACCTGTGTCCGTCTGTGCCCTCGGGGCTGTCCCGCCTCCGCAATCTCCCGTGCTCATACTCTCAACAAGCCAGCAACGCTCACAGGTGGGAACCAGCCCCAAAAGGTGGCAGGACACAGGGAGCCCATGAACCGCCCTGGTGCTCGGGGACACATGGGAGGACCCAACTAGGTTCTGGGACCAGGCTGCCAGTGGAAGGTGGAAGGATGCCCCGAGGGCCTGGAGGAGATGCTGGAGGGGAGAGCGAGGAGCAGTCAGATGACCTCGGCTTTGGAAGCCACAGGTGCAGGGCGAGGGAGCCTTGGGGTGGGGGCCACAGGCTCAGGGGCAGGGCACTGGAACTACATCCAGGGGTGGGGCTTTTCTGCCAAGAGTGAAGAACAGATGATGGGATTTCAAGCAGCAGACGATGTGGCTGGTGTGACCTGGGGTGGGGGAAGGTTGCTCCAGCCTCTCCCCGGGGATCAGGAGGGGACAGCCCAAGGCTGGGAGGACAGGTGAGGGAGGGGCCTGGGAGCAGAGGCCAGCATTCAGGGCAAGGACGTCAAACACAGAAGCACCAGTGCTGAGAGGGGCTGGGAGGAGCCGCCTGGGGCACTGGGGTGCAGACTGAGAGATGTGGGCGGAGCAGCCTGGGGCAGGAGCTCACAGGGACCGGCAGGGATCAGCAGGACATCACCTGCATGGCTACACAGGGACCAGCAGGGATCAGCAGGACATCGCCTGCATGGCTAATGGGAAACACAGGGACCGGCAGGGATCAGCAGGACATCGCCTGCATGGCTAATGGGAAACACAGGGACCAGCAGGGATCAGCAGGACATCGCCTGAATGGCTAATGGGAAACACAGGGACCGGCAGGGATCAGCAGGACATCGCCTGCATGGCTAATGGGAAACACAGGGACCGGCAGGGATCAGCAGGACCTCGCCTGCATGGCTAATGGGAAACACAGGGACCGGCAGGGATCAGCAGGACCTCGCCTGCATGGCTAATGGGAAACACAGGGACCGGCAGGGATCAGCAGGACCTCGCCTGCATGGCTAATGGGAAACAGAGCCTGCATGACCTCCCCACAGTGCCTGGACCCTCCTGCTCCACAGGAAGCAAGCGGTGGCTCCCAGGAGGCTCTCACAGCCCAGAGAGCATCCCTGAGCTACCTGTTCACCCATCGCTCAGCCTGCAGGAGGGAGGCTGGGATGATGGGCAGCTCCAGGCCACCAGAGGGGTCCCAGGGCCCTGGGAAGTGCAGCCTGGAGGCCCGGTCCACCCGTGCTGTCCGTGGTTTGCCGAAGGAATCGGGAAGACTGCAAAGCTTGTCTGAGGCCCTGCGGCGGCACGGAGAAGCGAGGCCTCGGGACGCCACTGCTGCTTCCTGTACCCTCCACGCTCCCATCTCCTGGGGTAGCAGGGAGGGCTGAGCCCAGAGTAGTACTTGGCACTTGTCCTGGATGCGTAAGTGGGGGTGTGTGAGGATCTGGGGGACCTAGCGCTTGACCTGGGAGACAGGAGGCCTGCAGGCTGGGCCTGGGGGTGTGGGGGAACCAGCTACAAGTGGGCACCCCCACTGTCCCAGCCCCAAGCCCCAGGAGCAGGGGGACAAAGTGGGAAGAAGAGGGGCTGGGGGGCTCTGGCATCTCCGGCTCCCAATGAGGGGCTGCGCTGGCTGACCTTCCCAGGCCCCAGGCAGGCAGCAACCCAGCTTCACATGCCCCAAGCACCACTCACGCCCGCAGCCCCTGGACCCCTGAACACAACCCCACGATGGGGAAAGTTCTGAAGCAAAAGAGACAAACTGGTCTGGGGCCCTGGGCTGCCCCTTCTCCCAGAGCCAATCTTGCAGCCCCGAAAGGGTCCATGAGAAAGTCCGAGGCCTCAGCCTGGGGTGTCTTCTCCCAGGCCCCCACGCCCTACTGCAGCCTCCTTGGAACGCTGGGTTCTCTGGAGCAAGGTGGGCTGCTGCTTGGCTGTTTCTTTTCCTTTTGAGGTACTTCCCCTTCTTTCCCCTCCAGGGAACTCCAGCCACCCCTCTGACCTCTGGGTGCTGCCCCCGCCCTGCTCGGGTATTGTCGCTAGCCCCTTCACAGAACTGACACCTGTCCTGCTCCTGCTCAGCCAATCCTGGGCCAGAGCACGTGCTGAGCAGGATGCAGACACGAACCCATCACAGGACGCACCCGTGGTGTGGGGACAGCAGCGATTCCTCCATGGGAAGGACTCCAGAGCAGCCTGACCCAAAACCCAGCCTCCACTGAAGGGCAGGACAGGCTCGTTAGAGGGGAGTGCGCGCGGCTGCAGGCATGCGGGGAGCCATGCTAGGCGGCAAGGGAAGGTCAGAGAGGAAGCACCACCTGGGGCCGCACCTGGCCCTTATGGCGGAGCCCGGCCGCCCAGGCTCCTCTCATCATTTTCACCTGATCCCTGGACATCTGGACCCGGGAGAGACATCTCCATCTCCCACGGGCGAATGCTCTGGCACCCAGGTGGCCAGCCCGACGCAGGCCACGCCAGACGGAGCACTCACCTCAGCCATGCTGATGGAGCCCGCGGCCAGCGTCTTGTAGCCCAGGATGGTTCTGTTCTTGTAGCGCTTTCTGCGCTGCAGCATGATCTGAAGCTTGTTGCCTTCCCTCTTCAAGAAGTGAGGATACTGTGGGCACAAGTGCGAGTGGCAGCTGAGGGTGCACCGGGGCCCCAGGCAGCATCACGGCCTCTGACGGCCCAGCCACCCTGCAGCCTGCGACCAGGCCAACCTGCTGCCCATGAGATCGGAAGGGCACCCACAGACGGGCCCCCAAGTTCATCCCAGTGGCATGCCGGTCCCCAGAGCCCATCCTTTACCCAACACAATCAAGAGTGAGCCAGTCGCCAGAGCTCAGGCCCTGAGGGCTCCGCGCCACGCTAACAGCCATGGCAGGTGGACAAGGACTATGTGCTGCAGTGTCCGGGATGGCCGAGCGCGCCTGTGGACACTCGGAAACAGTGTGGCGGCTCATGTGCCTGAGGCAATCAGCAAGGTGGGACCCAGGACGCTTTTCCGCGAGGGGCACACAGGGCGGGGAGGGCTCTCCCTCCGAGGCCCCCTGTTCACCCAACTCGCCTGCACGTCTCACCACAGGCTCCCTGTCCAGCAGGGCTCCAGCAAGCTGATGTTCACAGGTATCTCTTAGACACTCAGAGTTCACAAATAAAAATCAGTTTAAATACTTAGGGGAAAATGGGGCTGTTCACCACCCTAACTGCGGTGGTGCTGACATGCCTGAGCATGCCTATCAAAACCCACTGAACCATGGAGCATTGGGCCAGGCGCGGTGGCTCACACCTGTAATCCCGGCACTTTGGGAGGCCAAGCTGGGCGGATCACCTGAGGTAGGGAGTTCGAGACCACCCTAGCCAACATGGCAAAACCCCATCTCTACAAAAATACAAAAATTAGCCGGGCTCACTGTCACCTCCACCTCCTGGGTTCAAGCAATCCTCCTGCCTCAGCCTCCCGAAGAGCTGGGATTGCTTGTGAACTCTGAGTTTCCCCTATCTTTTTAAATAGAAGAGCAAAATAGCCTTGACTCAGTAAGTGTTTTTTTGCCCTCGTTATTATATTCTCTCTTTTTTTTGAGATGGAGTCTCACTCTGTCCCCCAGGCTGGAGTGCTATGGCATGATCTCAGCTCACTGCAACCAACCTCCACCTCCCGGGTTCAAGCGATTCTCCTGCCACCTACCTCGGCCTCCCGAAGTGCTGGGATTACAGGCATGAGCCACCACACCCGGCCTTATATTCTCTTTATCATAGATAAGGAATGAAAAACTAGGCTGGGCATGGTGTCCCACGCCTGTAATCCCAGCACTTTGAGAGGCCGAGGCAGGCAGATCATGCAGTCAGGAGTTCGAGACCAGCCTGGCCGACATGGTGAAACCCCGTCTCAACTAAAGATACGAAAAATAGCCGGGCGTGGTGGCACATGCCTGTAATCCCAGCTGCTCGGGAGGCTGAAGCAGGAGAATCGCTTGAACTCGGGAGGTGGAGGTTGCAGTGAGCCAAGACTGCACCAGCCTGGGTGACAAGGAGAGACTCCATCTCAAAAACAAACAAACAAACAAAAAACAAAGAAAAAACAAAGAAAAACTCAACCTAATAAACAAATACAAATCTTCTAATCATTTAAGAATAAACCATAATCAACAGAAGATCTGCAGTAACGCAGGACACTGATGGCAATGATGAGACAAATGCTCTCACCCCAGGGGACAGTGATGAGGGGGCCCATCACCCCAGGGGACAGTGATGAGGGGGGGCCGTCACCCCAGGGGACAGTGATGAGGGGGGGCCATCACCCCAGGGGACAGTGATGAGGGCGCCCGTCTCCCCAGGGGACAGTGACGAGGGGGCCCATCACCCCAGGGGACAGTGATGGGGGGGCCCGTCACCCCAGGGGACAGCGATGGGGGTGCCCGTCTCCCCAGGGGACAGTGATGAGGGGGTGCCCATCACCCCAGGGGACAGTGATTGGGGGGGCCCGTCACCCCAGGGGACAGTGATGGGGGTGCCCGTCTCCCCAGGGGACAGTGATGAGGGGGTGCCCGTCACCCCAGGGGACAGTGATGGGGGGGGCCTGTCACCCCAGGGGACAGTGATGGGGGTGCCCGTCTCCCCAGGGGACAGTGATGGGGGTGCCCGTCTCCCCAGGGGACAGTGATGAGGGGGCCCGTCACCCCAGGGGACAGTGATGAGGGGTGCCCGTCTCCCCAGGGGACACTGATGAGGGGGGCCCATCTCCCCAGGGGACAGTGATGAGGGGGCCCGTCACCCCAGGGGACAGTGATGAGGCGTGCCCGTCTCCCCAGGGGACACTGATGGGGGGGCCCGTCTCCCCAGGGGACAGTGATGGGGGGGCCCGTCTCCCCAGGGAACAGTGATGGGGAGGGCCTGTCTCCCCAGGGTACAGTGATGGGGGTGCCCGTCACCCCAGGGGATAGTGATGGGGGGGCCCGTCACCCCAGGGGACAGGGATGACGGGGCCCGTCGCCCCAGGGGACGGTGATGAGGGGTGCCCGTCTCCCCAGGGGACGGTGATGAGGCGTGCCCGTCTCCCCAGGGGACACTGATGAGGGGGGCCCATCACCCCAGGGGACAGTGATGAGGGGGGCCCGTCTCCCCAGGGGACAGTGATGAGGGGGGCCCGTCTCCCCAGGGGACAGTGATGAGGGTGTCGTCACCACTGGTGAAAGACTCACCTGCAAGGAGAAGGTCAGGGCCAGGTCTGTCTCCACTTGTCCACTGGGGGGCAGCACAATCTCATGGGACCGCAGGATTCGTTTGGAGCCCTGTGATTAAGCAAGACCTGTTCTAGCTCAAAGGACTGCATATCAGCAGGAAACCAGGCAAAGACACCGTGACTCCTGCACTCTAAAACTGGCAGGATTGCAGCCCTGCAGTCTGGGGGTGGTAGGCACAGGCTGGGGTAATTCTCAGAGGTGCCCTGGCATCTTTCCCAAGAACCTTAAAAACATGGAGACCCTTCGGCCCACAGGTTCCACCTCCAGGAATCTGCCCTAAGACATGAGAGAGAAACCAGGAGCGGCTCCTGCTGAAGTTAACGCGATCACAAAACAGATTCCACGGCCAGGTGCAGCAGCACCTGACTGCGCTGCCCAAGTCTGTCTGGCAGAACAAATCTGGAGGCACCAAGCCTCTTCTGGTTTTGGTTTTGAGAGACAGGTCTCGCTGTGTTGCTCAGGCTGGACTTGAGCTCCCGGGCTCAAGCAATCCTCCTGCCTCAGCCTCCTAAGTAGCTCAGCCTTACAGGCATGTGCCTCCATGCTTGGCTTAAAGCATTTTTTTATTTTTTGTTTTTATTTTTTGAGACAGGGTCTCTGTCACCCAGGCTGTGGGGCAGTGGCTCGATCTCAACTCACTACAGCCTTGACCTCCTAGGCTCAGGCAATCCTCCAGCCTCAGCCTCCCTAGCACCTGGGACTACAGGCATGTACCACCACAAAAAAATATACAATAATTTTTGTATTTTGTTAAGAGACAAGGATTAGTCATGTTGCCCAGACTGGTCTCCAACTCCTGAGTTCAAGCAATCCACCCTCCTCGGCCTCCCACAGTGCTGGGATTAGGCATGAGCCACTGCACCTGGCCTAAAGCATTTTCTAAAAAGAAGAATGATCAGGCCTGACTGGTCCTCTCAGAAAGTAAAACATACAGAGATACAATACTTAAAATACGGAGATGCTGTCACAAAAATGAGGGTAGTAGAAGCCTAGATGTAGGTGCAGGAAATGCATGAGCACCTGAAAACACAGTTCATACCCAGTGAGCTTCAGGCCAGCAGGAGACATCACACGCACCTGCTAAATGGATAACGAGTCATTTGCGTGAAAGACAACAGGACCCCAACCGCAAACTTTATATCAAAATAGATTCCTAATGGATTGAACGTGCTTATCGCAGTGCTGTTTTAAATGGGACCATCCCAACAAGGATGAGCTTGGGGACCTCGTGCCCCGAGAAACAAGCAGCCGCTGCGGGGTCCCAGGCACAAGGTTCCCGGAGGCCGGCGCGCGGGACACAGTGGATGAGAGGTGCCAGGTGGCTGGAGGGCGGGCGGGGGTCCAGGACAGACAACGGGAGCCCGGGGCCAGCCCAGGTTCGGGTGGGAGCAGCGGGGCCTCAGGACAGGTGCGGGCGGCCCGCATGGCCGTACTCGGGCTCCATGAGACGTCCATGGCGGACTCTGGTCCTCCCCTTGTGCTGGGGCCTCACGTGCAGCGTGGCAAGAGGCAGCGCGGCTCTCCTCGGCCAGCCCTCCTGTCCCCTCTCCTCTCCCCAGCTGCCCCTGCGTTGTGGTCTGGACTCTCCCTGCTCCTCCCCTTGACCCTTCAGAGATGTTTCCCTGCAAATGTGCTCTGCGTCGGGTCCCTCTTAGCATTCCCCCCTCAGAGGACCTGCAGGGACCCAGCTGTGTCGGGAAAAGGACAGTGTGTGCCACCAGCCAGTGAGGCGAAGGTGCACGCCAGAGAAGGCTGAGGGGCAGGTGGGGCTGCGGGGCCAGGCTGGCTGCTTCCCCCACAGGGGGCCTGGGCGGAGAGGACACCCCAAGAGAAGCAGATGAGGAGCTGGGGTGATCAAGGGAGGCCAAGGGCCACGTGGCTGCTGAGCTGGGGTGGGCAGGGAGGGCATGGGCAGCCAGTCCATGCGCTACACAGAGGGGCTGGAGAGGTGGGGCTCTGAGGGGCCCTGGGGCCAAGCTCTCGGTCAAGACACAGGCTGGGGCAGGACCAGAGACAGGCAGAGGAAGGAATGGGGCCAAGGAACAGGGTCAGTGTGGGGTGGGGCCCCATGCCAGAGGTTAGAGGTCAACAGCACCAGACTCAGAAGTCAGTGAGGGGTCGACTCTTGCCTTCATGCCTTTCTGCATTGCTCTGAAGACCCAATGAGACCCTGACCCCTGCCCCCCAAGCCAAGAGGTCCAGACACAGCCTCACGGCCTGGTGGCAATGGCCCACAGAGAGCTCCCTGTTCCCCAGGGACGACCCGCAGCCAGACTGCAGCAGGTACTGGGCACCCTGGGCATGGCCACACCCATGGGCAGGACAGGCGGAGAGACGCTTCCATCCTGCTATCAGCCACGCACTCCTGGAAGTTCTTGGGGTCCTGCTATTAGCCACGCGCTCCCGGAAGTTCTCGGGGTCCTGCTATTAGCCACGCGCTCCCGGAAGTTCTCGGGGTCCTGCTATTAGCCACGCTCTCCTGGAAGTTCTCGGGGTCCTGCATTAGCCACGCTCTCCTGGAAGTTCTCGGGGTCCTGCTATTAGCCACGCTCTCCTGGAAGTTCTCCGGGTCCTGCATTAGCCACGCACTCCTGGAAGTTCTTGGGGTCCTGCTATTAGCCACACGCTCCTGGAAGTTCCTGGGGCAAGGCCCCACCACCCGGGGAACCTGGCCACCAGCACACGCCGCAGATGTAGGCTGCTGCTAATCCACGAGCATGTTCAGCGAGGAAAAGGGTTTCTCCAGACGTTTATTTAAGATGCAGTAGGTTTCACATAGTGGCAATTGACTGGGACAGACAACAAGCCTCAGGCCTCCTCGCACTCAAGACCCAGTGCTTGGCTGGTGACCTCAGCCACACTGGCCGAGGCTCAGGTGCTACTCTGCAGGTCGGGGAGACCCGGAGACCCCGTGTCAGAGCCACAGCAGGTGTCAAGAATCCGGCCAGCTGCAGGGACCTGTGTGGGGCCTTGGACATGGGCTCCAAGGGCAGGGCCCCATCCTCGAGGAGCTGATGGGCTGGGGTCAGGAGCACAACAGCCACTGAGACCCCACCCTGTCACGCTGGACGGCCACACAGAAGGACACTCCTGTATGCTGAGGACATGGGTGAGACTTGCCCATGAGTGGTGCCGGCTAGGGAGAGCCCGCTGGCGGTGGCCCTATACAGGCCACACACCTGGAACCGTATGACCCTGAAAGGGCAGGGGTGGCCCTGACAGTTGGCGGGGACACCTCCCTGTCTGGGCCACTGGGCAAAGGCCATGCTGCAAGGGTCATGGCAGCTCTACCCCAAGGAGGGGGCGGGGCCTGGGCCAGGCATGGGGAAGACACCAGCATGACCCCTCTGGAACCGCTACTTGTTCAAAGCCTTCGAGAGGTCACAGGACCCACTAGGGTCAGGAGAGAGGCCCTGGCACCAGGGGCTGGGAGTTCTGGCTAGGCCCTCGCCTCCCAGAGTGCCCTGCTCCCCTCTCCCACCGACGCCCTCCACCCCACAAAAAGTGGGCAGGAAGTGGGTGCTGAGTGCAGCAGGGAAGCCCTGGCTCCAGGTGCTTGGGGCCCGTCCATCACTGTGAGGTGACTCGAGGGCAGCTCTGCCCTGGGAAGGCCCCATGCATGTGACCTCCACATCCCAGAAGGCCGGGCCTGCCTCCCTTGTGCGGGACAGGACTGGACCCAGGAGCATCCTGTCATTCCCAGCCCCCCGGGCTCCCGGAGATGGCATGGGCTGCCCGCTGTTTTGGCACAAGGCCCCACAGTAGCGCACCGCCTGACTCGTCTCCCAGGCACATGGAAAGCCTACACAGCACCCAGCCACAGCCGGGGTCACAAGCGGCCTCACCTGCATCTTGACAGCGATCACCACGGAGATCAGCTCCTTCTCCAGCTCCTTGAAGACCACCAGCTTCTTCAGAGTCAGGCTGCACAACCTGTGAGGCAAGGCACAGCTCAGCCTCGGGGCTCCGCCCTCTCCTCAGGACGCGGCCCTGTGCCGTCCCAGCACTGTGTCACCCCGGGAGCCTGCACCCTGGGGTGCAGGGCGGGGTGTGACTGCCTGGGCGGCCCCAGGACCTCACAGGGCTCCAAGACATCACCCCAGCTGTCCCTGCACATGGTGGGCACCCCTCAGCATCCGTTGGCTGCCGGGCCAGAGGTCCCATCTCCTGAAGGCCCCTGAGGGTGAGCCTCCCTCCCATGGAACTCACTCAGTGTGGGCCTGTGGACAGGCAGGTAGGAGGGATGACAGGCCACAAAGAGAAGATCTGAGAGTCCTGAGCCAGCTCCCAGCTGTGAGAGCACAGGCCTCCCCTCTCCCGCGGCCCTATCCAGCCCCAGGCCCAGCCGCCCCAAATCCTGCCCACCCCAGGACCCCCTGCCCATAGCTGGGATACGCTTTCCCCCAACCTTCCTTCTGTTCATTTCACCTCCATCATTCCGTCCTGAGGCCACAGGAGTGCTGGAGACGCCAGGGACAGTCTGAAGGACACACCCAGTGTCCAGGGCTCTGTTGCTGAGGAGTGGAGGGGTGTAGACCCTACCCTCCACTCTGCCTAGTGCTGCCCCGTGTGAACATGCCATCTCCCCGGGGCATCTGCCGTACACGCGCCAGGGCTCCAAATCCATCCAGTGAAGATGCCCACACCACCCACCCATGCCTGAAGGTGTGTGGGGTGCAACACCCACACTGGCAAGCTTTCCGGAAACTTTGGCACAGCTCTCTTTGAAGCTTGGCTCATTTTTCTTCTTGCTCAGGACAGCAGAAGGGTGAAGGCACCACCATCCAGATAGGGATGGCACTGTCTGCCCTGCCCGGCTTCAGGCTCTAAGACCAACAAGTTCTGAGTGGCTGAGTCTGTGCTGGGGACACTTTCCCTTGGGGAAGTCTGGACTTGTGGCACCCACCTCCTGGGCTGGTGCTTGGCCCTCAAAGTATGAATGTAAAACACCAGAACAGGCGCCAGACACAGTCAGGCCATGGAACGCAGCCACCCACCAGTGCCACAGTGGCCGCCACGTGCTTCCGTCTCCACCCCTGGGCATTGGGTGTGGACATGGCGGTGGGAAGGCAGTCCCAGGCCCTTCCAGCACACATCCCTGCCCCCAGGCAACGGGAGCACTGGATGGGTACAGCCTGTGTATGACTGCCTGGGCGGCCTCAGGACATCACAGGGCTTCCTGAGCACCTGTCAACCCATTTGTAAAATGGAGACCACAGAGACCCCACTCCCATCCTGGCTGCTCAGGTGATGATCTACTACACTGTCTACACTCCACTGAGCTGCTGAGAGAAGCCAAGGGGCAGACACCAGAGCACTCTGGGTGGGACGCGCCTGACTTGACAGCAGGGCAGCAGGTGGGAGGTGCAACGGGGACAGCGGACAACAGGCAGTGGGGGAGCCGTGCAGGCGGGGGTAGGGAAGCTGTGTGGGCAGAGGTGGGGGAGCCATGCAGTGGTGGGGGGATGCTGTGCAGGTGGGGGTGGGGGAGCCGTGCAGGGGGTAGGGGGTGATGCCGTGCGGGTGGGGGTGGGGGTGGGGGAGCCGTGCAGGGGGTGGGGGGGAAGTCATGCGCGTGGGAGTGGGGGAGCCGTGCAGGGGGTGGGGGGGAAGTCATGCGCGTGGGAGTGGGGGAGCCGTGCAGGGGGTGGGGGGAAAGTCATGCGCGTGGGGGTGGGGGTGGGGGAGCCGTGCAGGGGGTGGGGGGGAAGTTGTGCGGGTGGGGGTGGGGGAGCCGTGCAGGCGGTGGGGGTGATGCCGTGCGGGTGGGGGTGGGGGAGCCGTGCAGGCGGTGGGGGTGATGCCGTGCGGGTGGGGGTGGGGGAGCCGTGCAGGGGGTAGGGGGGGAAGTCGTGCGCGTGGGAGTGGGGGAACTGTGCAGGGGGTGGGGGGGAAGTTGTGCGGGTGTGGGTGGGGGAGCCGTGCAGGCGGTGGGGGGGATGTTGTGTGGGCGGGGGTGGGGGAGCCGTGCATGCAGGGCCACGGGGTGCTCTCTGCAGACAGGGCTGCAGACGCGAGCAGTGCCTGACAGCCATCAAAGTCACCAACCGGGCTGTGTGATTCTGCATGGGACCAAATCATGCACAGGGCGGCCTGTTCCAAACAAGATCGGGTCAGTGTAGGTCAAAAAGCAGCACAGGACTAACCCGGAAATGAGTCTGCTTTCCAACACTGGAAGACGGACCTACCCAGGTCAGAAGATGTTTTATTTTTCTGAGTTCCAAGTTCGATGTATTTAAGTCCAGCTTTTTAGGTAAACAGGCATGGAGCTTAAACAATGAGTGTGACAAGCCTGCCTACTACAGACATCTCTGTCAGAGTCCTTCAACTCATTCCCCGAGCTGCAGTCAGACTGTCCACTGTCGCCCGTCAGTGTTTGTGAGCACAAGGTGCACTCTGAGGCCACCTGTGAGCTTTAAAGTCATTCTCATAACTCAGTATATCACAAAATAAGTCAGGCATTAAGTCAGAGTCTCCTAGGACTTGGCAGAAACGCGGAAGGGCCTGGCCTGAGGGGGCGCTCCTCCAGCAGGGACCCTCGTCCTGGTTCCACCCCACTCCACTGGGGCTGCCCGGATTCCCACAGACTCTCTCTTACTCAACACAATGCAAGAGGAAGAAAGACAGAGGAGAGAGACTAAGAGAGGTGATATGAACCAAGATAGACCATAGGCTGGGTCACACCACAAATCCTTCACAAATACAAAAGAGCTGATATCATACAAAGAATACGTTCTCTGACCAAAATGGCGTTAGACTAGCAATCTATCACAGAAAGATGGCGGGGAAATCCTCTTGGGATGCTTGGGAAACTAAAAAACAAAAACCTATGGATCAAAGGAAGTCTCAAAGGAAATCAGAGAACACTCTGAATGGAATGTAAATGAAAACGCAGCACGTCAATCTGCCAGGTGCAGCTAAAGCCGTTCTGAAATGAGAATTTATAGCATTAAGTGCTTATGTCAGAAAAGAAAAAAGATTCAAATACACAATCTAAAGATTCCATTTTTTTTTTTCTCAAGACGGAGTCTCGCTCTGTTGCCCAGGCTGGAGTGCGGTGGCGTGATCTCAGCTCACTGCAAGCTCCGCCTCCTGGGTTCACGCTATTGTCCTGCCTCAGCCTCCCGAGTAGCTGGGACTACAGGCGCCCGACATCACACCCAGCTAATTTTTTGTATTTTTAGTGGAGACGGGGTTTCACCGTGTTAGGCAGGATGGTCTCAATCTCCCGACCTCGTGATCCGCCTGCCTTGGCCTCCCAAAGTGCTGGGATTACAGGCGTTGAGCCACTGCGCCCAGCCAGATTCCATCTTTTTTGAGATGGAGTCACACTGTGTTGCCCAGGCTGGAGTGCAGTGGTGTGATCTCGGCTCACTGCAACCTCCACCTCCTGGGTTCAAACGATTCTCATGCCTCAGCCTCCCAAGCAGCTGGGATTACAGGTGTGCACTACCACGCCCAGCTAATTTTTTATATTTTTGGTGGAGACACGATTTCACCATGTTGGCCAGGCTGGTCTCGAACTCCTGACCTCAGGTGATCCACCCACCTCGGCCTCCCAAAGTGCTGGGATTACTGGGCCACTGCGCCCAGCCCTAAGGTTCCATCTTAAGAAACTAGAAGAACATATTAAACCCCAAGTAAGCAAAAGGAAGGAAATTATAATGATAAAGAGGAACAACTAAACTGAAAATAGATAAACAATAAAATAAAACCAAATGCTAGTTCTTTGGGAAGATCAATAAAATTCATAAAACCTCTACCCAAACAAAGAAGAAAGTAGACAAAAGTTGCCATTATCAGAAGTAAAAGAAGGAAAGCACTACAGACCTTACAGACTACTGGGAAATACTATAAACAACTTCATGAACAAAAATTTGACTACTTTGATAAAATGTACCAATTTTCATTTCCCTAGAAAGCCACAAACTACTAAAACTCCCCACGATGAAATAGATAGCTGGTATAGTCCTACAACTATTAAATAAATTGAATTAATTGTTAAATTTTCTGGGCCGGGTGTGGGAGAATCACTTGAACTGGGGAGGCAGAGGTTGTAGTGAGCCGAGATCGTATCACTGCACGCCAGCCTGGGGGACAGAGTGAGACTCTGTCTCAAAAATAAATCAATTAATTAATTAAATCTTCCAAAAACAAAACAAAACAAAAAAAAACTTCCAGGCAAATTCAACCATATATTAAAAGTTGAGGCAGGGAAGGGTGGCTCATGCCTGTAATCCCAACACTTCGGGAAGCTGAGGTGGGTGGATCACTTGAGCCCAGGAGTTTGAGACCAGCCTGGGTACACAGGGAGACCCTGTCTCTACAAAAAGTATAAAAATTAGCCAAGTACGGCAGCACACATCTGTAGTCCCAGCTACATGTAGGCCAGGCCTGGTCTCAAACTCCTGGCCTCGAGTGATCTGCCCACCTCAGCCTCCCAAAGTGCTGGGATTATAGGCATGAGCCACCACACCTGGCCACAGATCACACATTCGACAAAAATTTTATCCAGAATATATAAATATATGAACTCTCAGAACTCAACAATATGAAAACAAACAACCTAATAAAAAGTGAGAAAAGCCTGTAGTCCCAGCTACTCGGAAGGCTGAGGCAGGGGAATTGCTTGAACCAGGGAGGTAAAGGTTGCAGTGAGCTGAGGTCGCGCCACTGCACTCTAGCCTGGGTGACAGAGCAAGACTCCATCTCAAAAAAAAAAAAAAGTGAGCAAAATATTTGAACAGACGT
This sequence comes from Homo sapiens, assembly GCF_000001405.40. Taxonomy (NCBI): domain Eukaryota; kingdom Metazoa; phylum Chordata; class Mammalia; order Primates; family Hominidae; genus Homo; species Homo sapiens. The sequence continues at coordinate 105,343,674 of NC_000014.9, read as the reverse complement.
TTCACCAGAAAAGATACATTGATAGCAAATAAGCACATGAAAAGATGCTCAAAATTATTAGTTATTAGGGAAATGCAAATTAAAACCAAACGAGATACCAACTACACCTATTAGAATGGCTTAAAAAACATGAAAAATAAAAAAAGCTAATACCAAATGCTGGCGAGGAAGCAAAACCACTGGGACTTCCATATACTCTGAACGTGCAGAACGCCACATGGCAGAGTCACTGGAAAGCAGTTTGGCAGTTTCTTACAAAGTTAAACATACAGGACCCAGCAATCCTACCCCTTGGAATTGGTCCAAGGGAAATGAAAGCATATGTCCCTACACAGATCCCTAATGCACATTCACAGCAGCTCTATTCATAACTGCCACCCACTGGAAACCCCGATGTCCTTCACACAAAGACAAGGACATTTTGGTACTATTCAGCAACAGCTAGGAACAGATCGATACGTGATAGGATGGATCTGGAAGGCATCGTGTTGAGTGAGAGACGCCCGTGTCAAGAGGGCACACACCATTTTTGTCCATCTCTATGGCACTCTGGAAAAGGCAGAGCTGGGGGCACAAGGCCAGGTCAGTAGGGAGGGTGGCTGCTGGGGACTGTTTTGGGTGGACTGCCCAGTGTTCTGTGCCTGGTTGTATGGTGGATGTTAAGCTCAGAGCTGCATACGAAAAAAGGTGTGAGGGGTGAACCTTTACCATAACAATACTGTCTTTTTTTTTTTTTTTTTTTAAGACAGAGTCCTGCTGTCACCCAGGCTGGAGTGCAGTGGTGCGATCTTGGCTCACTGCAACCTCCGCCTCCCGGGTTCAAGCAATTCACCTGCCTCAGCCTCCTGAGTAGCTGGGACTACAGGCGTGCACCACCACACCCAGCTAATTTTTTATATTTTTACTAGAGATGGGGTTTCACCATATCGGCCAGGCTGGTTTTGAACTCCTGACCTCAAGTGACCCGCCCACCTCGGCCTCCTGAAGTGCTAGGATTACAGGCGTGAGCCACTGCGCCTGGCCTACCAGACGATACTTGCAAAGTTTTTGTTTTATTAAAGACAGCCACAAGACACACACCAACCAACTGCAAACAAGAAGCTCTACTGTGGCTGGGCACAATCATGCCTGTAATCCCAGCACTGTGGGAGGCCGAGGCGGGTGGATCACTTGAGGCCAGGAGTTCGAGACCAGCCTGGCCAACATGGCGAAACCCTGTCTCTACAAAAAAATACAAAAATTAGCTGGGCTTGGTGGGGCGCACCTGCAGTCCCAGCTACTTGGGAGGCTGAGGTGGGAGGATCACCTGAGCCCAGGAGTTGGAGGCTGCAGTCAGCTGTGATTGCACCACTACACTCAGCCTGGGTGACAGAGGACCCTGTCTCTCTCTCTCTCACACATAGACACACACACACACACACACACACACACACACACACACACAGGCAGCAGCTTGGATCCTGCTGTGGATGAACTAATTGTAAACAAACAAACAAACAAATCCACAAGAGGCATTTGGGGAGTGCGCAGGTACTGCAAACCCACAAGAGGCATTTGGGGAGTGTGCAGGTACTGCAAGATTTCCCTTCCTCACCACTCAGGCTTCCACGCTCGTTTCCAGAAGCTCACGTTCCTTACATTCGTTTGACTTGGGGCTGGGGGTGAGTCCAGTGCTCACCATCTATGCAGCACAGCCCAGTGCCCCCTCGCCCAAGATGCTTGTCACAAAAACAGCAGGCTACGGCTCCCCGTCCCTAGGCAGGGGCTCCTCTCCGCACACTTAGAAGGAAAAAGTCGCAGCTTGCGGTCCCGTAGCAGACAGATCCTGCCCAGGGGGAACGTGGCTGCCCCTCTCAGGCCTGTCTCTGCTGTCACTACACATAGCTACAGCCACTGTGCAAACACGAAGAATAAAAAGCTCCAGCCTGGGCAACACGGCAAGACTCTGTCTCTAAAACATAAATAAATAAAATAAGGAATAAAAAGAATCATTTGCATTCAGAAACTGCGCAGATAAACAAAACATGTTATTTGCTTATTATCCACAGTTGGTTCTGAGAGCGAGGCCTAAAGGTTTGCCCAGGCCAGGTGCACCACACTTGGCCCTGAGAGAATCATAACAAAGACACCAGAAAACCTACAGAAGACGATTCATCACCAGCCTGCCACTGTGTTCAGGACACCGTGCAGCTGTAATAGATTCAACAGCAACGAAAGTGAAGCAAAGCATATTTTAAAAACAACTCAATATAAAATAAAATCACAGTGACAAGTGGAAACTCAATGTTCACATCCAAGACAACTTGCTGAATACCCACAGTGTTATCTGTTTCCTCTTTCATTGTGTCTGCTCGAAATAGGTGAATAAAAGAGCCGACTTGAATCCGAATCCCAGAGAATAGAGGCTTCTGTTTTGTTTTCTGACAGAGAGAAGCGAGAGGCATACAGGAAAAGTTCAGAGTGAGACACAAAAACCCACAGGCCTGCCAACAAGAATGAGCACATGTTCTCTACACTTGGGATCTATTTGAAGAAATAAAGGGGCCTGACCACAGAAACGCACTGTGTGCTCTCCCCGCCAGCCCCGTTTCTTCCCCTCTGCAGGCACTGCAGGTCTCAGGAGCGGGTGTCTCTATGTGTGGCCGAGACTGCCAGCTGTCTCCAAGCTCCGTTCTCCAGCCCCCCACCCCTTGGTAGCGAGCCTCCCCATGCTAGCTGGGTGACGGCTACGTGGCCAGAGACGGGGCAAGGGTGCTGAGCAAGCAGCCCCACTAGGGGCCCTGAGCAGAGGCAGCAGGCCCTGCCCACTCCTTTCACCCTGGCTGCAAGGGCAGGTCCCAGGCAGCCACCACGGACCCAGGGGCAGAAGCCAAGCCAGGACAGGAGATGCCCCTGGCCAGCCCTGGACCATGGACACCTGCACCACTACACAGGTGGCAGGAAGCACCAGCTCAGCCAGCCCTTCATTCCTAGCTCTGGTACAGAAAAGTCACCTGTGCTGTAGACCAGAGGTCCCCAACCCCCAGGACAGGTTCCTGGCCTGTTAGCAACTGGCCGCACAGCAGGAGATGAGCACCAGGGAGTGAGCATTCCCACCTGAGCTCCGGAAGAACCCTATTGTAACTGTGCACGCGAGGGATCCAGGCTGCACGCTGCTTATGAGAATCTGATGGCTGATGATCGGAGGTGGGACAGTTTCACTGGAAACCATTCCCATCACCGTCTGTGGAAAAACTGTCTTCCACAAAACCGGTCCCTGGCGGCAAAAAGGTTGGGGACCACTGCTTTAATCCATCCCACTCCCCCATTTGTTCCTTCCTCTTTTTCACAATGAGATTATCCATCCATTTGGAGTTGTGTGTGTTGTGATTGCATTTTATTTCCTACATGAATGTTCAGTTATCACCAAACCATTTACCCAGAAGTATATCCTTTCCCCACAGATGAATGAGGCCATTTCTGAAGCACATTACGATCGCATGTGTTTCTGCTGGTACATTCCATTAGTCAATGTTTATACTTCTGCCAATTCCATATTGTTTTAACTAGCATAGCTAATTTAAATAAATTTGTATCTGCTAAGGAAAATACTCCTTAGCCAGACGCGGTGGCTCACACTTGGAATCGCAGCCCTTTGGGAGGCCAAGGCAGGTGGATCACCTGAGCCCAGGAGCTCAAGACCAGCCTGGGCAACATGGTGAAACCCCATCTCTACAAAAAATACAAAAATTGGCCGGATGTGGTGGCTCATGCCTGTAATCCCAGGACTTCGGGAGGCCGAGGAGGGCTGATCACCTGAGGTCAGGAGTTTGAAACCAGCCTGGCCAACATGGTGAAACTCCTCTCTACTAAAAATACAAAAATTAGCCAGGCATGTTTGCTACTTTATTAAGCTTTTCCAATCAGCTTCTGGCTTTTGTTAATATTCAATTAAGACTTGTTCTTTGTCATCTCCATTCCTTTTTTTTTTTTTTTAATAGAGACAGAATCTTGCTCTGTCACCTAGGCTAGAGTGTAGTGGTGCAATCACGGCTCACTGCAGCCTTGAACCCCTGTGCTCAGGAGATCCTCTCCCTTCAGCCTCCCAAAGTGCTAGGATTGCAGGCATGAGCCACCACACCTGGCCCTGCTGGTCTTTTCTTTTTCTTCCTTTTTTTTTTTTTTTATAGAGACAGAGTTTTGCTCTTGTTGCCCAGGCTGGAGTGCAATGGCATGATCTCAGCTCACTGCAACCTCTGCCCCCGGGTTCAAGCCATTCTTTCGCCTCAGCCTCCCAAGTAGCTAAGACTACAGGTGCATACCACCACACCCGGCTAATTTTTGTATTTTCAGTAGAGATGGGCTTTTCTCATGTTGGCCAGGCTGATCTCAAACTCCTGACCTCAGGTGGTCCCCCCACCTTGACCTCCCAAAGTGCTAGGGTTACAGGCATGAGCCACCACACCCAACCCTGCTAGTCTTTTTGAAGCACCTGGTCTCGCTCTGAGTGGCAGTGGAATAGCGTCCCCCACTTTCCATCTTTGGCAGCATCCACTTAGCTACGGGAACCACCATAAACATCAAGGGGCCAAAGTGACAGCCACGGGTCCCCAGGAACTTGCAAAGCAGGGGCTGAAGAGCACCTCTGAAGTCAGCCTGGGTTGGTCAACAAAGCCACAGAGGCACCCTCAGCCCAGATGCCTGGATACCTGCAGTCAGTTGAAGGCAGGAGTGAGCACCTCTGGTTGTGGGGCCAGGCTCAGAGAGGAGAGCAGCTGGGTGGGTGGAAGGAGGGGAGAGAGTAGGAAGACAGGAGGCAGGAGGGAGGGAGAAGAGCGGGGAGATGGCACAATGAAGCCAGGGAATTCCAAGGGCCTTCAACAGACATCAGGACCCCTGCTGCCCTGGCCACTTTAGAGCTGTCCTTTCCTGGCAGATGCCTGGGGACCCAGTGGCATGGGGCACTGCTAGGCCTGGGCACCCAAGGGCAGGGGTCAGTCACGCAGGTCACAGGCACATGGTCACAGTCAGGGTGGATGGACACCTGGCCCTGGGGCAGATGACCTGGGAACGGGAGGTGAGGGTCGGCAGGGGACCTCCCTCCAGGGTCACTCTGAGAACCCAGCAAGGATCACACTGGCCCTGGAGGACCCGGAATCCTGCACAGCCCCCAGGGACCTGGGGTGAGCGAGCTGTGGCAGGGTCAATAGGTCAGGGGAGGCCCAAGGAACAAGGTGGGAAAGTAAAGACAGCAAAGGACAAACACCCCCTGGGAATGCCCCACCACCGCCCCCCTCGGCAGGGACTTCCGGGAGAAGGAAGGCACCATATCCCAGCACCCCAGTTTTTGTGAGTTACAGAACAAGTGACATTTCAGGAAGGTCAGAGAAACCTGACTCAGCAGAAAGTGCCCCACGTGCGTGCCCTGCATGGCATTTCCATGTCAGCTGGAAGGAGAGCAGCCAACACTCTCCAGGGCTGGGCAGAGCCCCAGCGCCATGCAGCCCACAGCAGGCGGAAGGGGAGGCTGGAAGTCCTCCGCAGGTCACTCCCCCGCTTCCTCCTCCAGGAAACCGGGCCAGCGCCAGGCCCCAGTCTGAGAACAGACCCCTCGGCCACCCAGCCTCAGATGGGGGCGGGGCAGGACCTCCATGGGTGAGGAGGCCAGAGACAGCATGGCCCAACAGTATGCTCTCTGGGAGACTGAAACTCCCACCCACCCACTCCTGTGCATGATGCAAACCAGAGACTGGAGGGGACGCTGCTGCCCCTGGGGGTGCACATGTGGGGGCTGAGACAGGCACCTGCGTCCCTATGTCCCAACGGAGCAAGGGTGGGCACCCCTTCAAACCACTGACTTCTGGAAGCCTGAGCTAGGACTCTGCACCAGGCCCCCCAGTTTTGTTCAGAGGCACAGAGGCCCTTGTCCAGGGGTGGGACAGGATCTCAGGGGCAGGTCTGGAGAGGTTCCCATCTCAGGGGGCTCAGGTGGGCCCTGGGGTTTGGAGACCACTTCCCATTTTGAACAGGAACCCAAAAGACGAGAGGCCCAAGCTCCTCGCAGGGTTGCCACCTAAGCCCAGGGAGGCATAGCCACGGGCTCAGCCAGCCCCAACCCAGGAGGTTAACACTGGTGCTCCCCCTGGCTTTGGGACTTAACTGTTTTTTTCTGGTAGGAAGGTAAACGGTGACAGCCTTATTTTGGAGAACAGCTTGACGATGTCTATTTCTCTTTTTTATTGTGGTAAATATAACGTAAAACTTGCCGTTTGAACCATTTTTCAGTGTGCAGGTCAGTGGCACTACGTGCGTGGATGCTGTTGTGCAGCCCTCACCGCCATCCATCCCGAGAACTCTCTTCACCTTGCGCAACTGAAACTACCCATTCAACCCCAACTCCCCATTCCCACCTTCCCCGGCCCCTGGCATCACCAGGCTGCACCATCCTACCTCCGTCCCTATGAATGCAATGACTCTAGGGACCTGACACAAATGGGATCATACAGTGCATGTCCTCCTGTGACTGGCTTATTCCACTCAGCACAATATACTCAAGTTCCATCCACGTTGCAGCCTGTGTCCATTTCCTTCCTTTTCAGGGCTAAGTAATATTCCACAGTGTGGAGGGCCACGCGGTGCTGACCGAGGGCCCAGTGATGCTGGGTGGTGCGGAGGGCCACATGGTGCTGACTTGTTTGTCCGAGGATGGATACAGGCTGCGTCCATCACGCAGTCACCGTGAGTAAGGCTGCTGTGAACACAGGGTGGAGATCTCCCCTGGAGGCCCTGCGTCAGTGCTCCCGGGTTCTACTGAGAAGTGCAACTGCTAGCTCACACAGTAACTCTGACGGTAACTCTGTCTCATTTCCCGAGGGGCTGCCGTCCTGTTCCCCGCAACAGCTGCACCATGCTACATTCCCAGCAGCAGTGCACAGGGACTGGCTTTCACTCTGATTAACACTTCTACAAGGACGCCCTCCCCACAGTGGCCTCCCACAAGTAGGGCCCACAACCCCAGGAAGGAAGGCCAGACTCACCCAACAGCACACTCTGGCCCCGCTGGAGCATGGGGCGTGCGTGCTTTCACTCATTCACTCACTGAGTTGCTCTGGGCGGCCTCATCCTGCCGCCTGCCCCAGCCCTGTCCTCACTCGCTCCTGCACGGACTCTGGTCACCTGAGGACCCTGCCCTCCAGACAGCAGCGTGGACCAGGATCTCTTCCGCCCAGCCACTCCACGGTGCCACCACTGCTGGGCTGCATCCTGTGCTTGGCTCAAGGCCTCCTGGAGAGGCTGCGTGGCCAACTCTGCAGCCCTGGCAAGCGGCCGCGCCACTCCCAAGGACAGCACAGAACACGAGCAGGACAAGGGAGCACTTCACGGATTTCTGAGAAATGCACCAGCGCCCGGCTGGCCCTCGAGGCGCATGTCAACCCCACCACTTTCCTCCAGGCAGGCAAGGGGGTGGGGGCGCGCACAGAGCACAGATGGTTAAGACCCCAGGCAGCTGGTCCCAAACCTGCTGACTGTGTTTTGTTGGAAGGGAAAACTGAGGAGCTTTTGTCTCCAGGAGCTGCCCCCTTGGTGCGGTCGCGAGCCTGCCCGCGTGGGAGCTGGGGGCCTGTGGCGGCAGCTGGCCACACACGCTCCGTGCCCTGCTGCCCCTGGGCAGAGGAATGTCACAGGCTGGTGCTCCACATGCTCAGCCCACGCCCTGCCATCCCCAGGCTCCAGGTGCCTGCACAGCCATCCTCGTAGCTGGGCCCCAGGGCACCGCCGTCCTCATGGAGAGAGTTCCACGGGGCTCTCTGCTCCTGCATCACCAGCACTTACCACCCAGCCCGTCCCAAGGCTCGCCCGGGCGGCCGAGGGCGGCTGCCAGCTCTTGCCAGCCTCACTCAGCTTTCTCTGATGTACAGCCTTATCTGGACATGGCTGCTCCCTGCTAATGAGGACAGAAGGTCAGGGTGCCTTCTCAGTGTCCTCGTTGGCCAGTGGTCAGGGCCAAGGAGGCTGCTGTGGAGTGAGAGGAACAGGCTCAGCCAGGTGCCTCATGGATAGACTACACCGAGGGCTAGGACCACTGGGTCTCCATGCCTGGGCCCAGTGAGGGGCCACCTCAGCAGAGGCCAGCCCTGCCCATGAGGGAGGGTGAAGAGGTGGTCCCCACCTGCCCCAGAATAGGGGAAGGAACTGATGGTGCCGGAGTCAGCACATCACAGCCATGCCAGGCGCCGGCCACAGCGTCAGAGCCACGCCAGGCGCCGGCCACAGCGTCAGAGCCACGCCAGGCGCCGGCCACAGCGTCAGAGCCACGCCAGGCGCCGGCCACAGCGTCACAGCCACGCCAGGCGCCGGCCACAGCGTCACAGCCACTCCAGGCACTGGCCTATGGGGGCTGAGCTGAGCCCAGGGTGCCTCTGGGAGCACCACGGCTCCAGCAACGGCATCTGCCCCAGAGCAGGGAAGCCTCCGAGGTGGCTGTGAGAACAATGCTGCAAACACACGTCCGGCCCTCAGTGCTGGGCTCCACCACACCACGCATTCCAGTCAGCCTGTGGCAAGGCTGGGAGCTGCCGGCCATTGTCCAGGCTGGGTCCAGTCATCAGGAGGCCCTGTCCTCAGACCTGCTGGGCCTGTACTTCTGTCTCAGTCACCCGAAGGCCCAGGGGCCATTCCATGTTCCTACACGTCCAGCCCAACAGTCCCAGGCACAGGTGTGCAGGTGTACAGTGTGCCTCACCAACAGCTGGAGGGGAACCCCACCCCATGGAGGGGAGCCCCTCCCAGCTCTGTTCCCACCTCCCATACCATGCACACACTCCCGAGGCTGCCAGACCAGAGGGGCTCTGGGAAAAGATGCCACAGCTCCCCCCCGCAGTGCACGTTATGAGCTGCATCCCATCTGGGTCTGTGCTCAGTGACTTGTGTGGCCACGTGCACCTGTGAGCATGACCACGAGCCTGGGCTAACTCAGCTGTGGGCACCAAGCACACACTGGCCCTCAGGTGGAGCTCTACACAGACACTGGCCCTCAGGTGGAGCTCTACCCACACACTGGACCCTCAGGTGGAGCTCTATGTAGACACTGGGCCTCAGGTGGAGCTCTACGCACATACTGGCCCTCAGGTGGAGCTCTACGTAGGCACTGGCCCTCAGGTGGAGCTCTACGCACATATTGGGCCTCAGGTGGAGCTCTACGTAGACACTGGGCCTCAGGTGGGACTCTACGCACACACTGGGCCTCAGGTGGAGCTCTACACAGACAGAGGGAAGAGGGTGAAGCCCTGCACATACTTTCTGCTGCTCAGGACAGAGCCAGGTCTGGTCTGCGTCAGCCTCAAGGTGGGAACAGCTCTCTCCTTCCAATGCTCTCCTGGCCACGCTGCCCTGGAGTCAGGTGGGGTCTGTGGCCTGACCCACTCAGCTAGCTGGCACTGCCTCTGCAGCCGGGGCCCACTCCCTTGGCCCTGGAGTCTGGCAGGAGGAGGTGTCAGGGGAAGGCAGACAGATGAGCCCAACGCAGGAGGATGCAGCTGAGCAGACGGCGGCCACTGCCTGTGGGCAGTCACGCCAAGGGGAAGCCAGGCCAGGCTCTAGACCAGACAGGGCATCGTGGATCCAGGCCCAGGCCCCCGACACCCCACGACCACCCCCAGGCTGGACACTCCATATGGCCCCAGGCAGGAAGGGCCCTGACAGGTGTCTCCCAGCAGGAATGGGCCCTGCCCAGCAAGGGCGTTTCTGTGCAGGGGCTATTTTAGCCCGGGTGAGGCACAGGCAGGTGCGTGTGACAGCTGGGGGAGGCTCCCAGAACCCCCTCTGGGAAGGCCTGTGGGCCACGCCTCACACTGCAGGCCTCCGGGGCCAAGCCCCTGTCCTGGGCAGCCCTGCCATGGGCCACAGGCTGTGACCCTCAGTGAGAAGGGTGACAGGCCGGGCCGGTTGCCAGCCCTGGGTCTGTGTGGACCTTTGGGCTGCTTTGCCAAAACCTCCCACCTCCTCCCTCCCCAATGGCCCACGGGGCAAAGGCTGAAGAGTGGGCCTGCAAGAAGGTGTCCCAGGTTTTGGCACTTTCAGTGCTCAGCTTTCCCAAGTGGCCACCGCAAGCCCAACGGGTCCCAGGAACATCCCCAGACTGCATGTCACTGGGACCCAGCAAAGCCAGGTGACACAAGCCAGCACCCCAGGGAGCAGCCAGAACCTTCTGCCGAGACACTGTGCCCCCAGCAGGACAGGACGGCCAGGGACTGGCTTCCAGGAGGGTCTGTCCAGCACCCCAGGACTGGCCGGCCTGTGCTGCAGGCAGCTAACACAGCAGTGGCGCCATGGGAACGCCTGCAACGGGGCAGCTTCCCAGTGTAGTGTCCCCGCCTGGGGCAGGCCAGGGGAGGGCAGAACCAGCACCTGCTCTGCACAGGGCACGGCTGTGGGCAGGAGGATGACTCCAGCTGTCAGGTGAAGAGAGGGAACCAGGAGCACATGCAGCAGGAGGGGGTGGGGACTGGTAGGGAACAGGGCCAGGGTGTGTGTGCACACGCGTGCATGGGTGTGTGTGTGCACGTGTATGTGCCTGAGTGGGTATGCGTCTCTCTCTCTCACACCCACGCCAGTTGGTCTACATGGGCCCAGGCTCGGTCTGCATCCACCCCCAGGGGCCCAGCACACGTCCCACAGAGAGGAGAAACCACGACGCAGCCCACAGGAGCGGAGCCTGGGGAGGGGGCAGAGCACAGATTGGGCACCCCCACAAAAAAGTGGGGGGACGATGGCGGTGGGGGCATGAGACTGTCTCAGATTTCTTCTCTGCCCCACATCAAGAGGATGCACTTAGGACCAACTTCTTGTTTAGGAATCAAGGCTGCTCCCCTCCAGGGAGTTTCAGGAAGGTGTCTGTAACCTACTGGCCCCTGGGGGCAGGAGAGGGACCAGAGGATGGAACTGCTGTCCTGCGGGGGACTCAGACCTCAGAATCCACCTCCTGGGCTCCAGGTCTTGGACCGCCCACGAGAGGACCAGGCAGAGGCCCCGCAGAGAAGCCATGCAGTGCCCGAGGAGGGAGCTCCCACTTGGGAAGAAGTGGGTCAGACACCAAACCTTCCCAACTCAGCCCCAGGCACCGAGCCCCACCATTGCCTGTGCCCTCAGCTGTCACAGGCTCAGGGGAGGATCAGCACAGCTTCCCATGGGGGTTTTCACAATCCCAACTGCTTCCTGTGTGGCCTCAGTCCTGGAGGTGGTCGGCCACACAGGCACACCCTGAACACAGCCGAGGGGGCCACCTGCTCCTCTCACTCCCCACTGATATCACGGGCACCAGGCAAAACCCCCGTGCTCCGTGTTGTGGGTCTGGGACTAGCCAGCAACATTTCTCAACACAGCCCACAGAGGGGAGGACCACTGTGCTTCCCAGCGCCAGTGAGGGGCTGGGAGGGGCTCCCCATGGAAGGAGAAGCAGGCACAGAGGCACAGGCAGCCCCACGGCAAGGCACAGGACAGTGACTGAGCAGCTTCCACCCAAGGAAGGAGATGCAATGTCTGACTGAGGATTCTTCCAAAACAAGAAGAGAGATGCTCATATTCAGTAAGTCCCAAGGAGGATCAAAAGCAATGTTGATAACAAATCCGCACCAAATCAAAATAAAAACGCTAAAAGCAACCACAGATCACACATGTGTCCCACAAGGAACAAGGAGCAGGCTGATCGCAGACTCCTCAAAACCACAACAGAGGCCAGAAGACAATAAAACAATCGTCAAAGTACCGAGGAGACAAAACTGTCAACCTAGAAGAACTCTGTGATCACCAAGTATGAGGGGGACAAAAACGCCATCTTCAGGCACTGAAAGACTGAAAGAGCTTCTGAAGGATGTGCTCCAGGAAAACAAAAACTATCCTTGGGAAAGGCAGGGCCACAGGTGAGCAAAGTAGCAGCAAAGCCATACTCATCAAAGGCATTGCTGTTTCTCCTGCATTTCAGCTCTCCTTCCTTTGGAGGGTGGGAGGGTTGTTGACTATCCTTAAATGTCAACAGGCCTTTCACATTTTAAGCAAATCAGTAACAGTTAAAAGGACTACAGTGATTTCCTGGAGTGGGTAATACATAAAACTCAGGCCAGGCACAATGGTTCGTGCCTGTTAATCCCAGCACTTTAGGAGGCTGAAATGGGAGGATGACTCGAGCCCCAGAGTTTGAGGCTGCAGGGAGCTATGATCATGCCACTGCACTCTAGCCTGAGCAACAGAGTGAGAACCTGTCTCAAAAATACAAATAAATTCAATCAGTCTTGATCCTTCCTTAATTTCCGAGGAGGAAATAACAAAACTTAGGAGAGGAAATACGTAATAAACACAATCAAAATGATCAAAATGACAGGAATACATGCAACTATATCATCGCACAGAAACACAGACTAAACTTGCCAGTTAAAAGCCAACCCAGGCTGGGCACGGTGGCTCATGCCTGTAATCCCAGCACTTTGGGAGGCCGAGGCAGGCAGATCACCTGAGGTCAGGAGTTTGAGACCAGCCTGGCCAACACGGTGAAACCCCGTCTCTACTAAAAATACAAAAATTAGCTGGGTGTGACGGTGCATGCCTGTAATCCCAGCTACTCGGGAGGCTGAGGCAGGAGAATCACCTGAACCCTGGAGGCAAGGTTGCAGTGAGCCGAGATTGTGCCACTGCACTCCAGCCTGGGCAACAGGATGACTCTGTCTCAAAAAAAAAAAAAATGCCAACCCCAGCATCCAACAAAGCCGTTCACCAGAGCAAGGCTAGGCCCCAAGGACCCAGAAGGTTGACATCACGTGAGATGCCGGTAGAGGCTGCATGGGGCACAGCTGGCACAGAGATGGAATTGGGAACGCACTTAAGGCAAAAAGCAGGATTTGAGGTAAAGGCGAGGACAGAAATGACTGACCACAGGGCACTCGTCAGGAAGCTGAAACAAGGCCAGCCCTGGGTACCATGGCGATTGCCTGAGAAAAGACAGGAAATGCGTGGGTGTTGGGTGGGGCCCCAGGATTCTGATGCCAGAGTCCCACGGTGCTCCGTGGAGACAGGGGCGAGGGGTCATGCTGGTGTGGCCTAGGCTGCACTAGCTGCCACCCTGGGACCGGGGGTCCAGAGAGCGGCCACACACCCAGCTGGGTCAGGGCTGGCTGCGGCCCCACTCCCTCCCAGGAGGTGAGCATTGAGTGCTCGGAAAGAAAACTCTGCGGCACAGTAACCTTCCCCTGTGTGACCTCGTCTAAGGCAGGACATCACTATAGTGAGCCTCCCGGAACCCACACGCCCTTCACAACCTCCTGTCCCCCGTTCCTACGGACACACGGACCCCAGGCTTCTTGGAGGCTCCTGTCCCCGTTCCTTCCCACACACGGACCCCAGGCTTCTCGGAGGCTCCTGTCCCCATTCCGTCCCACACACGGACCCCAGGCTTCTCGGAGGCTCCCTGTCCCCGTTCCGTCCCACACACGGACCCCAGGCTTCTCGGAGGCTCCCTGTCCCCGTTCCGTCCCACACACGGACCCCAGGCTTCTCGGAGGCTCCCTGTCCCCGTTCCTTCCCACACACGGACCCCAGGCTTCTCGGAGGCTCCCTGTCCCCGTTCCTTCCCACACATGGACCCCAGGCTTCTCGGAGGCTCTGGCTCAACCCTTCCTGGTTCTCACTGAAATCCCCCAGCAGGCATCCAGAGCCCACCCTGCACCCTCCCAGGGCATCCCAGCTGGGGGCTCGGCCCTGGCATGGACGTGCAGACCACAGGGATGGGTTTCATCTCCTGGCTGTGCTTGGCTCCTGGGCTGGCACCACCACACCACAGCTCGAGTTCCAGGCCTGGATGCTCCCGCTGCAGAGACCTCACCCTCCTGGAAGGAGCCTGGTGGTCTCCTGTCCATGAGAAGCAGTACCACACGGCAGAGTTTGCTGCTGCCTGCAGTCCGGGAGCTGATACACTAGAGCCCTGCAAGGCCTGTTTGCAAGTCACGCAGGAAAGGACTCCAGGTGCGCACCTAGACAAGGGGGCTGTCTGGACCTCCCTGAGCCATCGTGAGAAGCCCCGCCCCCAAGCCCAGAAGGTGCCCGCCACTTGGCTGACACCAGAGCGGTCTCTCCAGAGGGTGCCCAGGACCACAGCCCCCCACTCTACTGCCCCATGAGCCCAAGGATCTAGAGCATCCTAGACTCTCCCAGAGCTCCTGGAGGCCCTGAACACCCCCTTGACTCTCAGCCAGTTTGGACTCAGGATGGTTCTGGTGGGGCAGGAGCAGCAGGCAGGTGACAGCAGGCTGGTCCTGGTTCCAGGGACTTCTCTTCTGGGAAAGGCAACAGTTGCCAGGGAGCAAATCTTGAAGTGCCAAGTTGGGCACACAGGACCCAAGGAAGCCGGGAGAAGACGGGGACAGAGATCACACAGGGCAGCTGCAGCCAGGCCCCTGCAAACCACAGGCACCCCCGGAAAGGCTTCTGTGCAGCCCATCCTGCTCCCGTACACACCCTCGCTCCACAGCTGCCTCCTCTGCAGACAGATGAGGAAGAGCCCCAGAGGATGTAGCCAGCACCAGGGCCATGCTGGCCTCCAGGGCGCAGGGCCAGCCTCCAGGGAGTCCTCCCTCTAATCTCACTCCCAGCACACTCCCCACTGCTCCCCTGAATTAACCCCACAGCAAGGTGGAGAAGATTCATCGAATGCCTAGAGCGCCTATAATTCTCTGTTGCTACAAATTTTCCGACTGTGCAGCTCCGAATTACAATTGACCTCTCTCTCTAGGTCAATAATATGCAAAAGAGGTGCTGCCAGGTCACAGTGGCACTGAGAGAGGACGCCGCCCTGCCTCGTGACCCTTAGAGGCAACTGCAAAGACAGCAGGCAAGAGATTCACTGGAATCTTTTTTACAATGAGTCTAATCAAACAAGGTTTCCTCTTCACTCTTAACAGAAACAGCTAGTTGGAAATCCTAATGACGCCGCTGCCACTGTGCCCTGGGTGTTCAGGTCAGCAGAAAGGTGCTGAGTGTGGGAGTCCAGCCCACGCGCCAAGACTCGGGCTGCTGGGAGGGCCTGGCCACAGTCTACCCCCAGGCAGTACCTCCAGCAAGTGCGTGGCACTTGTGGAATATTCCAGCTTCAAGGATGGCGAGCCCAGAGCACAACTGCTGCCAGTGTCCTCGAGAGCAGCCTCTGGGCCCCTGTTCTCTATGGCCATTCACACTGCTGGGCCCAGCGGCTGGAGCGTCCGTGTCCAACTCACAGAGCAGCCACAGCCTGAGCTCCCTCCTCTCCTGAGAGCCGAAGAGCCCCAGGAAGGCCCAGAGGAGGCAGTGGGTGGTTTGCACCAGGTCACCCACTACTGGGTCCCCTTTCTGAAGGGACCACATTCTCCAGGAGGAGAGGTGAGGACAACCCTGGACAGCTGCCTCCTCCCCAGTCAAAGGAAAGCTGGCCACTCCGGGGGTTGGGGCAGGGGGTGTGGCATAAGCCATGTGTCCTTTAAGAACTGCACCCCTCTCTTCTCCGTGCACCTCCACACCTAGGGAAACACTCAACCTCTGACCAAGAGTCACCCCCTAATCAGTGCTGGAAATTTTCCCAGGGAATAACTGGAACCACTGCAGGGCCTGGTCCACTGAAGGTTGACGAATCCTGGGGGGAGGCACTGTTCTGATAGAATCCGCAGTGAAACCTCGGGTGGCCTGGGCCGGTGAGCCAAGGCTCGGCTGTCAATGGCCCCTCGGGTGGCCTGGGCCGGTGAGCCAAGGCTCAGTTGTCAATGGCCCCTCGGGTGGCCTGGGCCGGTGAGCCAAGGCTCGGCTGTCAATGGTCCATCGGGTGGCCTGGGCCGGTGAGCCAAGGCTCAGTTGTCAATGGCCCCTCGGGTGGCCTGGGCCGGTGAGTCAAGGCTCGGCTGTCAATGGTCCTGCTCCCTGGCAGGGAACCGCTCGAGCCACAGTCGCAATCTCTGGATATCATGTTGCTAATTAAAGAAACCTCCAAAACCTTCGATAGCCCACCAGAGTCAGGTGCAGTCCAAGAGCCTGGCCAGCTGTCCTCTGCCCCTGCCACATCCTCCCCAGGCAAGTACAGTGAGCAAGCGGCAGAGGCATGAGATGCACCACCCTGCCCCCAGCACAGGCTCCGAGCGCTAGCGGCAGACACCTGCTGTGATTCCTGGCCCCGCCCCCAGCACCATTTGACAGGACCACGGCAGGAGAACAACTCCACCCCAGCCCCCTGTCACCACTTGCCGAGGGTCTGAGAAGCAAGAGGATGGTGCAGGAGCTATCCACGGGAGCCAAGGTCCCCGCCCCTCAGGCCCACGATCCCCAGTGCTCAGGCAGTCAGCGCAGCAGGCAGTAGCGGCAGGCACTGACCTGGCCGCGCACATCCCCTCAGGCTACCACCACTGCAGCCTCTCGACCTTCCTGGACCCCTCCCCAAGGCCTGCCCTCCTTCCCCCTCGCTTCTGAGGCTCGCTCTGTGTGGCCAGGTCAGGCACGCCGGCCTCCCAGCTGGTGAGATACCCCTTGGCCCTGTGGCCTTGCAGCTGTTCTTCACGCCCAAAGCTGACACCTCCCGCAGGAGACAGCGACGCTGGACCTGATAGGTGCTGTATTTATAAACATAAGCCACGCTCAGCTCCGTTTCCAGCTGAAGCCATAGCCAGGCGAGCCAAGAGTGCGTCGATTCGGGTGTAGTGACTTAACTTTCCAAGGCGCGACAACCTTTACGTCCAGCTAGGTGGGAAAAACAGGAAGTCCAGGGCCAAGCTGGAAACTGCAGGAGCCGAAGGAACAGCAGGACTGACTGCAAGGGGCAGGCTGGCGGTGACTGGAGGCCACCCAGGGCACCACAGCAGCTCCCACCAGGAGGAACAGTAGAGTCCTGGCCGCAGGGTGAACGTGGAGCTCATAGCAGAAAGCACGCTCAGGCCAGGAGAGCCCAGACCTCAGGGTGGGTCTTCACGGCCAGAGCTCCCGCTCCCCTCCCTGGCTAGGCCACACCCCAGGCTTGAGGTGGGGGAGGAAGGAGAGCCCTAGGCCAGACCGAGGGGCCTCATGACCTGACACTTGGGTGGCACACAGGCAGCCCGAGAATGTGGAAGGGCCACCCTCCCGGGCCCCACCACGGAGCACCTTCTAGAGGCACCGGCGGGCACTGCCTGAAGCCTGAGCCGCCATCCCTCTCCTTGGTGCTCAGAGGAACGAACAGCCCAATTCAGCACCGCACCAGGAAGGCCTGGCCCCGAGGGACTGCCTGCTAGCAGGGCATCGGCCTCCTGCCACTCACCCTCCTGAGGCGCTCCTGGGGCGACTGGGAAGATGCAGGATGTCTGGTATGTCCACCCTCAAACTGACCAGGAGCGAGCTCATACGGAAGCCTCAACTCCACTGCTGCTGCGGAGCCCCCGCCCCACCCGTGTCCAGGACCAGGAAGCAGGTGCGGGTCTCAACTCCACTGCTGCGGGGGAGCCCCCGCCCCACCTGTATCCAGGACCAGGGAGGCGGGCGCTGGTCTCGAGGCGGCCCTGGAGACACCTGCACGAGCCCAGCATGCAATGCCCATGAAAAGTCTTGCCCAATTATTTTGCATCTAAAAAGAGGGAAGTCCTGGCTGGGGCCATACAATAAAGAAATATTGTCAATGCCTCCTGCAAGGTCAGCTACAGAATTACACTGGGAAATGAGACTCAAATTAAACAAAAGATGCTGGTGGCATCCTAGCTGTCAACTGGTCCCTGGTCACCTCTGTCCTGATGCAGATGTGGGACTCCCAGAAGGTTGGAGAGTAAACAAAGGCATGGAGGAGGGGCCCAGCAGAGGGGCCAAGCTCGCAGGACAGCAGCCCAAGGTCAGGGCCCTTCCCATCAGCATTGGCTTGGTGCCGTTCCCCGTGCTCACCAGAACAAGAACAGCATTTGAGAAGAGGGATGTGCATCTGCAGGTCTGCCTCGCTGTGGATCCACATCCTGGCCTGCCAGGGAAGGGACAGTGCTGGTCACCCCCACAATGGCCATCTCCCCAAGATGAAAGGCATCCTGGGGAAGGCTGAAGGGAGGCTGGACTGCATGGCCACTTTGCTGCCCAGCTCAAGACACACCTGGCTCCTGGGGCTGCTGAGCTGAGCTGCCTGTGCGTGGCGGCTGCTGCCAGCTGCTCTTAGGACACGGGCTGGATGGGGCAGTCGAGAGACAGAAATGCGAGACACAGCATTGCACCGAGCGAGCTGACCACCTGGGCCTCAAGCCCGTGGATCCCAAACTCCTCTGCCAAGCAAGGCCCAGGATGTTGGCCCGAAAGGTTGTGCAAGGGCTGCATGGGGACTGAAGGCCCTTCCAAGTCCCCTCCCCTGCTCCAGCTCACCCCACCTTGTCTCAGGACTCAGGGGTCATTAGAACCCATCTGTCTCCTTGCTGAACCCCTGAAGAGAGCCGCTACCCTGAAGCAAACCCTCCCCCAGCCCCACCCCACCCCGAGCCACAGCACTGACCCCTCCACAACCACTGTGTCCGAGCCCCCCCCCGTCCCACCACCCTACGACGGTGCCCTCAGGGCTGGGACACAGGCGAAGAGCCAGCTGGAGTGTCTCTGCACTTGGCCAGGTGCTGCCTGTGTCCGGGGGCAGGGGGTGCCCACAGCTTGGCCAGGGGGTGCTGAGGAAAGGCTGGTTGGGGCAGTGGAGCGGAACAGCCAGGCCCAGAGCGGGTTGCTCAGCCCCAGGCCCGTGTGCACCCCCAGCAGGAAGGGCAGACCCACCCCTTCCCCAGTGTCTTCCCTTGCCCATTTCTGCCCCTTTTGGGTCCTGACTCCTCTGTTGAGCGGCATCTGCACCCCAGGGGACCCAGCATGGCCCCTGACCATGCAGAGGACCTGGGGCTACGGCCATGAATGTCCCGGGCCTGAGAGCAGCCCAGCAGTAGCCAGTGCTCCCTGGGGCTCCTGGAGAGCCTGCCCCCCATCCGTGGGGTGAGACGGGGCGCCACCGGCCTCCACAGGCCGGAGCCCTCGAGGAGCTGCTGACGACCCCAGCACCATGACCAGCAGCCACGCTCTCATCACTCTCACAACCCTGCTAAGTCGGCCTGAGCTGAGCACACATCGGCGCGCGCCTGCGGAGCAGAAAGGGACGGCCTCTCAGCGCTCGGCTATTTTTAGGGCTGCCTCTCAGAGCAGCTGCTGAGCCAGCCAGGCCCAGCCACCCTGCGGGGCCAGCAGCTCACAGGCCTCAGGGCTGCCCTCAGCGGGAGCCTGTCCTACAGAGACCCTCCACGGCCAGGCAGGAATAAGCACGCCACACCCTGCCCCCTGGTCCTGGGGAAAGCACTGTACAACCTCCATCCTGCCACCCCTTCCCACCTGCACCTGAGCACCCTGTCTCGGCAACGCCACTGCCTGCCACCACCACACACAAGTCACAGGGTCCAAAGAGACCCCCGTCACTGTGACTGACCGCAGACCCGCTCTCTGCAGCAGCCCCCCGACCCCGCCACAGCACCGCAGCTGCCCACTCCATCAAACCTTCCTGAGACGCATGCTGAGAATGCTGGGCAGAGAGAGGGAAAGGGCTGGTTCTAGTGCCCAGATCCAAGGAAAGCATCCTTTAGTCCAAGGGCACTGTAGCCCCCTGCCCTCCATCTCCTGCACAAAAGCCAGTCCCCAGCAGGAGACCCACTGACATGTGACTCCAGTGTTGACAGCAGGACAGAGCTGCCAGAGGTTTCCAGGCATCTTGAAAGCAGGGCACAGCCTGCGCGGACAGAGCGGTGTGCACGCACCGTGCAGGCCACGGCGATGGGCCAGGTCCTCCGAATCCCCAAGGCCTCCAGGGCTACGGGCACCGTCCTGCTGCCCCTTGGCCCCAGCTCGAGTGCTGCCCAGCCTACAGGCCACTGGCTGCCCAGGTCAGCTTCCTCAGCCCCTCCCTCAGAGCAGCCCATCTTCCCTGGATCACTGCAGACCACCTCCGAAAGCCCTGTCCCAAGCCCTGCACGACACCTCCCACCCATCTCCACCTGCACACCCTGAGGCAATCTCCACCTCCAGTGTGGTCCACCACTCCAGCAGCACTGCTCTCCCAAATACACACACTTGAAATAGTCCAGCGACTTCCCCACCACTCAAAATGAAACCACACTCCTTGGCATGACATCCTGGTTCCATTACAGGAACGTCCGCCAAGGAGCTACACTGTGCAGGCTCTGGGCAGCACCGAGCAAGGCAGACAGGGTCCCGCCGTGAGAGTCTCGTGCAGGCTGGCAGCGGTCAGTAGGCAACATGCGTCCTGAGGAGACGCCCCTGCACGTGGACAGAGGCAGGGGGAAGGGCTGGAGACAGGCTACTGCCCCAGCCAGCCGCCGCCCACTGACACCACCCAGTGCATCTATGGATGTGGAGGATCCGGCAGGAAGAGCAACACGTCCAATTGTTGCTCCAGAGGTGAGAGAGAGAATAGCGCAGAACCAACAGCAGAAGAAAAAGTGGCTGAGAGCTTCCCGGGACTCATGAAAATCATCGATCCACAAAGTCAGCAAGTCTAGTAACCCCGACTCAGGCAATCACAAGAGAACCCACACCAGGACCCACCATGAGACGACCGTTGGCAACGATGACATGACCACAAAGCCACCCAGACGTCTCCCTCCAGCCTGTCACGGCCGCTGACCTCTTACAGCAAAGCTGGAAGTCAAAGCCAGGGACGCCCTGCCTGGACCTGTGGGAGGAGCACACACCACCCCAGCATCGTACAACCAGCACACGCCCTGCTCAGGGTGAGGGTAAACTAAAACATCTTCAGACAAACAGAAAGAGAAGGTAGTTATCAGCAGATCCTCACTAAAGGAAATCCTAAGAACAAATATTCAACAGAAGAAGGAAAATGATTCCTGACATGCAAGAAGAATGAGCAACAAAGGAAGTGGTGAGTTTTGAAGCTCATCAAATATCACAGTATAAAGCAGTAACAACATCTTGTGGGCTTCACAAGAAAACAATTAAGATACACAGTAACAAAATCATATAAATATAAACATGAAAGGGTTGGATTAGAATAAAGTGGGCTAAGGTCCCTGCATAGTTCAGCAGGAGAGTAAAGATACAATTAACTATGCACATTAAAATGTACAGGGTAGGCTGGGCGTGGTGGCTTATGCCTGTAATCCCAGCACTTTGGGAGGCCGAGGCGGGCAGATCATTTGAGGTCAGGAGTTCGAGACCAGTCTGGCCAACATGGTGAAACCCCGTCTCTACTAAAAATACAAAAAAATGAGCCGGGTGCGGTGGCGCGCACCTGTAGTTCCAGCTACTCGGGAGGCTGAGGCACAAGAATCACTTGACCTGGGAGGTGGAGGTTGCAGTGAGCCAAGATTGCGCCACTGCATTCCACCCTGGGCAACAGAGCAAGACTCCATCTCAAAAGAGAGAGACTCCGTCTCAAAAAATAAAAAATAAAAATAAAAAAAGGCCGGGCACAGAGGCTCAGCCTGTAATCCCAGCACTTTGGGAGGCCAAGGCGGGCGGATCACGAGGTCGAGAGTTCGAGACCAGCCTGGCCAACATGGTGAAACCCCGTCTCTACTAAAAATACAAAAATTAACTGGGCGTGGTGGCAGGCGCCTGTAGTCCCAGCTACTCGGGAGGCTGAGGCAGGAGAATCGCTTGAACCCGGGAGGAGAGGTTGCAGTGAGCCAAGATTGCACGACTGTACTCCAGCCTGGCGACACAGCGAGACTCTGTCTCAAAAAAAAAAAAGTCAGAAAAGGTCAGAGTGAATGAAAATGAAATCTAGATACATGCTGAATAACCAAAGACACATCTAATATGTAAGGATATACAAAGGTTTTTAAAAAGGATAGAAAAATAGCTAACAGGCAAAAATTATCCAAAAGAATGCTTGCATCAAAGTCAATACTAAAGACAAAAAGCATTACTAGATATAAAAGCAGTCATACAATGAGAAAAGTTCAAAATACCTAGAATTACAATTCTAAACATGTATGTACCTAATAACATAGCCTCAAAAATATATTAAGTGACGGGGCGTTAGTGGTTCATGCCTATAATCCCAGCACTTTGGGAGGCTGAGGCAGGTAGACTGCTTGAGCCCAAGAATTCAAGATCAGCCCGAGCAACATGGAAAAACCCAGTCTCTACAAAAAATACAAAATTTAGCCAGGTGTGGTGGTGCACACCTGTAGTCCCAGCTACTCGGGAAGCTGAGGTGGGAGGATCGATTAAGCCTGGGAGTTCAAGGCTACAGTGAGCTGTGATCGTCCCACTACACTCCAGCCTAGGTGACAGAGTGAGATCCTGTCTGGAAAAAAAAAAAGTATCAAACAGAAACTGACAGAACTGTTAGAAAACCCGGACCAATCTATTCTCAGATTATAAGATTTTAACATACATTTCTAGTAGACAAAAAAAGGGAACGGACTTGAAGACCACAGTAAACCAAGCTTGATCTAATAGACAAACACTGCACCATCAACTGCCAAACACACATTCCTTTTAAGTATAAACAGAACGTGCATTAAAATTGACACACTGACCCAGAAAGCAGGTTCAAAAAAAAATGTTTTTGCAGTGGCGCCATCTGGGCTCACTGCAACCTCCGCCTCCCAAGTTCAAGTGATTCTCCTGCTTCAGCCTCCTGAGTAGCTGGAATTACAGGTGCGTGCCACCACGCCTGGCTAATTTTTGTATGTTTAGTAGAGATGGGATTTCACTACGTTGCCCAGGCTGGTCTCGAACTCCTAACCTCCGGTAATCCACCCACCTCAGCCTCCCAAAGTGCTGGGATTACAGGTGTGAACCACCAGGCCCGGCCAGTCAGGTTATTTTATAAGTGAATTATCCCAAACATTCAAGGAAGAAATGATTCCAATTTTACATAAGCTATACCACGATACAGCAAAAGAGGCAGTACTCATTTCATTTCACAAGGAAATCTTAGCGCCAAAATCTGCTAAGGACTACAGAAGAAAGGAAGCACATAGACCCCAGACACACATGCAGAAGTCCTAAACAAGATACTATCATCTAAACCCACCAATGTGGGCAGGTAGGGAGGCTCACACCTGGAGTCCCAGCTCTTTGAGAGGCCAAGGTGAGAGGATCACTTGAGGCCAGGAGTTGGAGACCAGCCTGAGCAACATAGTGAGACCCCATCTCTACAAAAAATTTAAAATTAGCCAGGCCAGTGGCATGCACCTGTAGTCTCAGCTACTCAGGAGGCTGAGGCAGGAGGATTGCTTGAGCCATGGTCACACCACTGCACTCCAGCCTAGGCAAAAGAGCAAGACCCTGTCTCAAAAAATAAATACATAAATAAATATATATCCACCAATTTTTAAAAAGGGTAATACAACATGCTTAAACTAGTATTTTTCCAGGAATAGGTTAATGTTAGAAAATCAATTTACGGCCAGGCATGGTGGCTCACGCCTGTAATCCCAGCACTTTGGGAGGCTGAGGTGGACGGATAACAAGGTCAGGAGATCGAGACCCTCCTGGCCAACACGGTGAAACCCCGTCTCTACTAAAAATACAAAAATTCGCTGGGCGTGGTGGTGCACACCTGTAGTCCCAGCTACTTGGGAGGCTGAGGCAGGGGAATTGCTTGAACCTGGGAGGCAGAGGTTGCAGTGAGCTGAGATCACGCCACTGCACTCCAGCCTGGTAACAGAGCGAGACTCTGTCTCAAAAAGAAAAGAAAAGAAATAAAATCAATTTATGTAATTTACCACAATAGTAATGAAAAGATAAAAATTATATAATCCTCTTAATGAAAGTACTTGATTATATTCAACATCCACTCATAATGATTTCTTTAAAAAGCCTTTGCAAGTCATGAATAGGATGAGACTTTTTAAGTGCATAAAGGCTATCCACAAAAAGTTGCAGCAAACATCGTCCTTAAAGGTAAAACACTGGAAACCTTCCTTAAGGTCAAGACAGAACACGGGTAATCCACGCAACCAACCATATTCAACACTGTACTATGACAACTGGCACAGTCAGGCAAGAGAAAGAAAGAAAAGTATGAGGATTGAAAAGAAACAACTTTGTCTTTTGCAAAAGACAAAACATACATTTTGAAAATACAAAATAATCTATAGATAAGTTACTAGGTTAAAAATAGTAAAATCACTGATTTCTTTGAAAAATCAACTGAATTTCTATATGTTAGCAACAAACATAATAAAAAGCTGACTTTTACTATGACTTCTAAAATACAAGCATCTAGGAATAAATGTAACAAAGGATATGCATGACAGCAGAATCTTGTAAAACTCTCAAAATACATTCAAGACCTAAGTAAATAGCTTGATCATGAATGAGAAGACTCAGTACCACACAAACGTCAATTCTCCCCAACCTGCTCTACAGAGTTAAAGAACTTCCAATTATAAACCAAATGTGGCTTTGTGTGAAACTTAAAAAGATAATTCTGGCTGGGCGTGGTGGCTCACGCCTGTAATCCCAGCACTTTCAGAGGCCAAGGCGGGCGGATCACGAGGTCAAGAGATCGAGACCATCCTGGCCAACATGGTGAAACCCTGTCTCTACTAAAAATACAGAAATTAGCTGGGCGTGGTGGTGCACGCCTGTAGTCCCAACTACTCAGGAGGCTGAGGCAGGAGAATTGCTTGAACCCGGGAAGTGGAGGTTGTAGTGAGCTGAGATCGTGCCACTGCACTCCAGCCTGGGCGACAGAGCTTCTCAAAAAAATAAAATAGGCAGGGCGTGGTGGCTCACGCCTGTAATCCCAACACTTTGGGAGGCTGAGGCGGGCGGATCACGAGGTCAGAAAATTGAGACCATCCTGGCTAACACGGTGAAACCCCATCTCTACTAAAAATATAAAAAAAATTAGCCGGGCGTGGTGGCGGGCGCCTGTAGTCCCAGCTACTCGGGAGGCTGAGGCAGGAGAATGGTGTGAACCCAGGAGGCGGAGCTTGCAGTGAGCCGAGACAGCACCACTGCACTCCAGCCTGGGTGACAGAGCGAGACTCCATCTCAAAATAAAATAAAATAAAATAAAAATAAATAAATAAATAAATAAAATAAAAATACAAAAATTAGCCGGGCATGCTGGCAGGCGCCTGTAGTCCTAGCTACTTGGGAGGCTGAGGCAGGAAAATCGAAACAGGGAGGCGGAGGTTGCAGTGAGCCGAGATTGCACCACTGCACTCCAGCCTGGTGACAGAGTGAGACTCTGTCTCAAAAAAACAAAACAAAACAAAAAAATTAGACAGACATGGTGGTGTACACCTGTAGTCCCAGCTGCTCAGGAAGCTGATGTGGGAGGACTGCTTGAGCCCAGGTTTTAGGGGTTACAATGAGCCATGATCAAGCCACTGCACCCCAGTCTGGGCCACAAAGTGAGGCTCTGTCTCTAAAAACCAAACAGATGGCCAGGCCCAGGGGCTCATACCTGTAATCTCAGCACTTCGGGAGGCCGAGGTGAGAGGATCACTTGAGCCCAGGAGTTCAAGACCAGTCTGGGCAACATAGGGAGACCCTGTCTCTGCAACAACAACAACAAAATACATAAATAAAAACAAATTAATAAACATCAACCGAAAAAACAATCAAGTGGGAAGGGCAAGGTACAAAGCAGCCCAGCCCTTGCTGAAGAGCAGGTGGGGGCGCTCAGGGACATGGGCACCAGGAGGACACTCTGGGAACCCAGGAGGCAGAGGCCACAGACAGGCACTGACGCATACCCCGTGGACCACCTAGGAGCACCGTGTGTAACAGTGCTGAGCCAAAAGCGTCGCAAGGAAACCCGGAGCACAGGCCTCCCCAACAACAGCCCAGCATGCCCAGTTCAAGCTCCCGGGGGCAGACTTCTCCGGCTGCCTCCCAGAAGGAGAACCGAAACGAGACCAGCACCCCAGCCTGGCAAACAGTCAATGTGCACACTCCACCAGGCTGACACGGGGAGTGCACCCAGAGGCTGCTCAGAGAGCAAAGACTCGCTCATAACTGGACGGGGACATCCTCAACACAGCCGAGAAAGGATGACTATCTCTAAAGAAACTGCTGAAACTCAAGCAGAAAAAAAGAGAAAAAAAAACTGGCAAAGGAACAGGAATTTCACTGACAAGGAAGTACAAATGGCCTAAATTAGTAATCAGAGAAATTCAAGTTAAAACCACGATACCACTTCACACCCACCAGACTGGCAAAAATTAAGTCAAATGAGTGTTGGCACAAATGTGGAGCAGTGGGGACTCTCGTCCCTGTCAGTGGGGGCCGGAGCAGGCACAACCACTCTGGAAAACTGCCCAGCAGTAACGCTGAGTGCGTGCACACCCCCACCATAAATCCTGGTAGCTGGCGGTACATGCTTAAGACAGGCCCTGCCCATCCAGAAAGACACACGCAGAAGACTGGCACACGATGTCCACAGCAGCACGGGGCTTGTAATTAACCAAAAAACTGGAAACAAGCCAAGGTCCCTTGACAGAAGCAAAGCCGAGGTACTGTCACGCCAGTGAATAGTACGCAGCAGTGAACACGCCGAAAGGCATCAGCACACACGCAGCCCAGAAGCTTCATGGCTGGGCAAAAGTGAGGAGTACAGAAGAACTCAGGAGGAACAAAGCAAAACTAAGTAGCAGACTGTCCGAGGATGCACGGACAGGCGGCACAAGCACAAAGCAAAGCTAGGGGCAAGCCCGCCTATGAGGGGCCCTGTTCCAGGACAGGTAAGGGCAGGAGCTCATTATGAGGCTGAGCATGTCCTACGAACAAACTGCATCTGCCCACCTGGTCAGCTGCGCCACTCGCCCCTCCGCCCATTAACTCCTCCGCCCATTAACTCCACACCAACAGAACAAATCCTGTCCTCCTGCCTACCCTTCCTCCCAACCCTGTCCAGGCCAGAGCTCGGGACCCCCCCCAGCACTTAGTGCTACCCAGCCCAGGTGCCCCCATCTACCCCCGCCTGTCCTAACCAGGCTTCTCGAAACCCGCCCTACCCATACCCTCCCCACAGACACCAGAGTGGGCTTTCTAGACCCCTGGAGAATAGAGCACAGCTCCACAGGGGGGCTGATAAGGCCCCCGGCCCCTCCTGCCACACGCCCCCACCTCCCTTGGGTTAAAGACTTTGCTGCTCATTCGGAGGGCCCCAGGAAGCTGCTGCAGAGGTTCAGCAAGGGCAGGCTATGTGCTGCAGTGCTGGAGCAGGGGAGCGCCAACAGCCCGCATGAAGGTTCTGGGGCTGTGGGTGAGGCAGTGACTCAGAGGGGCAGACAGGAGAAGGGCTGTGGGGCTGTGGGACCTGACATTGGGGCAATCGCCAAGACCTGGAATGGAGAAGCAGCCAGGCCTGGGGAGATGCTCCTGGCTTTGGCTTTGAGGCCCCAGAGACTTCCCAGAAGAGAGGCAAGCAGGCACATCTGCAGTGCTCGGCCCCAGACCTTGGGCAAATGCTGACCCTTAGGTCTCATATGGACACTGGGTCCTTCGGGAGGCCCCGCCAGGTGCAAGAGTCGTGCCGGGTGGGCATCCTTCCTGTCCACTCAGCAAAACCAAAGCCCCGAGGTCCCAACCCTGCGCTCCAGGAGGGCAAGCCCCACTGTCCAGCGGCTCTGCAACTCCAACACCACGCTCAGAGATGCAGGCTGTGGGAGCCACAGGAAAGCACGGAGAGGCCCACCTGCAGCTGACTAGGGGTGGAACAACTCAATGCCACGTGGGGTCCCCTCCAGGCATACTGGCCACTTCCAGTGCCTGGAAGGTCCGCTCACCCTCCCATCTCCCCAGGGAGAACTCTCACTACCCCCAACCGCCTCCTCTTCTCGCCTGCTGTCTATTCTAGAACCAGAACTTTTCCGGAGAGCGTGTCTCTCTCCTCCTTAGCCTGGGAGCTTCCTGAGCAGGAACTACCAAGTCACGAAGAAATTACAAAAGTTTCAAACTGAGCAGGAGACTCAGGGAAGCTGCAAGTCCAAGGAAGGCTGGGCTATGGCCGGAGGGTAAACCCTGTCCAATCGTTACCGCTGGGCGACCGGGCGCCCCCCTACCAAGTGCAGAACAGCCAGTCTTCCGCAATGGCAAGATCAACTGGGAGGCGCAAATAGCAGTACTGGCTTGGCGACGCCTCTAAATGAGAGACAGCGCCAACCAGGTACCCGCGAGGACGACCCCGCCCCGCAGGACAGGGCATCTCCACCGCGCGCTGGACGGAGGATACAACCGAGTCCTGCGCGCCCCGTGCGCCGGGGGTCGCTCCCAGGCCGAGGTCTGACAGTGTCGCCGAACGCGAAAGGAAGCGTGTGGTACCCGAGAGAGGAAGCACCCTCGTCACCCCGGCCGGCACCGCATTGAGGCAGGTGTGCAGGTGCGGTTGCGGCGAGCCAGGTGAGCGCCGCCCGGGAGCCCCAAGGTCCCGCCGGGTCTGAGCAGCACCGGGTCCTCGGAAGCTGAGCGCGGCCCCCGGTGCTCGGGACCTGGGGGGCTGGGGCCGCGCTTGCCGGAGCTGCGGGGGGGCGGCGGCTGCACGCGTCGAACCGGCGGGCGGGGGCGCGGGGGGCGACCTGGGCTCCGCTGGGGGACCCGGGCCGGGGATGGGGCGCGCAGAGGCCGCGGCCAGGACACCCCCAGCAGGTGCCCGGCGGGAACAAAGCGCGGCGGGCGGCGCGTACCTGGGCACGCAGCTGGGGCTGGAGCCGTCCACCTCCCAGGTGGCGAACAGGTTCATGGGCACGGGCGTGTTGAGCGCGCCGGGCGCGCCGGGGAGGCCGAGGCGGCCTCGCTCGGCCATGGCGCCGGCCCCGCCGCTCCCTCGGCGGCCTGGGGCTGCGGCCGGGCCGCGGACGCGCGGCGGGCGGGCCGGGCGCGCGGAGGGCGGCGGCGCGGTCACATGGCTGCCGGGCGGCGGAGGGGACGGGCCGGGCCCCGGCGTCGGACAGGCCCGCGGGCGGCGACGAGCTGCGGCCGCTCCGCCCCGCCCCGCCCGGCGCCCCGCCCGCGCCCCGCGCGCCCCCGGCCGCCCCGCGCGCGCCCGGCGCCCTCCGACCCGCGCCGGCGCCGCCGATTGGCTGGGCGGGGCGCCAGCTCGCCGCCTCGGGTCCAATCGCCGCCGGCGCAGCGCGCGCCGGAAGTGAGGTGCGCGCGCGCTTCCTCCGGCGGCGCCTCACGGGGCGTCCCCGCCCGCCGGTGCGCGAGAGCGCGCACTCACGCGCCTGCGCACAGACCCCGCCCGGGGCGCCCCGCCCCGCCCCCCGGGAGCCGCGGGCAAGGGCCGGGAGAGTCGTGGGGGTCCACCGGGTCCCGGCCAGCTTCAGGCGCCGCCCCCTAAGGAAAGCTCATCGTCGCCCTGGCGATGCCCACCTCCCCACGCGCGGATTCCCCGGCCTCGACACTTTCCCGCCTCCACCCCGCCATGCCCCGAGTCTCCCCGCCCCCCTGCCCTCGCCGCCCCTTGTCTCCTGCCGACCCCCGCTGGGTTGGCCCGGCTGTGCGGGCCCCGCCCGTCCCCGAGCCCCTCCCTCGCGCCCCCCTGCGTGGGTTCCCCGGGACGCAGGGAGGTGGCAAGGAGGTGGCCGGGCCTGGCGGCGGTCGCGGGGACTCGAAGCCACTCGGGGCGCCAGGCTGCCGAGCTTAGCCTCCAGGGCTCCAGATGACCCCGGGCGCCCTCTTTGCGTCCCAGCATCCTTATTCAGCGCCGCTTTTCAGCGTTGTGCTCAGGACAATGGAGAACAAATGTCTGGGGCCAAGGCTGGCTCCTGGCCCTGGGGTTAACAGTGAACTTGGGGACCCAAGCAAAGAGGAGGCAATGGCTAGAGCCGCTGGGGCCCGACGTGTAGGCTCTGGGGCTCAGGGAGGGTGCTTCCCCCATCTGTTTGGCAGCGGCTGTGGTCCAGCACCAGATGCCAAGCCGAGATTTAGGAAACGGTTTTCTGGCCTCTCTTCTGTTTCCTTGTTTCACAGTTAGTTTACAGTTGCTTTTCTCTTCGCCCTGTGTCTTGTCTACAAGTAGTTTTACTGAAACAAATCCAGCCCGAGCAAATTGACCTGGAGCTGGTTTCTTTCCTGGCCCACGGGGCTTGCCACCCCAGTGCCCCGTCAGCTCCTTCTGCAAAGGCCCTCATGCCGCTGCTTCCTCCGTTGAGAGAGCTCAGCCTCCAGCTGTAACTCCTGTATCTAGAACTGCAAACAGCTGCGACTGCTTAAAGTCAGGGTCCCACTTCGGAGAGAACAAGGGACTCTGTGTTTCCCACGCGCCCCTGGCTCCTCTAAGGTGGTACACTGAGAGCCATGAGGGTCTGTCTGACCTTGGCCAGCTGCTCGGCGGGCAGAGGGCCGGTGGATCTCATACCTTTGAGACAGGGTAGGGGGAGAAGTGACTATGTCCAGAGAGGGGGTAGCCATACCCCAGGAGGACAGGCTGTCTGTGATGGGAGGGCAGGAGACAGGCACCCATTGACCCCAGAACTGAGCGTACGGCGCTGCTGGACCTGGCGAGCGTGCAGTTGCAGTCAGACGGATGGGCCGCCTGACACATGGTGCCTGTGTATGCCAGCGTCTAACCCAGGCAGGGACTACAACTGGGGGTCAAGTGAGGAGATGCGGGGTGACTAAGCCGTGCACAGCAGGGCTTGGCACCAGCTGCCACCATTGAGCGGTGCCCCTCCTCTGTGCCAGGCACCGTTGTGAGCCCTTAAGGGACGTGACAGTTCTGTCCCATCCCAAGTGACAAAAGAGGAGATGGCGGCCTGTGAGGTTATGCAGCTGCCAGGGGTCGGGATATGACCCACACAGTCTGTACCAGAGTGGCCCGAAGAACCCGTATGGTGGGTCTACATCAATGCTTCTGCCAGGCAGGAAAGCAGGGACACGAAACACACCATGTGTCACGCCTGCGACCACGTTTATGTTTGTTTTTAAGGTGGGATGGTGGTGATGGGACTGTGGTCTTCTGTATTTTCCAAGTGCACAGATGTCCCTTGGGTGATCAGAGTAACTTTTTAGCCAGAACTTGTTATTTGCACTGCCCTCCTCTGTCGGAAAATGATGCTGTGCTGGTCCTTCTCTTGAGGGCTGTGGGTCACAGGAGGAGATCCCCTGAAGGCTGGGAGGCATCCCTCCCCATGCTATGACCCTGGCATGGTGTGAGCCCTCACCCCCGTGTTTGGAGCACAGGTGCTTTCTCTGGTAGCGTTTTCTTTAAAGCAGGAACTTGGTTTGAGACAAACCTCTCGGATGACTGGGGTGGCTGGGCACGGTTGGGGAGGAGGTCCAAGAAGAGGATCCTTCAGAGCCCTGGGGTCTCAGGAGGACAACCTGAAAGCTGGTCCTACCACGTGCTGCCCGGGGTCCCCGGAGGTTGTGGGAGTTATTATTATTTAAGAAGTTAAAGCTTCAAGGTTCTGAATGCTTGGCTAGGATTCCATTGGTATTAAAAAGACGAAGCCCCAACCCCCAGTCATGGGACAGGATGGGCCGAGGCCTTTCCTCTGTCCGCCTGGCTTCGCTAGGTCCCTCCACCTAGGGTGAAGGCTCAGGCTTTTCCAGTCGGGCGCCAGGACCATGGGCTGCTTGGAAACGCATTCATCTCCTCAGCCTGGGCTAAGATGACACAGACACACAGCAGGCCCTGCTGAAGTCGGGGAGTGGGGGAGGGGCCTCCTCCAGGGCCAGCACTGGTCAGTTGGCGGCTCCAGCCCACAGCGCCCCTACTCCTTCTCCTGCCAGGAGCTGGGCTGAGGAAGCAGCCCCACGTGGCCAGGTCCCTGCCCAGCCCATGCTATGGCAGAGGGACAGAACTGCCGAACCCCTAGACAGGCCCTGCCGCATCCACTCCCATGGTTGGAGCACATGGCCATGACTGAGGCTGAGGAGGAATGGTCACAAAAAAGGTACAGCAGGGCCCTCCTCCTGGAGGCATTTTCTGGGAAGCCATGTGGGGGATGGCCAAGAGCTCTAAGACCGCTGAGATCGCTGCACCCGCAGCCGCACCTGTGGACAGTTCCCACGGTCACCCTTAGAGCAGCTCAACTGCTGAGAGTGAGGCCTGGAATCAACCCCGGGGTTGTAGAGTAGAACAGGGTTAGGTGAGCCATGATAGAACCTGATAGAATATTCTACAGCTGGCAGAAATAGTGAGTTAAAAGTAGCTAAAAACAGGCCAGTCGCAGGGGCTCACACCTGTAATCCCAGCACTTTGGGAGGCCAAAGCGCACAGATCCCGTGACCTCAGGAGTTCAAGACCAGCTTGGGCAATATGGCAAAGTCCCATCTCTAACAAAAATACAAAAACGTACCTGGGCATGGTGGTGCGCATCTGTGATCCCAGTGACTTGGGAAGCTGAGGTGGGAGAATCACTTGAACCCAGGAGGTGGAGGTTGCAGTGAACCAGGATCACACCACTGCACTCCAGTCTGGGGGACAGAGCCAGGCTCCATCTCAAAAAATAAAAATAAAAAGGCCGGGCACAGTGGCTCATGCCTGTAATCTTAGCACTTTGGGAGGCCGAAGTGGGTGGATCACCTGAGGTCAGGAGTTTGTGACCATCCTGGCCAACATAGTGAAACCCCATCTCTACTAAAAATACAAAAAATTAGTGGGGCATGATGGTGCGCGCCTGTAATCCCAGCTACTCGGGAGGCTGAGGCAGGAGAATCGCTTGAACCCAGCAGGCAGAGGTTCCATTGAGCCAAGATTGTGCCACTGCACTCCAGCCTGGGTGACAAGAGTGAAACTCTGTCTCAAGAAAACAAAAATGTATGTGAAAATGCATGTCCATGTGCAGTATGTATTTACATGTTAGTGATTATACATATAAAACACCTATTTTCAGGTATAGAAAAATATTGATAGGATACAAATTAATCCAAAGTGTTAAGAAAGTATCTCTGTGTGATGGGGATTCCATTGATTTGGTTTCTCCTTTTTGCTTATCTTTATCTCCTATTTTCTCCATGATGAACATGTATTAATTGTGTAGGGAAAATCAAACCACAGCAGGGTGAGCTGCCGCTGGCTGGAGAGCCGGGCGCCATCTGGCTGGGGCTGCGCCCCGTCCTGAAAAAACCAAACGTGCAAAGGGAACCCTCACCCAACGCAACAAACTATTGAGGATGATCTTTGTAAGAATACTGAATGTTTCACTAGGGTAACATTCTTTTTTTTTTTTTTTTTTTTTTGAGACAGAGTCTCGCTCTGTCTGTCGCCCAGGCTGGAGTGCAGTGGTGCCATCTCAGCTCACTGCAAGCTCTGCCTCCCGGGTTCATGCCATTCTCCTGCCTCAGCCTCCTGAGTAGGGGGGACTACAGGCGCCTGCCACCACGCCTGGCTAATTTTTTGTATTTTTATTAGAGACGGGGTTTCACCGTGTTAGCCAGGATGGTCTTGATCTCCTGACCTCATGATCCGCCCGCCTCGACCTCCCAAAGTGCTGGGATTACAGGCGTGAGCCACTGTGCCTGGCTCACTAGGGTAACATTCTTAATATCAAAGGAAATCATACAAGTCCATAAGACCACTAAAAAATTCCCAGTGGAAAATGGTTAGAGAAGCTACAAAAGATTCACAAAAGAATAAGTGAGACAGTTGTCACTACTATCACGAATTGTAAATTATAAAAAGATGCACATGGCTGGGTGCGGTGGCTCATACCTGTAATCCCAGCACTTTGGGAGGCCGAGGCGGGTGGATCTCCAGGTCAGGAGTTCAAAACTAGCCTGACCAATACACTGAAACCCCGTCTCTACTAAAAATACAAAAATTAGTCGGGTGTGGTGGCGGGCGCCTGTAGTCCCAGCTAGTCGGGAGGCTGAGACAGGAGAATTGCTTGAATCCAGGAGGCGGAGCTTGCAGTGAGCCGAGATTGTGCCACTGCACTCCTGCCTGGGCAAGAGAGTGAGACTCCGTCTAAAAAAAAAAAAAAAAAAAAAAAAAAAAGACACACATCACCACCTTCTCCTTAATGCAGGCTAATCTAGACCTAATACAGACCTAAGGTCGTGATGACATCCTCGGTGTCCTGCACGCTGCTCCCCTCCTGGGTTGGGCGCAGGCAGCGCAGCTCCCTCACACAGCACCTGGGGCAGGACCCAGAGCAGCTCTGCAGAGTGGCTTGGCAGCGTCTTGGGAGATTTGCCTGGGCTCATGGGTATCCCATGGCATCCTGCAGGTGACACTGGAAATGTCAACAGGGACACAGGTCCAGGTGTGTGAGATATTTCAAACAGCAACACCTACAGAAAGGAATGTCCAGTCCAGGGGAAATGACAAAACTTGCCCTGGCACATCCACCCCATGGGATGTGGAATAACCAGCAAAACGGAACGCTGCCTCAGTTTTAGCAACATGGGGAAATTCTCAGATATGTGATTGTGTGACAAATCAGGGTGTAAAGTTGAACACAGCATGACCTGGATTCAGGAATAAAACTCTCCCCTCTTGACTGTGGTTATCCTGAGCCCCAAGATTAAGAGGGACCTTGATGCATAAATTTTAACACTTCTTTCTTTCCCACAATAGAATATCATCACAATAAGCCAGGACATAACTTAAATATTAGAAAAGAAAGGAAAACACCCAGGCCCTAATACAGAAATCAGCCAAGGACATTCACAGACATCAGAACAGCAATTACCGCAACACGTGTCAACCAACACTCAACCTCAGTGCTCTTCGTGCAGGATGGATTTCTGGTTTTGTTAGGTTTTGTTTGTCTTTTTCTTTTTTTTTCTTTTGTTTTCTTGACAGGGTCTTGCTCTGTCAACCAGGCTGGAGTGCAGTGGTGCCATCATGGCTCACTGTAGGCCAGATCTCCTGGACTCAAACCATCCTCCTGCCTCAGCCTCTCAAAGTGCTGGGATTACAAGTGTGAACCACTGTGCTGGGTCCCTAAGGGTTTTAAAAAATTATTTATTTATTTAGAGACAAAGTCATGGCTGGGCACAGTGGCTCATGCCTGTAATCCCAGCACTTTGGGGGGCTGAGGCAGGCGGATCATGAAGTCAGGAGTTCCAGACCAGCCTGGCCAACATGGTGAAACCCTGTCTCTACTAAAACTGCAAAACTTAGCTGGGCACAGTGGCTCATACCTGTAATCCCAGCTACTCAGAAGGCTGAGGCAGGAGAATCACTTGAACCCAGGAGGCGGAGGTTGCAGTGAGCCAAGATTGCACCACTGCACTCCAGCCCGGACGACAGAGCAAGACTCCATCTCAAAAAAAAAAAAAAAAAAAGACAGAATCTGCCTCTGTCGTGCCCAGGCTGGAGTACAATGGTGCCATCTCAGCTCACTGCAACTTCTGTCTCCTGGGCTCAGGCAATCCTCCCTCTTCAGCCTCCCGAGTAGCTGGGACCACAGGCATGTACCACCACACCTGGCTAATTTTTGTATTTTTGTTAGAGATGCTGTTTTGCCATATTTCCCAGGCTGGTCTCAAACACCTGGGCTCAATCAATCCTCTCACCTCAGCCTCCCAAAGTGCTGGGATAACAGGTGTGAGCCACTGTGCCCGGCCTAATTGTTTTTTTGGGGGGGACAGAGTCTCACTCTATGGTCCAGGCTGGAGTGCTGTGGTGTGATCATAACTCACTGCAGCCTCAGTCACCTGGGTTCAAGCGATTCTCCTGCCTCAGCCTCCCAAGTAGCTGAACTAGAGGCACGCACCACCACGCACAGCTAATTTTTAAATTTTTTGTAGAGACAGGGATCTCACTTTGTTGCCCAGGCTGGTCTCGAACTCCTGGGCTCAAGCTATCCTCCCACCTCTGCCTCCCAAAGTGCTGGGATGACAGGCGTGAGCCACTGTCCTGGCCTGGCCCTTGACTTCTGTGGTGGAAGGTGGACTGGAGCCTCACCAAGTCTCACTCGAGTTGCGGAGAACAGACAGGAACAGGGACTTGCCTTCTGAGCAGTCTGTCTACCAGACACATGTCCTCCATCATACTCCGCAGTGCTAGGGTGGGCTATTCTTATCCCTGTTATGCAGATGAGGAAGTAGAAACCTAGAGAGATTGAAGCACTTGCCCAAGGCCAGGCAGCAGGTGAGAAGGTGAGAAGGCCATAGAAGCTTGCTTTCTCATTTCCCCTGCTGACTGCTGCATGGGGGGACAGGGCTATTGAGTACCCAGGAGTTATTTTGATCAAATGTGATAAGATGACAGACACAGAGACAACCGCCTTTGAAAGAGGAGTTTATTACTCACAGTTCCCAGGAGGAGGGGCACGTGGGGAAGCACCCAGGGCCAGTCAGGACAGGGAGGGGGTGAAGGGAAAGGGTGGGCAAGAGCCTTTATTGCCATTTTCCAGGCAAGGCAGAGGAGGCAAGCTGAGCAGAATTAGAACTGGGTCATTTCAGTGGGCTCTGGGCTTGGGGGTGGTATCTAGCTAGCTGGTACCTGGCCTTGGGGTGATTTAGGGCAGGGGGCTAGTGTTCAGGAATGCAGGAGCCTGATGAAAGGAGGCAGGTGGGACTCATGATGGTTGCTCTGCATATCAAAGGTATGCTCAGCCTGCACGGTGGCTCAAGCCTGGGATCTCAGTACTTTGGGAGGCTGGGGCCAAAGGATCTCTTGAGCCCAGCAGTTTGAGACGACAGTGAGCTATGATCATACCACTGCACTCCAGCCTGGGTGACAGAGTGAGACCCTGCCTCAAAAAAAAAAGAAAAAAAGAAAAAATAAAGTAAATAAGGCATACTCAGAGGCAAGTGGTCAGCTGTCTCTAGGAATTAGCTAACCCTGGGAGGGGAGTCCCTCTCTAGGTCCACGAGACCCCAAGATGTCAAAGCACCACAGATGAGAACACGATGGGGCTTGGCACGGTGGCTCACGCCTGTAATCCCAGCACTTTGGGAGGCCAAGGCAGATGGATCATTTGAGGTCAGGAATTCAAGACGAGCCTGGCCAACATGATGGAACCCTGACTCTACTAAAAATACAAAAATTAGCTGGGCGCAGTGGCAGGTGCCTGTAATCCTAGCTACTTGGGAGGCTGAGGCAGGAGAATTGCTTGAACCCGGGAGGTAGAGATTGCGGTACATCAAGATCGTGCCATTGCACTACAGCCTGGGCGACACAGCGAGACTCAGTCTCAAAAAAAACCCCCAAAAAACAGGCCAGGTGTGGTGGCTCATGCCTATAATCCCAGCACTTTGGGAGGTTGAGGTGGGCAGATCACGAGGTCAGGAGATCGAGGCCATCCTGGCCAACATGGTGAAACCCCATCTCTACTAAAAATACAAAAAATTAGCCGGGCATGGTGGCATGCACCTGTAATCCCAGCTAATCGGGAGGCTGAGGCAGGAGAATCGCTTGAACCTGGGAGGCAGAGGTTGCACTGAGTCGAGATGGCGCCGCTGCACTCCAGCCTGGGGGACAGAGCAAGACTGTGTCTCAAAAACAAAACAAAACAAAACAAAACAAAACAAACCCAAAAACAAAAGACACCATGAATGAAGAAAGCCTCCAGGAGGGGAAGTTTGCAGGTGCCTAGGCGTGTCCTTCAAAACTCTAACCCTGCTGGTCAGGTCATTTTTCTCAGGCCCTGAGAAAAGGAAATCCTTCCTGGTCTAAGTGTTACGAGCACGTTCAGTTCAGATTAAAGCAATTCTCTCATTTCAGTGCAACACCTACATTACTTTCCAGCTCTCTGGGGCCCCCATGAAGGAATGTTCCTGCCCCACACCCCCAGCCTGGGCCCCGCTCTGCTGCTGTGTGCTGGAGTCAGGTCTAGGGGCAAGCCCACAGCCTCTCCCTGTTTACAGCCAGAGCGGAGATCACTGCACGTTTCCAGCGTCCTCTTTGGCGCGGTGCGAGTGAGGGTCCTGCCTTGCAGGGCTGAATGAGGAGTACAGAGGACCCTGGGCACAGGAAGCTGGTGCTGGGTGCCCAGTGTGGGTGCTCTGAGGGCACTGGTGCCCCTTGGCCGCCCTTGCTTGACTCTTTGAGCTTGTCAGTCAGTCCTAAATGTTTCCAAGCTTCCTGGGGCGCTTGCAGCATGGGGCACCTAACCGGTCCCCAGGGCAGTTCTCCGCATTCTCCCTCTAACCTGGCTCCATTCTTTATGCCTTCACATCACGTGGGGAGCGTTACTCCCTGCCTCAGTTGGTTCACACTGCAATGGCAAACCACCACAGTCCAAGTGGCTTATAAACCACTATTCATTTCACAGGACGGTGCTGGCAGATGCCGTGTCTGGTGAGGGCCACTTCCTGGTTCATAGACAGTGCCCTCTTCCTGCATCCTCACATGGGGGAAGCAGCAGACAAGCTCCCTCCAGCCACGTTTTTTCTTTTTTCTTGTTTCTTTTTTCTTTGAGACAGGTTCTCAATCTGTCGCCCAGGCTGGAGTGGAGTGGTGTGATCTCAGCTCACTGCAGCCTCAACTTTCTGGGCTCAAGCAATCCTCCTACCTCAGCCTCCCAAGTAGCTGGGACTACAGACACATGCTACCACAACCGGCTAAGTTTTTGTAGTTTTTGTAGAGTCAGGGTTTTGCCATGTTGCTTAGGCTGGTCTCAAACTCCTGGACTCAAGCAATCCTCCCTCCTCAGCCTCCCAAAGTGCTGAGATCACAGATGTGAGCCACTGTGCCCAGCCAGCCACTTTTCTGAGGGCATTAATCCCGCTCATGAGGGAAGCAGCCCTCATGACCTCATCTCCCAAAGGCCCCACCTCTCTAAAACCATCGCCTTGGGGCAAGGACGTCAACATATGGACTTTGGGGGAACACACATGATATGATTTGGCTCTGTGTACCCACCCAGATCTCA
Source organism: Homo sapiens (assembly GCF_000001405.40). Lineage (NCBI taxonomy): Eukaryota > Metazoa > Chordata > Mammalia > Primates > Hominidae > Homo > Homo sapiens. The sequence continues at coordinate 105,304,945 of NC_000014.9, read as the reverse complement.
TCTTGAATTCCCACATATTGTGGAGGGACCTGGTGGGAGGGAATTGAATCATGGGGGCAGGTCTTTCCCGTGCTGTTCTTGTGATTGCGAATAAGTCTCACGAGATCTGACGGTTTTATAAGAGGGAGTTTCCCTGCAGAAGCTCTCTCTCTCCCTGCTGCCATCCACGTAAGACGTGACTTGCTCCTCCTTGCCTTCCTCCATGATTGTGAGGCCTCTGCAGCCACGTGGAACTACAGGTCCAATAAACCTCTTTTGTTTGTTAATCGCCCAGTCTCACGTATGTCTTTATCAGCAGTGTGAAAACAGACTGATACAATGCACATTCAGACCATAGCACCCCTCCTCTGCAGCCCATCTGAGCAAAGGCTTAGTTCTGGCAGCACGCACCTTGGGCCATTGCCCAGTAGAGCCTCACCCTTTTTTATATTTTATTTTATTTTATTTTATTTATTGTGAGATGGAGTTTCACTCTTGTCGTCCAGGCTGAAGTGCAATGACGCCATCTCGCCTCACCACAACTCCCGCCTCCCAGGTTCAAGCAATTCTCCTGCCTCAGCCTCCCGAGTAGCTGGAACTACAGGCGCCCACCATCACACCTGCTAATTTTTGTATTTTTTGGAAAGATGGGTTTCACCATGTTGGCCAGGACGGTCTTGATCTCTTGACCTCGTGATCTGCCCTCCTCAGCCTCCCAAAGTGCTGGGATTACAGTCCTGAGCCACCGAGCCTGGCTGAAACCACACCCTTTAAACCTCTTACCGTTGTGGGTGTGGTCTTCCCCACCCTCTGCTCCTCTGGCCAATCCTGTCCTGTACAGCCTGACTGTCCTGTACTGCCTGACTGTCCTGCACCGCTGTGGCCTGGGAGGCATGCTGCCCCTTGCACCTGCAGGCACCTCACAGGCTTTGGTGAGGGAGCACACGAAATAACCCCTCTAGTCTGTCAGGTGAGAGCAAGGATCCAGTGGCCACATGGCCTCAGATTGGATTCTGGCTTTGTTACCTACTGGCTATGAGATTTGGGGCTGTCACCCCTCACATCCTCAAGGGCTCCCTCCATAAAATGGAGACAACAGTGTCTGCAAGCTAGTGTTGCCATAAGGATGAAATGTCATCATGGACAGAGAGCATTTTGCATAGAGATCAATAATACATATTTGAAAAATCCCCAACATTTAGAAACAAAACAATACACTTCCTAATAACCCTTGGATCCGGGAGGAAATTAAGAGTGGAGACAATCTTGAGCTGAATGAAAATGAAAACACAGCACATTGAAATGTGCAGGATTCAGCTAAAGTGGTAATTACAGGGAGAATTATAGCAATAAAATGCCTATTTATAAAGGAAAAGAGATCTTAAATCAATGATTTCATCTTTCACCTTAAAAAACTAGGAAAAGGCCAGGCGCGATGGCTCACGCCCATAGTCCCAGCACTTTGGGAGGGCGAGACAGGTGGATCACGAGGTCAGGAGATCAAGACCATCCTGGCTAACACAGTGAAACCCTGTCTCTACTAAAAATACAAAAAATTAGCCAGGCATGGTGGTGGGCACCTGTAGTCCCAGCTACTTGGGAGGCTGAGGCAGGAGAATGGCATGAACCCGGGAGGTGGAGGTTACAGTGAGCCAAGATCGCACCACTGCATTCCAGCCTGGGTGACAGAGCGAGACTCCACCTCAAAAAACAAAACAAAACAAAAACTAGAAAAAGGGGCCGGGTGCATTGGCTCACGTGTAGAATCTCAACACTTTGGGAGACCAAGACAGGTGGATCACTTGAGGTCAGGAGTTTGGGACCAGCCTAGCCAACATGGTGAAACCCCATCTCTACTAAAAATACAAAAATTAGCTGGGCGTGGTGGCACATGCCTGTAATTCCAGCTACTTGGGAGGCTGAAGTGACAGAATCACTTGAACCTGGGAGGTGGAAGTTGCAGTGAGCTGAGATGGCACCACTGAACTCCAGCCTGGGTGTTCTCTATCTCAAAAAAAAAAAAGAACTAGAGAAAGGGCGGGGAGCAGTGGCTCATGCCTGTAATCCCAGCACTTTGGGAGGACAGGGCGGGGAGCAGTGGCTCATGCCTGTAATCCCAGCACTTTGGGAAGACAAGGCGGGTGGCTCACTTGAGCCCAGGAGTTCCAGACCAGCCTGGGCAAATGAGGCAAAAACCCATCTCTACAAAAAATATTATCTGGGTGTGGTGGCACATGCCTGTAGTTCCAGCTACTCGGGAGGCTGAGGTGGGAGGATCACCTGAGCCCAGGAGGTAGAGTCTGCAGTGAGGCTTGATTATGCTACTGCACTCCACCTTGGGTGACAGAATGAGACACTATCTCAATTTTTAAAAAATGAAGAAACTAGAAAAAGGGAACACATTGAACCAAATTAAGTGGAAAGAAGGATCTAACAAAAATGAGAGCAGAAATTAATGAAATAGGGCCATGCACGGTGGCTCATGCCTGTAATCCCAGCACTTTGGGAGGCTGAAGTGGGCGGATCACCTGAGGTCGGGAGTTCAAGACTGGCCTGACCAACATGGAGAAACCCCGTCTCTACTAAAAATACAAAATTAGCCAGGTGTGGTGGTGCATACCTGTAATCCCAGCTACTCGGGAGGCTGAGAGAGGAGAATCGCTTAAACCCAGGAGGCAGAGGTTGCAGTGAGCCGATATCTCACCACTGCACTCCAGCCTGGGCAACAGAGCAGAGACTCCGTCTCAAAAAAAAAAAAAAAAGAAAGAAAAAAAAGAGGGTGGGGTCTTCCGCATTTCCTTTTTTCTCTTTTTTTTTTTTGAGACAGAGTTTCACTCTTGTCACCCGTCACCCAGGCTGGAGTGCAATGGCGGGATCTCAGCTCACTGCAACCTCCACCTCTCAGGTTCAAGTGGTTCTCCTGTCTCAGACTCGCGAGTAGCTGGGATTACAGGCGCCCACCACCAAGCCTGGCTAATTTTTTTGTATTTTTAGTGGAGACGGGGTTTCGCCATGTTGGCCAGGCTGGTCTCGAACTCCTCACCTTACGTGATCCGCCTGCCTTGGCCTCCCAAAGTGCTGGGATTACAAGCGTGAGCCACTACGCCTGGTTACGCATTTCTTTTTAGGCTCATTCCTGGGTATGTCACCGGCCCTATGGCGATTGTGAACAGCACCTGCAGATATTTGAGGGCGTGCGCAGCCAGGGTTCCCGCTCTGGGCAGGGGGCACAGCGAGGTGACTCACGGGTAACCACAGGTGGCCACGAATGACTGCTAGAAAGTGGGAATTTTAGGGGAACAGAAAACGGAGAATAGCGGGGCGCACGGGGAGGCTCTGGAACCTGGGCGAGCGGAGCGGCGGACGCCGCAAATGCGGAGGGCGGGGCAGGGTGGCCCCTGGCGGGTGTCTCCACCTCTGCGGCCAGGCCCCCCAGCGCAGCTGCCCTGGCCCCGCCCACCACTCCCAGAGCCCGGGGTTGGGTCCCAGGTCGCCCTCAGGAGCCAAGGCCCCGCCCACCACGCTCGGCCCCCTCGCCTCAAGCCCCGCCCACAGTTCGGGTCCAGACCCAGGCTCCGCCCCCTTCCCCCGCCCACAGCTCCAGTTCCCTTCGCAGGCCGTCTCTCCACGGGAGGCCCCGCCCCCCACCCTCAGCCCCGCATCCGGCTGAGTCCTCACCCCAGGCCTCGCTCGCCGCTGGAGACCGCGCTCACTATCCGAGGAGGACCCTCCTCTGCCCCGCGTCCAGCTTTAGTCCCCGACTGCGTTCATCGCCAAGGGCCCGCCCACTGCCTTAGGTCGCGTCGCCAGCCTTGGGTCCCGTCGCCAGCCTTGGGTCCCGTCCCCGGCTGCACTCACCGCGAGGCCCCACCCTTAGCTCTAGTCCCCGGTGTCGCCCACCGACGAGGCCCCGCCCCAAACTCCAGTCCCGGGCTGCGCTCACCGCCGTGGCCCCGCCCCCAAGCGCCAGTCCTCGGCTGCGCTCACCGGTAGGCCCCGCTCGGGTTCCGCCGAAGCCCAGCCCCCGCAGGTCGCCCCTCCGACGCCGGCGCGCCGCAAGGGAGGCCAGCTCGCTCGCAGTGGGGAGGTCGCGGCTCCAGTCCTCGCGTCCCCGCCGTGGTCCCGGTGCCTGTCCCATCCCGCGGGCGCGGCCGTTGCGGGCGGCGCGGCCCGGGCGCGCGCGGCGAATCTGCGGCTGCGAATCGGCTGGAGCGGGGCCTCGCGAGAGCGGCGAGGCCTGGGCGGCTGGGCCTGGGCGGGCGGCGCGGGCTGCTCCGGAGGCTCGGGTGGCTTGAGAGTCTTGGGAGGCTCCGGGCGCTGCCCGCGCGGTCGCCGGCATGACGGGCCGCGTGTGCCGCGGTTGCGGCGGCACGGACATCGAGCTGGACGCGGCGCGCGGGGACGCGGTGTGCACCGCCTGCGGCTCAGTGCTGGAGGACAACATCATCGTGTCCGAGGTGCAGTTCGTGGAGAGCAGCGGCGGCGGCTCCTCGGCCGTGGGCCAGTTCGTGTCCCTGGACGGTGAGTCCCGCGGGCTGGCGCTGCGCGGATTTCTCGGTGCGGCTTAGGCGGGCTGGAGGCGGTGACGGCGCGGCCGGGACCAGCGCCTCGGTACCGCACGCTCTGTCGGGGCGCGCGGTTCTGCGCCGTCTGGGCGCGAGTGTGGATCCCCTTGGCGAGAATGTAGACCTTCTTCGCGCGCCTGTGGACCCCCGTGGCGTGCGTGGACTTCCTCGACACACGCGTGGGCCAGGGCAGCCAGCACAGGGAGGGTTGAAGAGAGCCTGGGGAGCCCAGAAGGCCCCTCAAGCTGCCCCTCACTGTCACTCTCTGTGCCTGCAGTTTTGTTTTCAGCAATGTCTGGTACTTAGAATCCGATTGCTGCTGCCCTTGGCCTTGGTGGTTACCGGGCGGATGCCCTAGGGCCACTCAGGCTGCTGCAGGCCTCGGAGGGGACGTTTCAGTGATGGGCAGTATTGCGGGCTGGGGATGGACCCCAGCCTGTGGAAGGAGCTGGACTGTGGCCAGTTTCAGGTGGTTGTGAATAGAGCTGCTAAAAGGATTCATTTGCAGCTCTCTGTGTGAACATACGTTTTCATTTCTCTGGGGAACTTAGCTGTATGTGTAACTCTATGGGAAACTGTCATGAACTGTTTTGTGATGTGGCTGTGCCATTATGCATTCTCACCAGTTGCCCCACATCTTCACCAGCACTTGGTGTTGTCGATGTTTTTATTTCGGTTGTTCTAACAGGTGTGTGGCATCTCATCATAGTGGTATTCTGTATTTCTCTACTGGCTAGTGATGTTCAACCTTATTAGGGTGCTTATTTGCCATGCCCGAATCCTCTTTGTTGAAATGTGTGCTCAAGTCTTATTTTTTTATTTATCTCGAGACAGGATCTCACTCTGTGGCCCAGGCTGGTGTGCAATGGCCCAGTCATGGCTCTCTGCAGCCTTGAACTCCTAGGCTCAGGCAATTCTCCTGCCTCAACCTCCTGAGTAGCTGAGACTACAGGTGCATGCCACCATGCTGTGATCATTTATTTTATTTTATTTTTAGTAGAGACAAGGTCTCTATGTTGCCCAGGCTGGTCTCAAACTCCTGGGCTCAAGTGATACTCCAGCCTTGGCCTCCCGAATTGCTGGGATTACAGCGTGAGCCACCACACCCTGACTCTCATTTTTTATTTGGGTTGTTTTCTTATTGTTGAGTTTTGGGAGTTCTTTGTGGATTGTAGTTACAAGCCCTTTGTTGTATATGTGATTTTCAAAGCAGAAGTTTTTTTTCTTTTGAGATGGAGTCTTGCTCTGTTGCCCAGGCTGGAGTGCAGTGGCTCGATCTCGGCTCACTGCAAGCTCTGCCTCCCAGGCTCACGCCATTCTCCTGCCTCAGCCTCCCGAGTAGCTGGGACTACAGGAGCCCACTACCATGCCCGGCTAATTTTTTTTGTATTTTTTAGTGGAGACGGGGTTTCACTGTGATAGCCAGGATGGTCTCGATCTCCTGACCTCGTGATCCGCCTACCTCGGCCTCCCAAAGTGCTGGGATTACAGGCGTGAGCCACTGCGCACGGCCTCAAAGCAGAAGTTTTAACTTTTTTTTTTTTTTTGAGACAGAATCTTGCTCTGTGGCCCAGGCTGGAGTGCAGTGGCACAATCTCGTTTCACTGCAACCTCTGCCTCCCAGGTTCAAGTGATTCTCGTGCCTCAGCCTCCCAAGTACCTGGGATTACAGGCGTGCGCCACCTCACTTGGCTAATTTTTGTATTTTTAGTAGAGACAGGGTTTCACCCTGTTCGTCAGGCTGGTCTTGAACACCTGACCTCAAGTGATCCGCCTGCCTCAGCCTCCCAAAGTGCTGGGATTACAGGCGCGAGCCACCGCACCTGGCCTAAATCTGTGGTCCATCTATGTTTTGTATAAGGTGTGCTTTGTAGGCTGAGGCTCATTGTTTATCTGGAGGTCCCCTTGTTTCAACACCGTTTGTTGAAAGACTGAAGGCCTTTGCTCCCTCGGCTGTGCTCACTGGGCCCCGTCCGTGCAGGTCTGTCTCTGGGCCTTGTGTCCTGCCCTGTTGATCAGGTGCCGTTTTCCTTTGTCAGCATCACACGCTTTTTTACTATACCTGTTATATTGTCCTGAAATCAGATATTGTGAGTCCCTCAACCTTTGTTCTTCCTTTTCAAAGTTGTTGTGGCTATTAATTTCCCTTTCTCTTTTTAATTTTAGAGTAAGTTTGTGCATCTCTGCAGGTCACATATTCTTACCTGAAATGCTTGGGACCAGAAGTGTTTTGGATACCAGAGTTTTCTGATTTTGGAATATCTGCATTATAATTACTGGTTAAGCATCCCTAATCGAAAAATCTGAAATCTGAGATGCTCCAGTGAGCATTTCCTTTGAGCATCGTGTTGATACTCAAAAAGTTTCATGTTTTGGAGCATTTATTTTTTATTTTATTTTTTTCTTGAGACGGAGTCTCGCTTTGCTGCCCATGCTGGAGTGCAGTGGCACTATCTCGGCTCACTGCAAGCTCCGCCTCCTGGCTTCACGCCATTCTCCTGCCTCAGCCTCCCAAGTAGCTGGGACTACAGGCGACCGCCACCACGCCCGGCTAATTTTTTGTATTTTTAGTAGAGACGGGGTTTCACCGTGTTAGCCGGGATGGTTTCGATCTCCTGACCTCGTGATCCACCTGCCTCAGCCTCCCAAAGTGCTGGGTTTACCAGCGTGAGCCACTGCACCGGGCCGTTTTGGAGCATTTATAATCTCAGATTTTTGGATTTGGGATGTTCAACCTGTACAAAAGTCCTGGTGGGGTTTTCATTGGAATTGCATTAAACCTCTTGATATATTTAGGGAGAGCTGACATTTTTTCTTTCTTTCTCTTTTTTTGAGACAGAGTCTCACCCTGTCACCCACGCTGAAGTGCAGTGGCGCGATCTGAGCTCACTGCACCCTCCGCCTCCCGAGTTCAAGTGATTCTGCTGCCTCAGCCTTCTGAGTAGCTGGGACTGCAGGCACACGCCACCACACCCAGCTAATTTTTGTATATTTTTTAGTAGAGACGGGGTTTCACCACATTGGCCAGGCTGGTCTCGAACTCCTGACCTCGTGATCCGCCCTCTTCGGCCTCCCAAAGTGCTGGGATTACAGGTGGGAGCCACTGTGCCCAGCTGACATTTTTTCTATGTTGAATCTTGTAGTCCATGGAACACAGTGTATGTTTGCATTCATTTAGATTTTCTTTGATATAGTCTGTCAGTGTTGGGTAGTTTTCAGCATACAGCTTCTGGACTTTTTTTTTGAGATGGAGTCTCGCTCTGTCACTCAGGCTGGAGTGCAGTGGTGCAACCTCGGCTCACTGCAACCTCTGCCTCTTGGGTTCAAGCGATTCTCGTGCCTCAGCCTCCCAAGTAGCTGTGATTACAGGAGCCCACCACCACGCCTGGCTAATTTTTGTATTTTTAGTAGAGACAGGGTTTCACCATGTTGGCCAGGCTGGTCTCGAACTCCTGACCTCAAGTGATCCCCCCCCACTTCAGCCTCTCAAAGTGCTGGAATTATAGGCATGAGCTGCCGTGCCTGGCCCTCTGGACATTTTTTAGATGTGTACCTAAGCTCTATTAGGAGTTATTATAAGTGGAATTTTTTTAATTTAGTTTTCAACTCTTCATTGCTTGTTTATATAAATATGGTTGATTTCTGTGTGTTGTCCTGTTTCCTATGGCTTTGCTAAACTTACTTGTTCTAAGAGGTTTTTTTTTTTTTTTCTTTTTTTTTGAGCTGGTGTCTTGCTCTTGTTGCCCAGGCTGGAGTGCAGTGGCACCATCTTGGCTCACTGCAATCTCCGCCTCCCAGGTTCAAGAGATTCTCCTGCCTCAGCCTCCCAAGTAGCTGGGATCACAGGCACCCGCCACCGCACCCAGCTAAGTTTTTTGTTTTTTTTTTTGAGACGGCGTCTTGCTCTGTCACCCAGGCTGGAGTCCAGTGGCACAATCTCGGCTCACTGTAAGCTCTGCCTCCCAGGTTCATGCCATTCTCCTGCCTGAGCCTCCCAAGTAGCTGGGATTACAGGCGCCCAGCACCACGCCCGGCTAATTTTTTGTATTTTTAGCAGAGGCGGGGTTACATGGATGGTCTCAATCTCCTGACCTCGTGATCCGCCCACCTCGGCCTCCCAAAGTCCTGGGATTACAGGTGTGAGCTGTTGCACCCGGCCGCAGTTTTTGTATTTTTAGTAGAGATGGGGTTTTGCCATGTTGGCCAGGCGATCCACCCGCCTTGGCCTCCCAAAGTGCTGGGATTACAGGTGTGAGCCACCACACCTGGCCCCTAAGAGTTTTTAATACACTCCTTGAGTTTTTTTTTTTTTTTTTTTTTTGAGATAGAGTGTCGCTCTGTTGCCCAGGCTGGAGTGCAGTGGCGCAATCTGGGCTCACTGCAACCTCCCCCTCCTGGGTTCAAGCGATTCTCCTGCCTCAGCCTCCTGAGTAGCTGGGATTACATAGGAGCCCACTACCATACCCGGCTGGTTTTTGTATTTGTAGTAGAGATGGGGTTTCACCATGTTGGTGAGGCTGGTCTTGAACTTCTAATCTCAAGTGATACACCTGCCTTGGCCCCTGAAAGTTCTGGGATTACAGGCGTGAGCCACCGCACCCAGCTTTTTTTTTTTTTTCTGGGACAAAGTCTCACTGTTGCCCAGACTGGAGTGCAGTGGTGTGATCACAGGTCACTGCAGCCTGGAACTTCTGGGTTCAAGAGATCCTTCCACCTGAGACTCCAGAGTAGCTAGGACTACGGGCATGCACTACCATGCCCAGCTAATTAAAAAAATTTTTTTTTGGTTGGGGAGACAGGGTCTAGGGTCTTGCTCAGTCACCCTGGCTGGAGTGCAGTGGTCATGGCTTACTGCAGTCGTAACCCCCTGGGCTCCAGTGACCCTCCCAGCTCAGCCTCCTGAGTTGCTGGTACTACAGGTGCGCCCTACTATACCCAGCTAATTTTTGTATTTTTCTTGTAGAGATGGGGTTTTGCCATGTTGACCAGGCTCGTCTGGAACTCCTGGGCTCAAGTAATTCTCCCGTCTTGGCCTCTCAAAGTTCTAGGATGACAGGTGTGAGCCAACGCCAATTTTTTTTTTTTTTTTTTTTTTTTTGTAGAGATGTGGTCTTGCTTTGCTGCTCAGGCTGGTCTCGAACTTCTGACCTCAAGGCATCCTCCCACCTTGGCCTCCCAGAGTGCTGGGATTAGCGGCATGAGCTGCTTTGCTCAGCGCCGGATGTTCTGTTGAGGGTTCCTGCTGATGCTTGCGTGGGATATTGGCCTGTAGTTTTTCCTGTAACGTCCTTGTCTTGGGTATCAGGGTTCTGCTCCTTATGGAATGGGTTGGGAAACGTTTCCTCTTCTATTTTCTGGAAGACATTATGTAGAGTTGGTGTTCTTTCTTTCTGAAATGTTTGGTAGAATTCACCAGCGTAGCCATCTGGTCCCAAAGCTTTCTTTCTCAGAAGATTCTGCACTGTGGTTTCGGCTTCTTTCATCACTGAGGTTCTAGTTATATTTAAGATGCTGTGTTTCACCTGGGGTGAATTAGCCGCTTGTGTTGAGGAATTGGTCCACTTGACCTAGTTGTTGAATTTGCCCAGAGAGTTGTTCGAAGCATTCCCTTATCCTTTTGATATCTGCGGGGTCCACAGTGGCCTCCTTTTTCCTTTCAGATGTTGGTGTTTTGTGTCTTTTTTTCCCTTTGTCTCTCTTGCTAGAAGTTGATCCGTGTTTTTGATCTTTTCTAAGAACTGGCTTGGGCTTCATTGAGTTTTCTCTCCTGCTCTTCCCTCCCCATCGTCTTCCATGCTCATACTCCCTGGGTATCTTCCTAGGACTGCTGGGCACAGAGTTTGCAGCTGTGTCACAGTTGCCAAGACTTGGATGTCTGTTGGGATGATAACAACAGTAATGAAAGCAAGTTGTCATGGCAGCAGACGCAGGGTTTCCCGGGCAGGCACAGTGTTAAGTGCATCCGGGCCTGGTGACAGCGCACTGCCCTCACTGTGCCCTGCCGGGGGAGGATGGTGGTGTGGAGCAGTGCAGAGCTGGAAGTCTGTCACCCGGGTGCTGTCAGAACAAGCTCAGAGCCAGCGCTGTCAGGTGGCCCCAAGACGCCTCTGAGCCCAGGCACACTCTCTGGAGGGAGGCGCAGGCCCAGCAACCAACTGTGGTGGTCCTGGGGGAAGTGCTGCGAGGCGGCGGGTTCTTAGCCCCTGGGGACCGGCGCAGGTGGTGCCTGGGCCGAGAGTGGGGAGGAGAGAGGGGATCTGTTGCTCTGGGCAGCCCCTCTGTCTCCCAGGCAGGCTCTCTAGGTGCCCACTTGGCATCCTTCCTCCCTCGTCACAGTGGTGATCACAGGGGGCTGGAAACCTTGGTGGCTTCTCAGTTTCCCTGGCACACAAGTAGGCCCCAGCCGCCCCTTCCTCCAGCTTCATCTTGAAAGCTGAGCTTTCTCTCTGAGCTGTCGTTTTCTAGTCCCAAGGCCACTGTCTTTCCTAGGTGTTTTGCCTATTAATTGAGAACTAAGCCTGATACAGCTTCGCAGTTTACTCTGGAATATTTAACTAAGGCATCAGGGCAGGTGACCAGAGGCCTCAGGAGAGTCCCCAGAGGGTCCTGACCTTGGAAGCCAGGCCCCACGGGGGAAACCACACTGGTGCTCCAGCGTCCCGGGGCACCCGAGCAGAGACTGTGCAGAGAGAAGGGTGGGTGAGGACTGAGGCTCAGCGTGGCTGGAGGGGCCAGGCAGACGGTGGAGTTGGGGGCCGTTGGCAGTGCCCTGAGGAGGCCGTCTGCTCCACTGAGGCAAGGCGGGGCTTCCCTGTGAGCCCACATCAGTGTCCTGCACTGTGTGTGCCCTGAGGCTTCCCTCTGCCAGCAGGTGATGGTGATGGCGCCCACACACCAGACATCCTGGGCTCCTGCTTGCAGGGGTCCCTCCTCGTCCTGTGCAAGGAGCAGCACACCTCAGTGTCACCAGAACTTGTGGGGGTGGGGAGCGTTTCCCGTAATCACAACTTTCAGTGGCTTCACAGTTAGAACTTCGAAGCTGGGGTGTCCGTGAGTGCTGCTGTTTTCCGTTTGGGGTCACGATGCAGCCGGACCTAATTTGTGACATGGCTGCATGTCACCTGGCGCTGGCCCTGGAGGGGGACATGGGTGGTGGAGTTGCCCTCGCCTGCTGGGAAGCTCCCTCTGCCTCAGAGAAGGATGTGACCGGCCAGCCTCTCCCTGCGGCCTGGGGTTCTGAGCATGCGCCTGGCCTCCTGGCGGGGCTCTAGTCCTGAGGGTGGAAGGCTCCAGGCTTCTGCCTCTGCTCCATGACCCCCAGAACCCTAAGTTGTGGCTGAAGGTGCCTGCTCTTAGGAAACGGGTGAATTCTGTCCCGTTGCCATCTGGGTGAGGGAGGAAGCTGCTGGTTAGCCTGCAGCGTGACACACGTCCTGTTTTCCGTAACCAAATTGTAATCACTACAAAACCAGCTCCTCCGCAGTGGCCTGGGGAAGGGGCCTGGGCTTGGGAAGGGGTCTGGACCTGGGGAGGGGATGTGGGCCTGGGGAAGGGGTGTGGGCCTGGGAAAGGGTTGCTCCTGGGAAGGGTCTGTGCCTGGGAAGGGGTGTGCGCATGGGAAGGGTCTGCGCCTGGGAAGGGGTGTGGGCTGCCGTGCTTGGCCCTGTTTGTCAGTGCTCCTCCCAGATGTCTGATGCTACTGCATCCAGCCCCACCAGTAGGCACACGCTCTGTGTTCCCGGGTCCCCGTCCCCAGCTCTCAGGGATGCACTGCGGTCTGGTCCAGCCTCCTTTGGGCACTCACCTGTGGGACCCCTGAATTCCTCTCCATCCATTACTGCCCAGCCAGCCAGGCCTCCTACAGGTGTCTCCCCTTAAAAGAAGTTTCCAGTCAGGTTTGGTAGCTCATGCTTGTAATCCCAGGATTTTGGGAAACCAAGGTGGGAGGATCACTTGAGGTCAAGAGTTTGAGACCAGCGTGGGCAACATAGTGAAACTGTCTCTACAAAAACTAAAAAAACAAAACAAGAAAAAACCCCAAAATACAAAAATTAGCTGGGCATGGTGGTGGGCGCCTGTAATCCCAGCTACTTGGGAGACTGAGGCATGAGAATCGCTTGAACCCGGGAGGTGGAGGTTGCAGTGAGCCAAGATCGTGCCATTACACTCCAGCCTGGGCGACAGGAGCGAAACTCTGTCTTGTCTTCAAAAAAACAAACAAAGAAAACAAAAAATAAGAAAACATTAGCTAGGCGTGGTGGCGCATGTCTGTGGTCCCGCCTATTTGGGAGGCTGAGGTGGGAGGATTCCTTGAGTCCGAGAGGTTGAGGCTGCAGTGAGCCGTGATGGTGCCCCTGCGCTTTAGCCTGGGTGACAGAGTGAGACTTCTTTTTTTTTCTTTTTGAGATGGAGTGTCTCTCTTGTTGCCCAGGCTGGAGTGCAATGGCGCAATCTCATCTCACTGCAGCCTCCGCCTCCCGGGTTCAAGCGATTTTCCTGCCTCAGCCTCCCAAGTAGCTGGTATTACAGGCATGTGCCACCATGCCCGGCTAATTTTTGTGTTTTTAGTAGAGACGGGGTTTCGCCATGTTGGCCAGGCTGGTCTCAAACTCCTGACCTCAGGTGATCCACCCGCCTTGGCCTCCGAAGGTGCTGGGATTACAGGCGTGAGCCACCACGCCCGGCCAGACCCTGTCTCTTAAAAAAAGGAAGTTTCACAGCAGCAACAGAAAGTCTCCAGTTAAAAAAAAATTTTTTTTTGACAGAGTCTTGGCTCACTGCAACCTCCATCTCCTGGGTTCAAGCAGTTCTCCTGCCTCAGCCTCCCGAGTAGCTGGGACTACAGGAGCACACCACCATGCCTGGCTAATTTTTTTTTTGTATGTTTTAGTAGAGACGGGGTTTCGCCCTGTTGGCCAGGCTGGTCTTGAACTTCTGACCTCAAGTGACCCACCCACATCGGCCTCCCAAAATGCCGAGATTACTGTCATGAGCCACTGAGCCCGCCCCCAGTTAAGTTGAATGAGCACGTGAATATTAAAGGTTATTGCTTTCTCATGTTGGAAGAATCCTGGTGTGAAATGGACAGTGCTGTGCTGGGTCTTTCAGGACATGGAGGGCCCCTGGCCCGCCTTTCTGTCTGTTCGGCGGTATGGGGTGTTGCTGGCTTTGTCGGAGCTCAGAGGTGCCCCTGCGGCCTCTGGCCCTGCTCTGGCTCTGGTGGAACCGCAGGTCCTCCCTTGCTGTACACAGGGGGGCAGTCTTGGCCAGGCCCCACAAGACCTGGCCCCTTCCACATGTCAGTTCCAGCTAACGGGAACTAGCACATATTTTTTGTTATAGAAACACGCTATGGAAAATACCAAATGTTTTTAGAAGTAGAGGGCATCCTGGCAGTTTCAGCCAGAGGTGGCACTTTCCTCTTTCATCCTCCCTGTGGGTTAGTGTTCTGAGGTTTCACACTGTCCACATGTGTCCTGTGTGTGTGTGCCTGCAAGTGTGCACGCACCAGGGTGTGAGGCAAGCAGAAGCCAGGAGGCGCTTCCAGAGCAGGTGCAGCAGCGTGGCCCCAGGGAGGGTGACTGTGGTGTTGGGGGACAGGGAGAACAACACAGGGACAGGAAACAGAGGTCCTGGGGTGTGAGGAGGGTATGGGAGGCTGGAGGGTGCAAGACAGAGTGATGGAGGAGGGAGGGCAGAGGTGGCAGGTGGAGCGTGGAGCTGCTGACGCATGCAGCTTTGCAGTGTGCTGTGGTGCAAGCTGATGGGTATGGGTCAAGGAGTGAAGAGATTGCGTAAAACACAACCAGAATCGAAATCATCACTGTAATTTAACGTGGCATCTCACTGTGGCCCTGTTCTGTCAGAAGCACGCCTGCAGCCCACTGTACCTAGGCAGGGAAACGTGGCTATAATGGAGGCTGTACGGCGTCCCCTGTTCTTGGAAGGTGGGGCTTCAGGGGCTTTTTATTTATTTGTTTTTGAGATGGAGTTTCGCTCTTGTTGCCCAGGCTGGAGTGCAATGGCGCGATCTCGGCTCACCACAACCTCTGCCTCCCAGGTTCAAGTGATTCTCCCGCTTCAGCCTCCTGAGTAGCTGGGATTACAGGCATGTGCCACCATGCCTGGGTAATTTCATATTTTTAGTAGACACGGGGTTTCTCCTTGTTGGTTAGGCTGGTCTCGAACTCCCAACCTCAGGTGATCCAACCGCATCGGCCTCCCAAAGTGCTGGGGTTATAGGCGTGAGCCACTGCACCCAGCTGGCTTTTTATACTTTGATCATTGTCCTTTTTCTAATGTAGTGTTATATGAGTTATTTATTAAAAGCATTATATACACTAATTAGAATATAGTGAGATTTTTCTTTTTCTAAAGTGAAAGTTGGTGAGGGAGCATGTGCTGGAGACCAGCATGCCAGGGGCTACACAGAATGGTGATCTTAATTCGAACGCTTAGAAAAAACAGGCGGGGCGTGGTGGCTCACGCCTGTAATCCCAGCACTTTGGGAGGCCGAGGTGGGTGGATCACTTGAGGTCGGGAATTCAAGGCCAGCCTGGCCAACGTGGTGAAACCTCATCTCTAGTAAAAATACAAAAATCAGCTGGGCGTGGTGGCACGCACCTGTAGTTCCAGCTACTCAGGAGGCTGAAGCAGGAGAATTGCTTGAATCCGGGAGGCGGAGGTTGCAGTGAGCCGAGATCGCACCACTACACTCCAGCCTGGGCGATAGAGCGAGACTCCGTCTCAAAAAAAAAAAGAATACACACTGCTCACAAAACAAAGAACTCTGAGGGAGGGTCGGAGTTGCAGGCACCTGGAGCTCAGCCTGGGGAGGCCTGGGCCAGATTTCTGCAGAATTTAGAATTGGCTCATCAGTGCTGCTCAAAGCCCCCTTATTCCAGGATGGGTCTCTCCTGAGTCCTGCGTTTCTCCCTGGCCTCTCTTCTGGATTCTCATATCAGCAGGCACCTCACTGTGGCCCTGCCAGGTCCTCTCCAGCCCCCACAAGGAGACACCACTGCGACCTGCTCCAGCTTCTGTTTAGTTTATTATTTGTTCAGACAGGTTCTCACCGTGTTGCTCAGGCTGGAGTGCAGAGGTGCATCACAGCTCACTGCAGCCTCCACCTTCTGGACTCAAACGATCTGCCTGCCTCAGCCACCTGAGTAGCTGGGACCACAGGCATGCCCTACCATACCCCGCTCATTTTTTTTTTGTAGAGATGGGATCTTGCTATGTTGTCCAGGCTGGTCTTGAACTCCTGGGCTCAAGCAGTCTTCCTGCCTCAGCCTCTCAAAGTGCTGTGATTACAGATGTGAGCCACTATGCCTGGCCTGTTCTAGCTTCTTTTTTTTTTTTTTTTTGAGACAGGGTCTTGCTCTGTCACCCAGGCTGGAGTGCAGTGGCACGATCTCAGCTCATTGCAGCCTCGACCTCCCGGGCTCTAGTGATCCTCCAACCTCAGCCTCCTGAGTAGTAGGACCACAAGCAGGTGCCACCACACCCAGCTAATTTTTTTCAGTTTTTTTTTGTAGAAATGGGTCTCCCCCCATCCTGGCTAACACAGTGAAACCCCGTCTCTACTAAAAACACAAAAAATTAGCCGGGCGTGGTTGCAGGCACCTGTAGTCCCAGCTACTCGGGAGGCTGAGGCAGGAGAATGGCATGAACCCAGGAGGCAGAGCTTGCAGTGAGCCAAGATCACGCCACTGCACTCCAGCCTGGGTGACAGAGCGAAACTCTGTTTCAAAAAAAAAAAAAAGAAAGAAAGAAAGAAAGAAATGGGTCTCCCCGTGTTGCCCAGGCTGGTATTGAACTCCTGGGTTGGGCGATCTTCCTGCTCCGGCCTCCCAAAGTGTTGGGACCACAGGTGTGAGCCACCATGCCCGGCCACCACTCCAGCTTCTTTTTTACTTTATTTTATTTTTATTTTTATTTTTATTTTTTTGAGACGGAGTCTTGCTCTGTCACCCAGGCTGGAGTGCAGTGGCACCATCTCTGCTCACTGCAACCTCCACCTCCTGGGTTCAAGCGATTCTCCTGCCTCAGCCTCCTGAGTAGCTGGGATCACAGGCACCCGCCACCACGCCTGGCTAATTTTGTATTTTTAGTAGAGACAGAGTTTCACCATGTTCGCCAAGATGGTCTCGATCTCCTGACCTCGTGATCCACCCACCTCGGCCTCCCAAAGTGCCGGGATTACAAGCGTGAGCCACCGCGCCCGGACCTTCTACAGCTTCTTGAAAGCCACTAGGTTTGTGGCAATTTTTATGGCAGCCACAGAAAACTAGTACATAGATCCCAGTTGTGACAACCTAGGTAGTCTCCAGGCACTGCCCCCGTCCCGGCACCACCTTTGTTGGAGGCCTGTGCTCAGTGCTGGTGCCCTGCTGCTGCTGCCGGCCACCCCTGTGGCCACGTTACCCACCAGGAGGCCGGCTCTGGGCCTCAGCCTGAAGGAGGCCCGGGCTTTGCCTCTGCTGCCACCAGGAAAAGCTGAGTGCCACCTGACCCTGTTCAGCTCTGAGTTTCCGGACGGGCCCAGTAGCTGCCCCTTGCTCTCTTCAAAACTTTTCTTGGCTGCTCTAATTCCTTTTTGCTTCCAACTGAACTTTAGAATCATTTTACTGGAGTCTTTAAAGAGTGTTGTTAGTATTTGTTTGGGATTCAGTTACATTCATTGTGAAGCCAGAGGCCGTGCCTGTTCTGCCTTGTCTGTGCTGGTGGCTGCCCCTGGATGACGCTGAGGTCCCTGCCTCATGGTTTCCCTGGAGGGCCTGGCCCCAGGCTCCAGCGATTGGCTTTCTGCTTCTGCATCCTATCCTTCCAGTGTCCTCCGACAGGCCCTACACACTTGCCTTCCCCCAAGTGGCCAAGGTTGTCTGCGCGTCCCGATTGCAGCAGCCTCCAGTCCTGTGTCTGTGCTTTGTCACAAATGCACTGGCCCCTGTGCCAACCACTGAGGGCCGACGCTGCGGGGCGGGGGGCACTTTCCAGCTCTCCCCATCTTTGGGCATGCCTGGGGCCTCACCTTACTGTTCTCGTTGGAAGATCAGGCCGCAGCGTTTGGGTTGGTGAACCTGGTGAACAATCCACATGTCCACCATGCTCATTGGGAGATCAGGCTGCAGCGATCGGGCTGGTGAACCTGGTGAACAATCCAAATGTCCACCTGATGTTTCCAGAGGTACCAGGGCCAGGTCTTAACCCCGAAGCCCTGCAGGGCAGAATGTGGTGGACGTCGTAGGCATGCTGTCAGTTGGCAGAGCTTCGGAGTAGAGTGTCCAGCAGGTTCAGCTGCAGCCTCCCCATGGGTGGGTGGACTGAGGCGTGGGGGCCTTCTGCAGACTGGCTGGTTGCAGTGCCTTGGGGCACATGGGATGGTACCTGCGTCCCCTGCAGTCCAGCAGGGAGGTGGATGTGTTCACATGTGGTCACCATGCAGGAGTGATATCTGAGTGGGCTGGCCTGGGGCAAGGGGGACGGCCAGCCCATGCTGTGTGTGCACCACTTGCAGAGGTTTGGAGGTACATCTGTGTTCTCGCCCGGCAGCCATTTGACAGCGTCCACTCTGGACTTGCAGTGTGTTAGGGACATGGTTAGAAAATGCAGAAAGTGCCTGTAATCCCAGCCGGGCGTGGTGGCGGGCACCTATAGTCCCAGCTACTTGGAAGGCTGAGGCAGGAGAATGGCGTGAACCCAGGAGGCGGAGCTTGCAGTGAGTGGAGATGGGACCACTGCACTCCAGCCTGGGCAACAGAGGGAGACTCCGTCTCAAAAAAAAAAAGAAAATGCGGAAAGTGCAGTTGGCCCACCCTCAACCCTGCTGGCTGGGCAGAGTGAGAGATGCTTCCCCCACTGGGGTTCCTGGCTCAGTGACGGAGGTGCGGGGGGCCGACCTGCTGCTTCCCCCATGAGTGCTGACCCCCGCTTTGTTCTCACTTTGTGTCTGTGGATGTTAGGAAAGGGTTGTAAATGCAGATCTCCAAGTTTTGGCTGATCTGTCTTTTTTTGTGTTTCCAGGTGCTGGCAAAACCCCGACTCTGGGTGGCGGCTTCCACGTGAATCTGGGGAAGGAGTCGAGAGCGCAGACCCTGCAGAATGGTATTTCCCACCGCGGATGCTGCTGAGCGTGCGGCGGGTCCCAGAGATGGGGATGGTGGTGCTAGGGTGGAGGGCACTGACTCAGCCATGGACCTCATGGCCTGCCACTTCCTCGTCACCCTGCACGCCCAGCCCAGGCTGCTTTCCAGGAGGAATTGTGCCCTGAGTCCCCTCCTGGGTGTCCTGCAGACTCTGCCAGGGCTGTTTGGGGAGAACCCAGTGGATCCCACAGGATCCACAGCCATTGCTTGATGGCCTCAGTGAGATGGAGGCAGAAATAACACATTTATAGCAGTTGGATATTGTAGTGACATTCTCACTGCGTTTTGTCAAAGTGCCAGTTCACCACAAACTGGAGAAATGTCTGCTGGGTTATTTGTCTTATGATTGAGTTGAAAAAGTTCTTTATGTGTTTTAGGTACAAGTCTTTTATCGGATGTGTGATTTTATATATTTTAGGTGCAAGTCGTTTATCGGATGTGTGATTTTATGTGTTTTAGGTACAAGTCTTTTATCGGATGTGTGATTTATAGGACATTTTCAGCCATTTCATGCGTTCTTTTCATTTTCTTTTGTCTTTTTATTTTTCGCTGGTATCCTTTGGAGCATGAAAGTTTTAAATTCTGATAGTATCCAGTTTACCTATTTAGTCTCTTGATGGCTGTGCTTTTGGTATCATAACTAACAAATGTTGCCTAATCCAGTCCAAATCGTGAAGATTTGTGCTTATGATTTTTTGGAGTTTTGCGCCTTCCTCTCTTTCCAGTAGGTTTTGGTCCATATTGAGTCAGCGTTTGCATGTGATGTAAGGTAAGGGCCTGCCTTCACTCCTGCACGTGCAGACCCAGTTTTCTCAGGACCATGTGTTGAAAACACTGTATTTTGCCAGTTGGCATCCTCTTGGTGCCCTTGCTGAAAATCGATTGACCGTAAACCTAAAAGCTCATTTCTGGATCCTCAGTTTGGCTTAGTGACTGCATGACAGTCCTGGTGCCCGTTCCACGCTGTTCAGGACACTGAAGCTTCGCAGTCAGTTTTGAAATCAGGAACTGTGAGTCCTCTAACTGCTCTCTTTCAAAAGTGTTATGCTGCCTGTTTGAAGTCCCTTGAGTGGCAATATGAATTTTAGGATCAGCTTGTCAGTTTCTGCCAAGAAGTCAGCTGGGATTTTGACGGGGATTGCGTTAATATGTTGGTCATTTTGGGGAACACTGCCGCCTAAACAGTGTAAAGTCTTCTGATACCTGAATACAGGATTTCTTTCCATTTATTTGGGTCTTCTTTAATTTGTTTCAACAATTTTATTAGTTCTCAGAGTATAAGTTTTGTACTTCTTTTGTCGAATTTAGTCTCAGTTGATATGTATTGATCTTGTATCTTGCAGCCTGGCTGAACTCATTTTTTATGCTGAATAGTTTTTTAGCGGATCACTTAGGATTTTCGGTACAAGATCGTGTTATCTTTCCTTTCTAGTCTAGTGCCTGTTTTTTGTTTTTGTTTTTTTTGTTTACCACATTGAATAGCAGTGGTGTGAACAGACATCCTCTTGTCCTTGATCCTGGGGAAGCATCCAGTCTTCACCATTGAGTGTGGGTTGGCCGTGGGTCAGTCCAGGCAGGGATACTTTGTGCTAGGATCTCTTTGGCTTCACTGTTTCATTGAGTACACTCTCAGGAACCTGAGGACCACGTGAGGGATTCTTGTGATCGGTGCAGCCATGTCCTGCAGCCTTAGTGTGGATGCTGGAAGGTGGTCGGGACAGGTAGAACATCTCTTGTGGACAGCACGTCACCCTGGCTGTTTTCTCCTGGGCCATCTCCAGGAGGCCGGGCTCTTGAGCACCTGCCTCTGCTCCTGGCTGCTGCTGCCGACGGGTGGCCAGCACCGACACACCTAGGCTGGCAGGGGTAGTTGGGCTTGCGATGATCCCTCACAGCAGAGTGGATGGATCCTTACGCTTCCCTTGTGCTTTTTTCCTTGTCCTGCTGTGGACTTACTAGTAGAGGAGTATAGTCAGCGCCTTTCTTCCTGACTGCCGGTGTGATTCTTCTGCAGTAGAGAGCACCCTCTGTGTGATTTCAGTCTTCGGAAATGCTTCGAGCCGTGGCCGGGTGGAAGGCCAGTTTTGTGGACGTGCATGTGTGTTGGGCGCTTGAATGCGTTTCCTGCAGGAAGCGGGTGCAGCGCAGCACATCCCTCTTCCTCTCCACTGGCTGGTTCTCTGTGTCTGCCACCGAGAGTGTGCATGAAGACCTGGCACAGTGACTGGATCCGTCCTGTCCTACCCACAGTTTTGTCAGTTTTTTGTTTTGTCTGTTTCAGGGCTTCCTGGCACACACGTTTACAGTTCCTCCAGGTGGGGGCTGGGGCTGCGCTGCCCAGGGGCCCTCCTGACCTCAGGCTGCCTGGGTTGGGGCCCAGCTCTGCCCATTGCTTGTGGTGCCACTAGGCTATCTCCTTTTTTTCTTCTACTGACTTCAAGATTTTCTCCATGTGAAGAGCTTTGTTCTCCACAGAGAATGTAGTCTGTATTTTCCCAAAAACTCGCGGTATCTTTACTAGAGTTGGTCGTGCCTCAGACCTATACAAATTGCAAAGAGTAGTGTCGGTGCAGACGCGTGCATTGCAATAGGATTGGAAACCAACAACAGAGAAAGAGAAATGGCTCATCTTACCTTTTCAAAAGCCTTTTAAATACCTTTGGTTCAAGAAAGAAATGAAAATTGGAACATACATGCTCCCTAATTAGGGGTGAGTGTCAGTGAAGGTTGTGACCTGCAGGCCCAGGAGGCCCCGTGGACCCCACTCACTGTGTGGGGGAAGCTGCGGGGCCCCCACCCCTCTTGAGTCTTACTGGGGATGGGTGGTTCTGGGGGACCCTATGCTGATCTTTGTACCTGGGTTCCCACCTGAGGTTCTGCAGCTGCAGCCTGGGTACCTGCAGCATCAGGGGCCATGCCCTGCTGCCCACTCAGTGAGCTCTCCCACCCGCCTGCCCCGGGCCAGGCACCGCTCCTGCCTGGGTGGGGTGTGGGGCTGAGGGAGGCCATTGGTCCAGCCCCTGTCCTGTTTCCTGCTGACTTTTCGCCGGAGTCGTCCCTTTTGCTGCCAGTCAGGCCCCCTGCTGTGGCAGTGATGTCCTCCTCTGCCTTGGCTGGCTGGGCCCGCCGTACCTCCTTGCTGTCGAGTGTCCTGGGAGCATGTCTGTGAGGCAGATCCTAACGTATTTTTCAAATACTTCTGGAGACACAAGAGGGGATTTTGGCCCATTATAACTGGCACATTTCTGATGCTTTGGGCTCTTCCTGCCTCTTATTTTGTATTTCGTATTTATCTTACCTTTTGTTTGTTTGTTTGTTTTTTGAGATGGAGTCTCGCTCTGTCACCCAGGCTGGAGTGCAGTGGCGCGATCTGGGCTCACTGCAACCTCCGCCTCCTGGGTTCAAGCTACTCTCCTGCCTCAGCCTCCCGAGTAGCTGGAGTTACAAGTGCCCACCATCACGCCCGGCTAATTTTTGTATTTTTAGTAGAGACGTGGTTTTGCCATGTTGGCCAGGCTTATCTCGAACTCCTGACCTCAGGTGATCCACCCGCCTTGGCCTCCCAAAGTGCTTGAATTAGAGGTGTGAGCCACTACACCTGGCTGTATTTATCTTACTTTTAAAAAACCCTTTATTTTGATTGATTGATTTATCATGGGTTATGTTTGTTTAAATTTTGTTTATTCTCCTTTGTTCTCCCCATACCGCCTTGGTTGAAGTTTTCATATCAGCCCTGGTCCCGCTGCAAGCTTGGCCCACGGCCTCCACTCCCGCCCGCCACCCAGCCTGCCAGGTTTGGTGGAAATCTGTGAATGTAGCTTCCGACTGTTACTGTTTTGGTGAAGTCTTGATTGCCTTTCTTAGAAAACTGCAAAGATGGAAATAAACTCACGGGCCACCCTTCCTGCCCGCAGCGACAGTCATGTTCTGCGAGGACTCTGTCTCCTCTGCTTGCCTCCGTGCACCCTGCGAGGTCACAGGCCCCTCCTTTGGTTTGCTGGGGACACGCTGAGACTGTATTTAGAGAAAGGGTCTGGGAGAGAGAAACTCCTGCCCCTTCCCCCTGGGATGGTTGCCAAGGGGTTGAGACAGGCACCCCATGGAATGTGGGGAGCATCTGCTCCGGGTCCACCAGCAAGAGACGTTGAATGCCAGTGTGTTTTGATCTCTGTTTTTAAAATCTCAGGCCTTTTGGGATGATTTCTTTGATGTTCTGAAGCGACGGTTCTGAAATGCCGCTAGGTGGGGCTCTCTTCATTGACCTGATGAGCCTTTCGTTTGGGACGCGTTTCTCAGGGAAATTCTTTTTCTGTTCTCTTGGTCTGTTTTTCCTAGTATAGCACGCATAGTAAAGTGCATGAAATGTGCTGACCTTCCATGAACCACCTGACAAATCCACATGAGTCAGGCCTGCAGCAGCTCAGAAAGCACCTGCTGCCCACTGGCTTCACTTGGTTTTCTGCTTCATACAGTGGGAATCATATAGAAAGGAATTTAAAAAAAAAAAAAAGACTTGTAATTTTTAGAGCATTTTAGGTTCACAGCAAAATGGATCGGCAGAGAGTTCCTGTAGACTCTGAGCACCTCCCACCACACAGCTTCCCCTGACCCCGTCAGTGCCCCCCTCCACTGTGGTGCACGAGCTGCAGTCAGCCGCCCCACATCGACTCATCAGGATCACGCAGGCTCTGTCCACACACCCGGGCTCAGGATCACGCAGGCTCTGTCCACACACCCGGGCTCAGGGTCACGCAGGCTGTATCCGCACACCTGGGCTCAGGGTCACGCAGGCTGTATCCACACACCCGGGCTCAGGATCACACGGCCTCCACCTCACACCTGGGCTCAGGATCACGCAGCCTGTATCCACACACCCGGGCTCAGGGTCACACAGGCTGTATCCGCACACCTGGGCTCAGGATCACGCAGGCTGTATCCACACACCCGGGCTCAGGATCACACAGGCTGTATCCACACACCCGGGCTCAGGGTCACGCAGGCTGTATCCACACACCCGGGCTCAGGATCACGCAGGCTGTATCCACACACCCGGGCTCAGGATCACACGGCCTCCACCTGCACACCTGGGCTCAGGATCACGCAGCCTGTATCCACACACCCGGGCTCAGGGTCACGCAGGCTGTATCCACACACCTGGGCTCAGGGTCACGCAGGCTGTATCCGCACACCTGGGCTCAGGGTCACGCAGGCTGTATCCACACACCTGGGCTCAGGGTCACGCAGGCTGTATCCACACACCCGGGCTCAGGGTCACGCAGGCTCTGTCCACACACCTGGGCTCAGGGTCACGCAGGCTCTGTCCACACACCTGGGCTCAGGGTCACGCAGGCTGTATCCGCACACCTGGGCTCAGGGTCACGTGGGCTGTATCCACACACCCGGGCTCAGGGTCATGCAGCCTCCACCTGCACACCTGGGCTCAAGATTATGCAGCCTCCACCTGCACACCCAGGCTCAGGGTCACGTGGGCTATATCCGCACACCCGGGCTCAGGGTCACGCGGGCTGTATCCGCACACCCGGACTCAGGATCACGCAGCCTTCACCGCACAGCCGGGCTCAGGATCATGCAGCCTCCACCTGCACACGCAGGCTCAGGATCACACAGCCTCCACCTGCACACGCGGGCTCAGGATCATGCAGCCTCCACCTGCGCACGCGGGCTCAGGATCATTCAGGCTGTATCTGCACACCTGGGCTCAGGATCACGCAGCTTCCACCACACACCCAGGCTCACGCTGGGCGGTGCGTGTTCTATGGGTTTAGATGAATGCGTAGTGACGGGTAACCACTGTTACAGTTTCATACAGAGTGCTTTCAGAGTCCTAAAGATCCCCTGAGCTCCACCCATTCATCCCTCCTTCCCCAGCCTCCAGCAACCATTGATCTTTTCACCGGCGCTTGGTCATGTGGTCGTAGAGCTGGAGTTGCACACTGTGCATCCTTTCTCTGTGCAGCCTGTCACTCAGCCATGGGCATTTAACTGTCCTCCAGGTCTCTGCACAGCCTGTGGCCTCTTTCTCTTTAGTGGTGAGTAATATTCCACCGCCTAGGTGCGCCACAGTTGATTTATCCTTTCACCTGCTTGCTGAAGGGAATCTGGGCTTGGGCGATTATGAGTGAAGCTGCTGTAAACGTCACGTGCAGGTTTTTCTGAGTGATTGCTGGGTGGTGTGGTGAGAGTATGCTGAGTTTTGTAAGAAACTGCCAAACCCTTTTCCAAAGCACCTGAGCCATTTTGTGCTCCCAGCAGCAAGGAAGGAGAGCTCCTGTGGCTCTAGTCGTCCGCATCTGGCTTGCCAGTGTCTGGGCTGGAGCCGTTCTAGAACGTGCTGTTTTGGAGCGTGTAAGTAGTTTATTCTTTTATTGCAATGTAGTATTTCATGGGATGAATAGACCACAGTTTATCTCCTTTTCCTGTTGATGGACGTCTAGGGTGTTTCCATTCTTGGCTGTGCACAGGAAGCTGCTGTGCGTGTTCTTGCACCTGGTCCTTCGGTGGACACAGGTGCCCCCTCCGCTTGGGAGTTTACCTGCGAATGGGTGTCTGGGTCCTGAGGTCTGGGTGTGCTCATCATTAGATAGGGCCACAGGGTTTTCTGTAGTGCTTGTACCAGTTCATGTTCCCACCAGGAAGCAGTGTAGGAGAGTCCCAGTGGCTCCGCAGCCTTGTTCACATGTGGCATCATCAGCCTTTCCAGTTGTAGTCTTTCTGGTAGGTGTGTAGCACACTCGCTGCGGCATTAATTCGCTTTCCCTGGTGAGTAATTATGGCCACAACCTTTGCTCATGCTTCTTGGCTGTTGGGACGTCCTTTCTGTGTGAAGTGCCTATTGGCGTCTTTTGTGCTTTTTAAAAACTGAGTTGTCTTTTTCTTACAGATTTGTAGAGTTCTTTATATATTCTGGATTCGAGTCCTTTGTTGGATATACATGTTTCGAATCCTCCTCCCACGTCTGTAGCTTGTCTCACTCTCTTAATGTTGTCTTTTGACGAACAGAAACTTCTGAATTTTTTTTTTTGAGACTGGGTCTCACTCACTCTGTGGTCCGGGCTGGAGTGCAGTGGTGCAGTCGATGCTCCTTGCAGCCTCAACCTCCCAGACTAAAGCCGCCCTCTCACTTCAGCCTCCCGAGTAGTTGGGATCACGTGTACATGCCACCACATCCACTCATTTTTAATTTTTTTCTTTGACATGGAGTCTCACTCTTTTGCCAGACTGGAGTGCAGTGGCGCGATCTCGGCTCACTGCAGCCTCTGCCTCATGGGTGCAAGCGATTCTCCTGCCTTAGCCTCCCGAGTAGCTGGGATTACAGGTGTGCACCACCATGCCCGGCTAATATTTGTACTTTTTAGTAGAGACGGGGTTTCACCATGTTGGTCAGGATGGTCTCGATCTCTTGACCTCGTGATCTGCCCGCCTCGGCCTCCCAAAGTGTTGGGATTACCGGCATGAGCCACTGCGCACGGCCAATTCTTTTTTTTTTTTAAATAGAGATGGGGGTCTCACCATGTTGGCCAGGTTGGTCTTCAACTCCTGGGCTCCAGTGATCCTCCCACCTCAGCCTCCCAAAGTGCTGGGATGACAGGTGTGAGCCACTGCACCCTGCCAGAAATTTCTTAATTATAATGAAGTCCCAGTATATCAGTTTTTATGGTTAGGGCTGTTTGTGACTTGTTCAAGAAATTCTTATCTACTCCAAGGTCTGAAGATACTCTTGTGTTTTCCTCTGGAAGCTTTATTGCTTTATACTTTACATGTAAGTGGTGATATGCCTCAAATCTTTTTTTTTTTTTTTGGAGACAGGGTCTCGCTCTCTTGCTGCCCAGGCTGGACTGCAGTGGCAGGATCATGGCTCACTGCAGCCTCAACCTTCCAAGCTCAAGCAGTCCTCCTACCTTGGCTGGGCCTACAGGCTTGCACCACCACACCTGGCTGATTATTTTAGCAGTTGGATCTCACTATGTTGCCCAGGCTGGTCTTGAACTTCTGGGCTCAAGTGATCTACCTGCTTCAGCCTCCCGAAGTGCTGGGATTACTACAGGCATGAGCCACGGCACACAGCCTGAGTTTACTTTTAGAATTCATTTGTTGGAAGGAAGTCTAAGGAGACTCGCAGGCTATGGCTAGCTAATTAGTAGTTGGTTTCTATGTGAATATCTGTTTATTAATAACATATTTGGCCAGGCACAGTGGCTCATGCTTGTATCCCAGCACTTTGGGAGGCGGAGATGGGTGGATCACAAGGTCAGGAGTTCGAGACCATCCTGGCCAACAGTGTGAAACCCTGTCTGTACTAAAAATACAAAAAATTAGCTGGGTGCAGTGGCATGTGCCTGTAGTCCCAGCTACTCAAGAGGCTGAGGCAGGAGAATCACTTGAACCCGGGAAGCAGAGGTTGCAGTGAGCTGAGATCGCACCACTGCACTCTAGCCTGGGTGACAGAGCGAGACTCCATCTCAAAAAAGAGAAAGAAGATGGTAAAAAATAACTTACTGCAGTCATCATAAGCCCCCATTTTAGTCCTTTTGGGCTGCTGTAACAGAACACCATAGACCAGAAAGGCAAAACAGCAGGAATGTGTTTCTCACACTTTTGGAGCTGGAAAGTTTGAGCTGGAGATGGGGGAGACAGTTGCCTCCTCCCCAGCTCTCTAGTGAGGGCCGCCTCTCAGCTCCTTCTCACTGTGGCCTCCTCCCCAGCTCTCTAGTGAGGGCCGCCTCTCAGCTCCTTCTCACTGTGGCCTCCTCCCCAGCTCTCTAGTGAGGGCCCCCTCTCAGCTCCTTCTCACTGTGGCCTCCTCCCCAGCTCTCTAGTGAGGGCCGCCTCTCGGCTCCTTCTCACTGTGGCCTCCTCCCCAGCTCTCTAGTGAGGGCCCCCTCTCAGCTCCTTCTCACTGTGGCCTCCTCCCCAGCTCTCTAGTGAGGGCCGCCTCTCGGCTCCTTCTCACTGTGGCCTCCTCCCCAGCTCTCTAGTGAGGGCCCCCTCTCAGCTCCTTCTCACTGTGGCCTCCTCCCCAGCTCTCTAGTGAGGGCCCCCTCTCAGCTCCTTCTCACTGTGGCCTCCTCCCCAGCTCCCTAGTGAGGGCCCCCTCTCGGCTCCTTCTCACTGTGGCCTCCTCCCCAGCTCTCTAGTGAGGGCCGCCTCTCGGCTCCTTCTCACTGTGGCCTCCTCCCCAGCTCTCTAGTGAGGGCCGCCTCTCGGCTCCTTCTCACTGTGGCCTCCTCCCCAGCTCTCTAGTGAGGGCCCCCTCTCAGCTCCTTCTCACTGTGGCCTCCTCCCCAGCTCCCTAGTGAGGGCCCCCTCTCGGCTCCTTCTCACTGTGGCCTCCTCCCCAGCTCTCTAGTGAGGGCCGCCTCTCGGCTCCTTCTCACTGTGGCCTCCTCCCCAGCTCTCTAGTGAGGGCCGCCTCTCGGCTCCTTCTCACTGTGGCCTCCTCCCCAGCTCTCTAGTGAGGGCCGCCTCTCAGCTCCTTCTCACTGTGGCCTCCTCCCCAGCTCTCTAGTGAGGGCCGCCTCTCGGCTCCTTCTCACTGTGGCCTCCTCCCCAGCTCTCTAGTGAGGGCCGCCTCTCAGCTCCTTCTCACTGTGGCCTCCTCCCCAGCTCTCTAGTGAGGGCCCCCTCTCGGCTCCTTCTCACTGTGGCCTCCTCCCCAGCTCTCTAGTGAGGGCCGCCTCTCGGCTCCTTCTCACTGTGGCCTCCTCCCCAGCTCTCTAGTGAGGGCCCCCTCTCGGCTCCTTCTCACTGTGGCCTCCTCCCCAGCTCTCTAGTGAGGGCCGCCTCTCGGCTCCTTCTCACTGTGGCCTCCTCCCCAGCTCTCTAGTGAGGGCCCCCTCTCAGCTCCTTCTCACTGTGGCCTCCTCCCCAGCTCTCTAGTGAGGGCCGCCTCTCGGCTCCTTCTCACTGTGGCCTCCTCCCCAGCTCTCTAGTGAGGGCCGCCTCTCGGCTCCTTCTCACTGTGGCCTCCTCCCCAGCTCTCTAGTGAGGGCCCCCTCTCGGCTCCTTCTCACTGTGGCCTCCTCCCCAGCTCTCTAGTGAGGGCCGCCTCTCGGCTCCTTCTCACTGTGGCCTCCTCCCCAGCTCTCTAGTGAGGGCCGCCTCTCGGCTCCTTCTCACTGTGGCCTCCTCCCCAGCTCTCTAGTGAGGGCCCCCTCTCAGCTCCTTCTCACTGTGGCCTCCTCCCCAGCTCTCTAGTGAGGGCCGCCTCTCAGCTCCTTCTCACTGTGGCCTCCTCCCCAGCTCTCTAGTGAGGGCCCCCTCTCAGCTCCTTCTCACTGTGGCCTCCTCCCCAGCTCTCTAGTGAGGGCCGCCTCTCAGCTCCTTCTCACTGTGGCCTCACGTGGTAGAAGAGCTGGGCTAGTTCTCTGGGGTCCGGTTTTTAAGGGCACTGAGCTCATCATTAGTGCTCTGCCTCCTGACCTAGTCTCCCGCAAAGGCCCTGCATCTTAATACCATCCCCGTAGGGGATAGGATTTCAACATAGGAATTTTAGGAGTCAGACATTCTGACCATAGCAGCCCTGCATGCTGGGAACACGAGCTGGTGCCTGTGGGGTCGGGGCTTGGGATCGAGTCCCAGCCTCAAGTGTGTGGCCTCAGAGAGTACCTCTCTCTTACCTTTTATTACAGAATTTTCAAACATACAGCAGAGAGCTGGTAGGTAAGGAGCCGTAGCTTCAGCGGGTCCCCTGTCAGCTGACTCTGTTTCCCTCTGGGCCTTGCTGGGCCGCGGGGACGGTCTGTGCTGGTGTGTCTGGCTGGTGCTGCACATGTGCAGGTGGCAGCTGGCACGATGCCCTTTCTGTCCATTCTTTTGGGGTCTTGGCTTGGCCCAGGCCTCAGCTCTGGGGACAGTGACCAGCCTTCCACGTCAGCTCAGCTGGACTGCAGGCCTCAGAGCTGTATGAGCTCTAGGCAGGTGGCCTTAGGTGCTCAAGGTGGCAGGGCCACAGCCGGGCTGGGGGCTCCATGTGATGCTGCTGACTGCCAGGGGCCTGGCAGTGTGAGGCTTGACCTGGACCTGCCAGACTGTGTACCCTGGCCACCGGCTTCCTTGGGATGCAGGCTCAGCAGCTGCCCACCTCTGGCTGCTGGTCATCATTAGTGAAGTTTGGCGTGAGCAAAACATCAGCCCTCACTTTCTCCAGCTCATGTGCCCTTATCAAATAAATCTGGGAGGTCAGTTTTTGACTTTATATGGGGATGGAGGCCGCCTCAGGTAGTCTTTGCAGGAGGACTGTGGGTTTGGGTGCCAGAGGATGCAGTGGGAACTGGAATCTCCATGGCGGCAGCATTCCTCTGCATCGAGCCGTGACCCACCACACATGTCCTCTGGGTACCCCATGGGGCTAATTGCCTGGAGCAAGGACTCTGCCTGCCCACGACGCCCACTGTGCAGACAGAAGTGGGGGCAGTAAAGTTGGCTCAGGTGCTCCCCACACAGCCTGTGCTCTGCAGACAGAAGTGGGGGCAGTGAGGTTGGCCCAGGTGCTCCCCACACAGCCTGTGCTCTGCAGACAGAGTGGGGCAGTGAGGTTGGCCTGTACTCTGCATTGACATTTGTTTCCCAAGGTTCCTCCTGCCTGCAGGGCAGCTTTGCCATTTCCCTCCTGATGCCATCATGTGGCCCGCAGCTTTGGGAGGGTCTTGCTCCAGGGAGGCGCGTGTGCTCGGATGTTGCCGTCCTGGCCACCTCCAGCACCTCGCAGCCCCTAGGAGGGCGCAGTGGCCTCCGGTCTGCTGGGCATGCCCTTACCATGGTGAAGGGGTGGCCTGCCCCTCCACACCTGTGGGTATATCTCGTCAGGTGGGACGAGAGACTGAGAAAAGAAATGACACAGAGACAAAGTATAGAGAAAGAACAGTGGGGCCAGGGGACCGGCACTCAGCATACCAAGGACCTGCACCGGCACCGGTCTCTGAGTTCCCTCAGTTTTTATTGATTATTATTTTCACTATCTCAGCAAGAAGAATGCGGCAGGAGAGCAGGGTGATAGTGGGGAGAAGGTCAGCAAGAAAACATGTGAACCAAATAATCTGTGTCATAATTAAGTTCAAGGGAAGGTACTATGCCTGGATGTGCACATAGGCCAGATTTATGTTTCTCTCCGCCCAAACATCTCAGCGGAGTAAAGAATAACAAGGCAGTATTGCTACCAACGTGTCTAATCTCCCGCCATAGGGCGGTTTTTCTCCTATCTCAGAATTGAACAAGTGTACAATCGGGTTTTATATCGAGACATTCAGTTCCCAGGGGCAGGCAGGAGACAGAGGCCTTCCTGTATCTCAACTGCAAGAGGCCTTCCTCTTTTACCAATCCACCTCAGCACAGACCCTTCACGGGTGTCGGGCTGGGGGACGGTCAGGTCTTTCTCATCCCACGAGGCCATATTTCAGACTATCACATGGGGAGAAACCGTGGACAATACCCGGCTTTCCAGGGCAGAGGTCCCTGCAGCTTTCCGCAGTGTATTGTGCCCCTGGTTCATCGAGACTGGAGAATGGCGATGACTTTTACCAAGCATACTGCCTGTGAACACTTTGTTAACAAGGCACGTCCTGCACAGCCCTAGATCCCTGAAACCTTGATTCCATACAGCACAGGTTTCTGTGAGCTCCAGGTTGGGGCAAAGTGGCTGGGGCAGAGTTACAGATTAACACCTCAGGGCAAAGCAGTTGTTCAGGGCACAGGTCAAAATGGAGTCTCTTATGTCTTCCCTTTCTGCATAGACACAGTAACAGTCTGACCTCTCTTCCTTTTCCCTACACCATGGCCCTCCCTCTGGGCAGGTGCAGGGGATGGCGCTAGCCTGGCTTTTTCTCAGGCCGGGTGGCTGGCTCTTAGAGGAGAGGCTGGCGGGCGCAGGGCTGAGCAGAATGGGCCCTGCTGAGAAGGGACGGGTGGGCTGACCCAGACTCTGTGCGGTTGGGGAAGGCGGTGGCGCTGGGGCATGTGGCTGTAGGAAAAGGGGCATTCCCACTGTAGCCCAGGGCAGTCAGGGGCATAGCACCTGCCAGCCAGCCCAAACCAAGCCCTTGCCAGACACGCCGCACCTCAGAGCCCTGGAGAGAGGCACATTCAGCCACACCGCACACGCCACTCAGAGCCTAAAGAAGGGAAACAGGTAGAACAGGATCTCATGGCACATGGAGATCACAGAAAATTCACATTTCAGTGTCCTTAAATAAAAAGTGATTGGAACCCACATATAAAAAGTGAGCTCAGAAACTTACAAGGAAAAGCACAAATCTATATTCTTAAAGTTGCTGCTGTGGCCGTGTGATACTTTTCATGTTCTGTGGGAACATTTGGCTAAGAGCTGCCTCGTGCTGTGTCCTAGGGAGGCGCCACATCCACCACCTGGGGAACCAGCTGCAGCTGAACCAGCACTGCCTGGACACCGCCTTCAACTTCTTCAAGATGGCCGTGAGCAGGCACCTGACCCGCGGCCGGAAGATGGCCCACGTGATTGCTGCCTGCCTCTACCTGGTCTGCCGTACGGAGGGCACGCCGCGTATCCTTTGGTTTGAGAGCCTCCCAGAGGGCCCCATCTTGATGCTTAGTTGGCTCCCCTCGAATATTGGGACTTGGTAGTTGCAGTAACTTGGTGTTTGTCTTTAATAGAAAAACACCTTACTGGAAGAACTGTTTCAGTTGATCCAGGGCTTTCTGAATTTGGGGTCTCCTTTTACTGGATCGAAGAACTGGGGAGCTGGGCACCTGCCTTCCTCGCACAGCCCTTGGGCATGCAGAGCGAGGGTTCTGTCGGTGCCTGAGAATCATGCCCTGGATTCTCCCCACTTGTGGACCTACTGCGCCTTGGGTGCTGTCTCCACGTCCCCTGTGGTTCAGGCCGCCCTCTGGCCTGAGCAGGTGGGGTGCTGTTGCTGAGTGGGCTGCAGCCAGGCGTACACCGAGTGCCTGCAGCTGTGGACACCGTGACTGTGGGCGATGGGTGGGGAGGCCGCCGACCCTCAGCGGTGTGCAGCTCGGCCTTGTGCGTGGATACCGTGACTGCAGGCCGTGGGTGGGGAGGCCGCCGACCCTCAGCGGTGTGCAGCTTGGCCTTGTGTGTGGACACCGTGACCGCAGGCGGTGGGCGAGGAGGCCCCCGACCCTCAGCGGTGTGCAGCTTGGCCTTGTGCGTGGACACCGTGACTGCAGGCGGTGGGCGGGGAGGCCGCCGACCCTCAGCGGTGTGCAGCTTGGCCTTGTGCGTGGACACCGTGACTGCAGGCGGTGGGCGGGGAGGCCGCCGACCCTCAGCGGTGTGCAGCTTGGCCTTGTGCGTGGACACCGTGACTGCAGGCGGTGGGCGGGGAGGCCGCCGACCCTCAGCGGTGTGCAGCTTGGCCTTGTGCGTGGACACCGTGACTGCAGGCGGTGGGCGGGGAGGCTGCCGACCCTCAGCGGTGTGCAGCTTGGCCTTGCGTGGAGATCCAGTGTCTGGTGTTCTCTTGCACTGGTCTCTGTGCATCTGGTCCTGTGCCCACTGCTGCCATCTGCAGACACACACATGGGTCAGGAGCTGCCTTCGGCCTCTTGACAGGGAGCCCAGAGCCTTCCAGCCTCCTCTGCTCTGTGCTGTGCTGTCCACACCTGCTGTGCACCTGCATCTTTTCCCTGCTCTCTGGGGACTCCCCGCTTCCTGGTCCACACCCTCCTCATCTTGTGAGGTGCCTCCTGCAATGGCTCCCTGGGAGAGGGACCTTTTCCGAGCTGCGCCCCTCTGAAGGTGGTCCCCCTCCCTGCCCTGTGTCTGGTGGGCGTGGCGTGCCCGGCCACATGTCTGCCTCCCAGCCTGCGCCCCTGCCGTCGCCTTGCCTCCAGCATTCTCACTGGGCAGTTCTGTGGCCCTCTGGCTCCTGGCCCTTGCTGTGCAGCTGCGGGGCTTCAGCTCCTTGCCTCTAATCTCCACGTTCAGAAATCTCACGGCAGTGTGAGCCCATCAGGCCTTTGCTCTCTGACAGCTTCCTGTCCTGAGCTTCTGTTGAATTCGTCGTTAGATGTGTCTCCCTTCTTCTCTGTTACTCTGCCTGCCACACTGAACCCATGTGTTATCTCATCCTTTTTTGCACGTGGCTATCTTTTTGCTTTGGGACAGCACCTGAACTTTAGCTTCCAGCAGGCTGTTTCATTTCTTTCATGTTTTTCATCTCTAAGAGCTCTGGGTCTTTTCCGAATCTTTTTTATAATCTCCCGTCTTCCTGAGTGTGGCATCTTCTCACCTTGAGCTCTTTTCTGTCTTGGTCTGTTTTTCTGGTTGGTCCCCCTCGAGGGGTGTCCTGGGTGCCAGGTGATCCTGGTGGCCTGCTTCTCTTTTGAGTGGGGTGCAGGGAGGGCTCCTGGAGATGACGAGCTGGTAGCCTGCTGACGGTGCCTCTGGCCAGGCAACCCTCAGTATCAGGATCTTTCATTAAAATGTTACTTTTTTTTTTTTTTTCCAGACAGGGTCTTGCTCTGTCACCCAGGCTGGAGTGCAGTGGTAGTATCTCAGCTTACTGCAACCTCTGCCTCCCAGGTTCAAGCAATTCTTGTGCCTTAGCCTCTCGAGTAGCTGGGATTACAGGTGTGCACCACCATACCTGGCTAATTTTTTTGTATTTTTAGTAGAGATGGGGTTTCCCCATGTTGGCCAGGCTGGTCTCAAACTCCTGGCCTCAAGTGATCCACCCGCCCTGGCCTCCCAAAGTGCTGGGATTATAGGCATGAGCCACTGCATCCAACCCTGAAAATGTCCTTTTAACATTTTGAAATTTGGGCTGGGCATGGTGGCTCACGCCTGTAATCCCAGCACTTTGGGAGGCCTAGGTGGGCGGATCACGAGGTCAGGAGATCGAGACCATCCTGTCTAACACCATGAAACCCCGTCTGTACTAAAAATACAAAAAAAATTAGCCGGGCGTGGTGGCAGGCTCCTGTAGTCCCAGCTACTCGGGAGGCTGAGGCAGGAGAATGGCGGGAACCCGGGAGGCGGAGCTTGCAGTGAGCCGAGATCGCGCCACTGCACTCCAGCCTGGGCTACAGAGTGAGACTCCGTCTCAAAAAAAAAAAAAAAAAGTCCTTTCAACATTTTGAAATTTGTCATTTCTGCGTAAAAGTGTTTAAAGCACACGTGTGCCTTTAGGGACAGGGATGATGCAGAGTGCCCAGGCAGCCCACTGCAGGGCGAGAGACAGAGCCCACGCCCGCGTCCCTGCCCGCCCCGCCTGCTGTCTGCTTGCCCCGGCTCCACCCTGGGGTCCCACTGAGAGGCCTGCTCCGATCCTGCTCTCTTAGAAGCAGACCAAGGTCCTGAGCGAGAAGCTGAGCAGAGCCCAGGGTCAGCCCATGGCCCTGCCTCCCTTGTGTTTGTAGGAGCTGTGTGGGGACTGCTGTGGAGCAGGGCCTAGGGTGCAGGCCGGCACTGGGACCCCAGCGTCAGCAAGGTGGGGTGGAACCACGTCCATGCTGCTGCCTCACTGGGCCTCCTGTGGGGGGGACAGATGCCCTGGGACATGGGCCTTCATGGGGTGATGACAGGCAGGACGGAGAGCAGTCCTGTGGCACTGCCGGGGCTGCCTCTGAGTCTGGCAGGACCACCTTTAGCCACAAAGTTCCCACACGCTCCAGCGATCCTCCTACTAAGTGTGTGCCCAAGGGAAAAGAGTACCTGTGTCCCCACCGAGGCTCACGCACAGTGCTCACAGTGGCAGCATCCAGGAAGCCACCCCGTGTCCCCCACGCATTCTAAAATTAGATCCTGGTGGTGGTTGCTCAGCTCTGGGGATTTACGAAAACCCACTGCCCGGTGCACTGTGAACAGGCAGGTTTGTGGCACAAACTTGTACCTTATAAAGCTGCTAAGGACAAGACAGCTTGGAACAGGACTGTGCTCACGGGAGGCCGCACTCTATCCCCTCTGGCTGCTGGTGGCCTGGTGGGGCTCCCTTCAGCATCCTCAGAGGATGCTTCGGGCTGGTCTCGGGTAGCTGTAGCCCTCACTTCCCAGCCCACCCCTGCTTTGCCGGCACTTTAGAGGGAAGTGGGTCAGGCCAGGTGTAGCA
The DNA here is from genome assembly GCF_000001405.40 of Homo sapiens. NCBI lineage: Eukaryota > Metazoa > Chordata > Mammalia > Primates > Hominidae > Homo > Homo sapiens. Next base: position 105,269,188 of record NC_000014.9, on the reverse strand, counting down.
TGTCCCGCTCTGCCCTCCCTTCAGGTTGCGGGCAGCACCGTGCCCTAGGCCTGCCAGCCAGAGCCCCCAGACCCATCCTGGACACGTCTCCGTCTCTCACCGCCCTCCTTGTTTTCTCCTGCCCCTGTGCCTTCTCCCTCCCTGCTGACCTGCATTGGCTCTGGCCACTGTCCTCGCCTCCTGCAGCCCCAGCTGGCTGGCTGGGCTCATGTGCTGCCTCAGTTTCCTCAATAGCTCCACCCACTTCCCTTCCACAGAAAATCCACCCAGGAGAGGGTGTGTGCAGCCAGGCTCTCTTCTCCGAGACAGGGCTGCTTGGCCCAGCCCTGCTGCCTGCACAGCTCCCGTCACCTTCTGGACTCGCCACCTTTAGCCAGGGCGCAACAGCACCCACCACCCCACCTCCACCCTGCCGTCAGCAGGACGTGGAGGGTCCTGTGCAGTGAGCTTACGTTGTGGGGTGCATGGCCCCCACCCCAGGAGAGGCCCCCCAGGATCCTCCTATCGTATCGTCCAGCCCATGGGTGGGACCAGTGCCCTGAGCCCAGGGCTGGATACAAGAAATCCTCTCTCAGAAGGAACAAGGGCTTGATTTAAGAACATCCAAGCTTATTCCTCCTTCTGCCCACCCTTCATTGTTGCCCGATCCTCAGGTGTGTCCACTATCACCCCGAAAGTGCCGGGGGCTGTGCACACACACCTCCTCTCTTGGCCCCGTAGCCTGGTGGCTGACACAGCCAGTCCCGGATTCCTGGAGGAGGAACGGGGTGCTGCTGAGTCCCACTGAGTCTGGCAAGGCCCGGCTGACCCTAGGCCTGAGTCTGCTCCTGGCTCCCAGCCCAGGGAGGCTGCGTGGGCAGCAGGGCTGAGACACGGGACCTGGACATGCCGGGCAGAGACTCAGCTGGAATGAGCACCTCTGCCATTGTCGAGCAGGTAGTTTGTGGCCAGTGTGCTTTTCCTGGCTGTGTGTCTCGACTTGTTATTGCAGCTTTTGCCCACAGCTGGTTTGTGGGTCTTTGACATTTGTTCCTGTCCAGCCAGGCTGCCCTAGGCCTGCATGTGAGAGGGCATCTTGGGATGGTGACAGGCTGGTGAGCCCTAGAGGGCGTCAGAGCCCTGGGGCCAGCACTGTGGATGGTGCCATCACCTGTCCCCACGTAGGTCTGCAAAGAGCATGCCCAGCTTCCATGGCCTGCCAGCCTCAGCCTCCATGGCGTGCCTGGCCACGCGTGGGAGCAAGGCCTCTGCCGCCAGCCGCCACACTCCCTTCAGACCCAGCTCCTCTCTCAGGCTGCAGAACCGTCCGTTCAGGTCAGCAGGGGCCATGTGCATTCAGCTTATTCCATTCTGGGGTCTGGGATGGGCTTTCAGAGCCCACACTTCTCTGCCCCCCTGTTCTGGCCAGCACCTCCTTCTGCCACCAGGCCCCCTTGTTCCTGCTCCTCTCCCTCTGCTGCCTTCTCAAGGACAGGGCATTTATAACAGTTTAAGTGGTCAGAAGAAGGTATTAGGATGGCTGATGAGGGAATCAAATGGTGCACACATCATTAGGCATGAAGACGTTGGCATTTCAGGTCAGGCACAGTGGCTCACGCCTGTAAATCCCATCACTTTGGGAGGCCCAGGCAGGAGGATTGCTTGAGTCCAGGAGTTTGAGACCAGCTTGGGCAACATGGTGAAACCCCGTCTCTACAAAAGAAAAAGAAAACAAAAAAAAAAATCCAGCTGGTGGTGTGTACCTGTGGTCTCACCTACTGGGGAGGCTGAGGTGGGAGGATCGCTTGAACCCAGGAGGTCGAGGCTGCAGTGAGCCATGATCGCACCACTACACTCCAGCCTAGGCAATAGAGTGAGCCCCGTCTCAAAAAAAAAAAAAAGTTGCCATTTCAGACTTCCGAAAGGCTGACCTGGAAACACCGGCACACCCAGCGTGGGCCCATGTGGGCCCCTTGTCGGTGGTGTCTTGTTGCTGGCGTAGCAGAGGTTTAGCTGAGTTTTGTATGTTGACATTATTAATACATCATTCCTACCAAATTCAATTGTCGATCTTACTGTTTGAGTTTTGGAGTCTCTCCTTTAATGCACACAACTGTGTCTGCTGCTCATAATGCCAGTTCTGCTTCTTTCTTTTCATTTTTTTCATGAGACAGGATCTCACTTGATCACCCAGGCTGGAGTGCAGTGGCGCAGTCTTGGCTCACTGCAGCTTCTGCCTCCCAGGCTCAAGCGATCCTCCCACCTCAGCCTCCCGTGTAGCTGGACTACAGGCATACACCACCACCCCTGGCTAATTTTTGTACTTTTTGTGGCGACGGGGTTTTGCTGTATTGTCCAAGCTGGTCTCAAACTTCTGAGCTCAAGTGATCTGCCTCCCTCAGTCTCCCAAAGTGCTGGGATTCTAGGTGTGAACCCCCCGCCCAGCCTTGGTTCTTCCTTTCTAACCCACACACCTCTCATCTGTTTGTCCTGCCTTTTGTATGCCGAGGACTCAGCATGGTCCTGGGGAGGGAGATGTGCCTGGCTCTCTCCTGTCCTGGGAGGGGTGTTTTCTGCCCTTCGCTCTATGTATCTGCGGTAGACTTTTGTGTATAGGACTCTTTATCAGCTTGAGGATGTTACCTTGCTTTCTAATTTTCCAAGAGTTTTTGTCATGAAAAATACTGAATTTTATCAAACACCAATGTATTTATTGGTATGATTTTTTCATGTACATTTTCCCCTTAATCTGTTACCTAACGTAAATAACACTGATTAATTTTTTAAAATTTTTTAGAAACAGGGTCTTGCTCTGTTCTCCCAGGCTGTACCACTGTGGCACCACCCTAGCTCGTTGCAACCTCCAACTCCCTGGCTCAGGCGACTCTCTCGCCTCAGCATCCCGAGTAGCCGGGACCATAGGTGCACTAGAGATGGGGTCTCACTGTATTGCCCAGGCTGGCCTCAAACTCCTGGGTTCCAGTTATCTTCTCATCTTGGACTCCCAAAGTGTTGGGATTACAGGTGTGAGCTATTGTATCTGGCCTGTTTTTTCTAACATAAGCACTCGAGGCTATAAATTTCTCTCTAGGTGAGTTTCGTTACATCACACGGTTTTTTGTTTGTTTTGTTTTTTTTTGAGACAGAGTCTCACTGCCTCACCCAGGCTGGAGTGCAGTGGTGCCATCTCGGCTCACTGCAACCTCTGCCCTCTGGGTTCAAGTGATTCTCCTGCCTCAGCCTCCCGAGTAGCTGGGATTACAGGTGCATGCCACCATGCCCACCTAATTTTTTTTTTTTTTTTTTTTTGAGAGGGAGTCTTGCTCTGTCGCCCAGGCTGGAGTGCAGTGGCATGATCTCAGCTCACTACAAGCTCTGCCTCGCGGGTTCACACCATTCTCCCGCCTCAGCTTCCCGAGTAGCTGGGAATACAGGTGCCCGCCACCACACCTGGCTAATTTTGTTTTTGAATTTTTAGTAGAGAAGGGGTTTCACTGTGTTAGCCAGGATGGTCTCAATCTCCTGACCTCGTGATCCATCCGCCTCGGCCTCCCAATACTGCTGGGATTACAGGTGTGAGCCACTATGCCTGGCCCATGCCCAGCTAATTTTTGTATTTTTAGTAGAGAGGGGTTTCACCATGTTGGCCAGGCTGGTCTCAAACTCCTGACATCAGGTGATCTGCCCACCTTAGCCTCCCAAAGTGCTGGGATTACAGGCGTGAACCACTGCACCCGGCCCACTACCTGCTTTTAAGAAATATTTTTGTGTTTGGATTTGGCAGTTTGACTCTGATGTACCTAGATGTGGTTTTCTTTGTGTTTATCCAGATTATTTTTTGTAGAAGTTCAAGGATTTGTGACTTGGCTGGGTGTGGTAGTTTATGGGTGTAATCCCAGCGCTTTGGGAGGCTGAGGTGGGTGGATCACTTGAGGCCAGGAGTTTAGGACCAGCCTAGGCTAATAAAAGAAATTAGCCAGGTGTGGTGGTGCACACCTGTAGTCCCAGCTACTCAGGAGGCTGAGGCAGGAGGATCACTTAAGCCCAGGGGTCAAGGCTGCAGTGAGCTGTGATGACATCAGTGCATCAGTGCATTCCAGCCTGGGCGACAGAGTGAGACCCTGTCTCTAAAAAAACAAACAAACAAAAAAAAAACAAAAAAAAGGATAAGTAGAACTTATGACTTGATGTCTTTTGTCTACGTTGGAGACATCTTGGGTAGTATCTTTTCAAATAAAGTTTCTGCTCCACTCTCTCTTCCTGTTCTGGGACTCCATATATTAGCCTTTCTCTCTTTTGCTCATCCTTTCTTTTGCTGTGTCTAATCAGGTGTTGAACCCATCTACTAACTTCTTAATTTTTTTTTTAAGAGATGGAATATCGCTGTGTTGCCCAGGCTGGAGTGCAGTGGTGCAGTCACAGCTCACTGCAGCCTTGACCTCCCAGGCTCGAGCAATCCTCTCACCTCAGCCTCCATAGTAGTTGGGACTACAGGTATGCGCCACCACACCCACTCAATTTTTTTTTTTTTTTTTTTTTTTTTGAGATGGAGTCTCATTCTGTCACCCAGGCTGGAGTTCAGTGGCACAATCTCGGCTCACTGCATGCTCTGCCTCCCGGGTTCATGCCATTCTCCTGCCTCAGCTTCCCGAGTAGCTGGGACTACAGGCACCCGCCACCATGCCCGGCTAATTTTTTTTTGTATTTTTAGTAGAGACGGTGTTTCACTGTGTTAGCCAGGATGGTCCCGATATCCTGACCTCGTGATCCGCCCACCTCGGCCTCCCAAAGTGCTGGGATTATAGGTGTGAGCAATCGCGCCTGGCCATCAATTTTTTATAGAGATGAGGTCTCACTGTGTTGCCCAGGCTGGTCTTGAACTCCTGGGCTCTTTATTTTTTGTAGAGAATGGTGTCTTGCTATGTTGCCCAGCCTGGTCTTGAACTCCTGGGCAGAAGCTATTCTCCTGCCTTGGCCTCCCAACGTGCTAGGATTATAGATGTGAGCCATCACTAAGACTCCTTTTATTAGAGTCCAGTTCTTTGGTAAGATTCTTCATTTCTTCATAGTTAGGTGAAAGTCATTGATAAGCCAAATAGTTGAATCATTTGTGGTTCTGTTTTTATTATCTTGATTTTCTTTTTGTTTTTGTTCCTTTGGTCTTGTCTTTTGTCATGCTTGGTAATTTTTCATTGAATCGCTGGAATATTAGGTCTAAAATATTACAGAGATGATGGATACTTTTCCATCCAGAGGGAATTTAACTTTTCTTTTTTTTTTTTTTTGAGACAGAGTCTCACTCTGTTGCCCAGGCTGGAATGCAGTGGCACCATCTCTGCTCACTGCAAGCTCCGCCTCCCAGGTTCATGCCATTCTCCTGCCTCAGTCTCCCAAGTAGCTGGGACTATAGGTGCCCGCCACCACATCCGGCTGATTTTTTGTATTTTTAGTAGAGACAGGGTTTCGCCGTGTTAGCCAGGATGGTCTCGATCTCCTGACCTCGTGGTCCGCCCATCTCACCCTTCCAAAGTGTTGGGATTACAGGCGTGAGCCATCGCGCCCGGCCGGGAATTTAACTTTTCTTGAGCAAGCAGAGAGCACGCAGGTAGCTCACTCTGATCCAGTTGCTGCTGGTCCGTCTTGGTTCCCGGCTGAAGGATCGTGGCAGGACCCAGGTGTCCCTTCCTGGCACCTCGGGACTGCAGAACTTCCTGCTCGGCTCTTTTGCCTTTCAGAGCTGACTTCTGGGCTTGGCGGGCCTCAGCCTGGTGCCTGTGGCTCCAGGGGCGGCAGCTGCCGTAAAGGGACTAAGTGCACTGTGCCCTGCTCGCTTGTTGAAGTTGCTTCCTCTTCTCTTGGCAGCTTGGCCCCTCGTGTCTGGCTGGCTCGGAAGCCACTGAACTGTAAACTCTATCTTCCCTTGCCAAGCGAGACTGTGAGCACTAGGCTCCTACTTTTTTTTTTTTTTTTTTTTTGATGGAGTCTTACTCTGTTGCCCAGGCTGGAGTGCAGTGGTGCCATCTCGGCTCACTGCAACCTCTGCCTCCCGGGTTCAAGCGATTCTCCTGCCTCAGCCTCCCGAGTAGCTGGGATTATAGGTGCCCACCACCATGCCTGGCTAACTTGTATTTTTAGTAGAGATAGGGTTTCACCATATTGGCCAGGCTGGTCTCGGACTCTTGACGTTGTCATCTGCCCGCCTCGGCCTCCCAAAGTGTTGGGATTACAGGCGTGAGCCACCGTGTCCAGCCACTTTTTTTTTTTTTAAATGGAGATGGGGTCTTGCTATGTTGTCCAGGCTGGTCTTGAACTCCTGTCCTCAGGCAATCCTGGCCTGGCACTGCCAGACTATGACAGCTTATTAGAATTGGCGAGAATTGGAAGGAGGCCCGAGCTGAGACACTGCACCTTACACTCGTGCCACTCAGCTCCTCCTGGGGCCATCCATGTGCCTGGTTGCATGTGTGTGCTTGAAAGCCAGGGGCTGGGAGCGTCAGGTGACTGCCTGGATAGCAGCTGCATTATCCGTGAGACCACCTCAGTGTGGCTGGGACAGAGCCAGGCTCCCAGCTCTGTGGGAGGCTCAGTCTTCAGAGCAGGGATCTTTGAGAAGGCACCTGGGTACCCTTGAACTTCACAGAGGCCATGCATGATGACAGCGGTGAGGTGCTAGATTATTCAGGGTGTACTGCACACAGGAGCCCACCGTGGGGTGTGGCAGCCAGCAGTGGCTCAGGGATTTAGTCACTGTGCAGGGGATGGGCAAGGCCCAGCAATGACCCACTGGCTCTTCCCTGGAGGTCAGAGGTATCTGGACAAAGGGCAGCCAGCAGGTCTCCTACCCCGCATCAGTCATTCAGGGACTCCCAGAGCACCTGCTCTGTGCCACACCTCCAGGCGGAGGAGCAGGGTGGTCTCTGGGAAGTTCGGGAGGGCAGGGCTGCTCATGACCTAGGCCCTGGGTCTTGATGGGTCCTGCTCTTGGGGTGCTGAGGGCATCCGAGCTCTGGGGTGAGTGACCCCATTCCAAGCTAGGATCCGTCATAGCCCCGTCCAGGCATGTGCGGGGCCTGAGGATGCCCAGTCTGCCTGCCGGGCTCCTGTGTGGGTGCTTGGTCGGCCGCTGAGTGCTGTATGCTGAGTGCTGCCAGGGCCTTGCCCTTGGTGGGTTGGGGCTGGGCACTACTGCTCTACACGGAGCTTCGGCCGGGCCGTGTGTTCCCGTGCCAGGTGGTGTTGGCTGCCGGTGAGGAGCACTCAGAGCAGGGGGGGCCTGCAGAAGGGGAGTGGCACTGGGTAGGGGCAGTGAGCCGTGGGCCGGTGCAGTGCTGGGCATCATTCTCCAGAAGGTGTGGGTTTCGCTCCTTGGTCCTCACGCCGTGTGGGCGCCGCAGTCCCCCTCTCCAGTCCCATGGGGCCGGGAATGCTGGTGTCCGCTCAGGGTGGGGCCCTGCCGGCCCCTGCACTGCTGGCTGTTGTGGACACAGCCCTTTCTGTGGGGCTCTATATACAAGAGCACTTTCCCTCGCTTCTCTCTTTGGGTATCCAGTAAGAGCATTTGTATGTGAGGCTGTTGAGAGAAATTTCTTGTTTTTTTAAGTTTTAGTTCTGCCTTATGTAAATCTCTGTAAACTTTTCCATGTAAGGAAAGTGTGTCTGAGTCAGGACCCATCTGCAGTTTTTCTCCCTGCAAGCATCGTGCAGCCAGCCAGGGTGTGGGCAGCCTCAGTTTCCCCATCCTCTTCACAGTGGAGTGGCCCCTCGCTGTGTTGTCCACAGCTGTGGTGGGGAAGCCTGGTTGGTTCCTGGAGCCGGGACAGTTTGATGGCACAGCAGTGGGGTGCAGGGCTGCACCGTCATGACTGGACCATTTCTGGGCCTTGTCATCTGCTGATGGGAGCCTCGCGTGGGCCTCTGCCGCACTCAGGAATGTCTGGCGCCCTTTGAGGGCATTGTGTCACCTGCCCTCTATTGTGCTCCCGCGTCTCTCCTTTGACTGGCACTCAGCTGCACCGAGCAGAAGACCACCCGGCACAGCGTGGCAGGGGCCAGAAGGGAGGCAGAAAGAGGCCCCAGCTGGCAGAATCCAGGCTTTCGCACCCTGGGGGCCGCAGACAGGGCCTCTTCTCTGCAGACTTTTTTCTGATTCCCAGATGGTCAGAAGCAGCTGCTCAGCAAAAGGGAGGGGCTGCTGGGAGGACACAGGTACCAGCCATGCTGGACACAGGAGAACCTCCAGAGCCCTGGGAGCTCATTAGCTGGGGGACCTGTAGGCTGGGCCCCAAAGGCATTAGTAGGCCCTCCCGGGATTGGCCAGAGGGAATGTGATATCCTCACAAGGGAAGCACATAATTGAGCTTCCATCGTCTGGAAACTTCCCTGAAAGCGCCTGATAGAGCCAGGTGAATGCGGATCAAGTGCCAGGTGATTTTCATTTCAAGGAAAGCAGTAATTCTAACTTCGTTAAATGTTTAATTTGAAGCTCCTTTTAAAAATGTACACACTTATCCCATTGTTTTATTAAGAAAATTTTCTGTGGAGCTTGGTGGCTTATGTCTGTAATCCCAGCACTTTGGGAGGCTGAGGTGAGCAGATCACCTGAGGTCAGGAGTTTGAGACCAGCTCGGCCAACATGGTGAAACCCCATCTCTACTAAAAATACAAAAAAAAATTAGCCAGGCATGGTGGTGCATGCCTGTAGTCCAAGCTACTTGGGAGGCTGAGGCAGGAGAATCGCTTGAACCTGGTAGGCAGAGGTTGTAGTGATCCAAGATTGTACCATTGCACTCCAGCCTGGGCGACAGGGCAAGACTTCATCTCGGGAAAAAAAAAAAATTCGAACACCTGCAAAGTTGAAGTGAATTGTGGAGTCCCCTCGCTCACACCTGTGGTCCGCTCCCCAAAGCTATGCTGCCCTCACCATCTTATTTTTTGGCACATTTCAAGGCAAGTTGCAGACGTCTGTGTACTGCACACAGTCCTTCAGCAGGCAGACCATCAGCTCAATGGGGGTGAGCATCGTTCCTGGGTCTTTTTCTCCTCTGAAGGTAAAGTTGGCTTAAAGTGAGATGCACAGGCCCTAATTGCTCCATCTGGAGAGTTCTGACAAACGGTCACCCGTCAGCCCAGAGCAGGGCTCTGTGGACAGACCTCATGCCCCTTCCAACAGTCCCAGCCCCGCAAAAGGCAACCGCTGTTTCCATTTCCTTCCACTACAGACCAGTTGTGCCTGTTCTAGAATGCCCTATAAATGGAATCATATGATCTGTGCCCTGTCACTTCACATGCTTTTTTTTTTGGTGACAGAATGTAGCTCTGTCGCCCAGGCTGAGTGCAGTATGGTTCCATCTCAGCTTACTGCAACCTCTGTCTCCTGGGTTCAAGCGATTCTAATGCCTTAGCCTCTCAAGTAGTTGGGACTACAGGGGCACGCCACCATGTCCAGCTCATCTTTTGTATTTTTAGTAGAGACAGGGTTTTGCTGTGTAGGCCAGGCTGGTCTCAAACTCCTGGCCTCAAGTGACTGCCCGCCTTGGCCTCCCAAGGTGCTGGGATTACAGGCGTGAGCCCCGTGTCCGGTGGACATGGTTTTGAGAGGCGCCCATGGTGTTTTGTATGGTGAGTGGTATTGCTGTGTGAATACCAGCCAGAGTATTCTTGTATTAATGGACACCTGGACTGCTCCCCGTTTTTGGCTGTTCTGAATGAAGCTGCTATGAACATTTTTCTACAAGTTTTTTTGTGGACATATTTCTTTTTATTTTTAGAGACAGAGTCTCACTCTGTGGCCCCAGCTCAGTGCAGTGGTGCAATCACAGCTCACTGCAACCTCGACCTCTTGGGTGCAAGCAATCCTCCTGCCTTAGCCTTCTGAGTAGCTGGGACAATAAGTGTTTGTCACCATACCCGGCTAATTTTTGGATTTTTTTGTAGAAACAGGGTCTCACTGTGTTGCCCAGGCCGGTCTTGAACTCCTGGGCTCTGGTGATCTGCTGGCCTCAGCCTCCTAAAGTGCTGGGATTATGGGTGTGAGCCACTGCACCTGGCTGACATCTGTTTTTATTTCTCTTGGGTAAATACCTAGGAGTGGAATAGGTGGGTCAGAGGTGTGTGTTTAGCTTTGTAAGAAACTTCCAGGCCTTTTCCCAAGGTGGTTGTACCACTTCACGCTTCCATCAGCAGCATGGGTGAGCTGTGCTTGCCCCACATCCTCGCCGGCATTCAGTGACGTCGCGGGCTCGTGGCATTGTCACAGTTTTGTTTGCATTTCTGATGATTAATGCAGTTGAGTTCTTTTTCATGTGCTTGTTGGCTATTTTTTTTTGTCTTCATGAAGCTTCTGTTGAATTGTTTTGCCTTTTTTTATTTTGGCCTTTATTCTTTTTCTTATTTAAATAGAGTTCTTTTTTTTGAGACTGAGTCTCGCTCTGTTGCCCAGGCTGGAGTGCAGTGGTGCGATATTTGCTTACTGCAACTTCTGCTTCCTGGGTTCAAGCAATTCTCCCACCTCAGCCTCCCAAGTAGCTGGGATTACAGGTGCCCGCCACCACCCCCTGGGTAATTTTTGTATTTTTAGTAGAGACGGGGTTTCACCATGTTGGCCAGGCTGGTCTCAAACTCCTGACCTCAGGTGATCCTCCCACCTCGGCCTCCCAAAGTGTTGGGATTACAGGCGTGAGCCACTGCGCCTGGCCTTAGAGTTCATTTCTTTTTTTTTTTTTGAGACGGAGTCTCGCTCTGTCGCCCAGGCTGGAGTGCGGTGGCGCCATCTCGGCTCACTGCAAGCTCCGCCTTCTGGGTTCACGCCATTCTCCTGCCTCAGCCTCCCAAGTAGCTGGGACTACAGGTGCCCGCCAACACGCCCGGCTAATTTTTTTGTATTTTTAGTAGAGACGGGGTTTCACCATGTTAGCCAGGATGGTCTCGATCTCCTGACCTTGTGATCCACCCACCTCGGCCTCCCGAAGTGCTGGGATTACAGGCGTGAGTCACCGCGTCCAGCCCAGTAGAGTTTATTTCTTAGAGCAGTCTTAGTTTACAGAAAAATTGTGTAGAAAGTACAGAGTTCCCATACACCCCCTTCAATCCCCAATTTCCCTATGTTATTAACATCTTGTGTTAGCTGGTCCATTTGTTATGGTTGATGAGCCCGTCTTGCCAAGTTGTTGATAAGAAAAGTCCACAGTTCACATTGAGGTTCACTCTTGGGGCTGTGCCTTCTATGGGTTTTCACAAATATGCAATATGTGAACCCACCAGTGCGGAGTGGTGCAGAGCTGCAGCGTCCTGGAACCCTCCTCTCGGCCCACCCACCCTGCCTTTCCCCAGCCCTTGGTGGCCACTGACCTAATGCTGTCTCCATAGTTTTGCCTTTTCCGGAAGGTGTATGCTTGGAGTCACACAGGGTGTAGCCTTCTGGCCTCGTTCACTTTTCCCGTTGGTGTGTGTTGGCTGTCACGGGCGTTTCCCCAGGTAGTTCTTACTGCTTTCCTTTGGTTTCCTTTGATGTCACTGGCCCCACCCCTGCCGCCGGTCTTCTCATAGTGCCTCTTGTGAGGCTGTTGGCTGTGCTGCAGTCGGTCCTGCCCGTTGTCTCGGCCCTCTGGGACTGCCTGCCTTCAGATGCACCTTTGTTCACGGGCCTCACCGCTCACGTCCCAGCCGTCCTGGGGGTTCTGCTCTGTGTCGGAATGCCCCTGTACCCAGCCCTGGCACCTTCTTAGGGTGGGAGGCCTTGCTGTTCTGCATGGAGTTGCAAGAGAGGTCAGGGGCCTCCAGCCCAGGGCGTGGATGAGTGGGCTGGCGTCCTAACCATCTGATTGCTTGCGAGGTTCTTGCGTGGTGGGGCTTTGCTGCTCTGGTCCCGGGGATCTTCCTTTGGACCCCTGCTCTGGACTCCTGATCCAGCTCCAGGAGGTGTCCTTAGTGACTTCTCGAAGCTACAGTGGGCCCATGGGAGATGTGCACTTCAGCTGTCTGGCAGAGTGTATTAACCAGTGACTTGTGTTTGATAACTTATGTATCCATGTGAGTTTTGAATCACTTAGGACACATTCTTGGTCCTGTTTGTTCATCTGAGCGAAGACAGGTCCTGTGCGGGGTCCCCACACCTGTCTCTCGAGCGCAGCCCCCAGTGGCGCCTGCAGGCTCACCACTCACCAAGGGGGCCCCAGGTCTAGTTTTCTGTCTCTCGGGAGGACTGCCTGCCTGACGCCTGATAGGTGCTCAGCAAGTGCCCTTGGGATGGAGCATGAGTGCCACTGTCTCTTCTGTGCTGTGTGTGGGCAGCAGATCCACCATATGGTGGGCACCTGACTGGGCAGGCGGGTGTGTGGGGGTGCACGCTTTCTCCAGGATCAGATGGAAGCCCCCACCGTTTCTGGTTCCCCCGACCCGGCTCCAGGTTCCTTGCAGTCCCTTGTCCTGGTACTGGGTTCACAGAAGTCTCACTTGTGCCTGGGGCTGGGAGGTTCTGGTGAGGCCTGAGCGTGCCGCGCCTCGCTTCCATACCACCTTTCCTTCCTGATCAAAGGTGGAGCTTATATTTGGAGGGGCGACTCCAGCTCCCTGCAGGTGCAGTCCTGCGGTCCTGCCCATTTGAAGGTGGGCGAGTAACCTGAGCTTGCAGCCACTCGACAGGATCCTTGACTCCTGCTGCAGACATGCTCCTGGACCTCAGCGACCTGCTCCAGGTAGACAGCCTCCGTCCTGCATCTTTCCCCACCTGGGGTTGTGACCTGGGGGTTGTGACCAGGGTTGTGACCGGGGTGTACCCCAGGTGCCTCCACGCATCTCAGTGGCCGGTCTGTGCTGCCTGCCCAGTCAGGAAGTTTTGGTCTGTAGGATGAGGGGCCTTCATGACATGGGGGTCACAGTCCGAGACTTGTGGGAGTGTGGGTCTCCATGGCAGGAGGGCACCTGCCAATGCTGGGCACGGTTGGGTGTTAGCTAGGCCTGGGTGAACAGTGAACTTTTGTCCTACACAAAGGAGATTATTTTCAATTAAAAAATTTTTTTGTGAGTACCTAGTTTGGTATAGGAGATTATTTCTTTTGACCTTGCATTTTATTTATTTATTTATTTATGAGATGGAGTCTCGCTCTGTCACCCAGGCTGGAGTGCAGTGGCGTGATCTCAGCTTACTGCAACCTCTGCCTCCTGGGCTCAAGCAATCCTCCCACCTCAGCCTCCCAAGTAGCTGGGACCACAGGTGCCCACCACCATGCTCGGCTATTTTGTATTTTTAGTAGAGACGGGGTCTTGCTATGTTGCCCAGGCTGCTCTTGAACTCCTGAGCTCAAGCAACCCTCCCACCAAGGCCTCCCTAAGTACTGGGGTCACAGGCATGAACAACCATACCTGGCCTCTTGCATGCATTTTAAATTGTAGAAAAATCTTATATTACAGTCTGTTTGGAGACACTCACTTTCTGGGTACCACAGAAAGCACTTTCAGTTACATCTCTCTTTCCACATGACTGAACAAAGTGACAGAGTGGAAAGACCAACCCCAGGGACCCCTGTGCAGACAGGATACAGGGTGGGGGCACCGAGGCTCTGCAGGGACGGTGCTGGGGGCTGCACCACAGGTCCTTGGTGACCATGCTGCTGAGGACTCAGAAATATTGAAAACAGTTGTGACCACAGTGCAGAATTCATGTAGATTTCACTCCTCAAAGGGAGCTCTGTCCAGATCCAGGTGCCCACAGGGGTTCTGGGCACCCACAGGCTGTGCTGCCACCTCTGGTCCTCAAGGGCTTTCCGCCTTTGGCAGCAGCCCACAGTTAGGCTTCTGCCCGTGTCAGGTGGCATCTGGGGTCCTTGTCCTCCCAGCTGTCTTTATAAATGGCAACTCAGAAGCTACTGCTGAAACATTTTGTGGTCAAGCTAAAAATAGTCTGCTGGAATTGTGATAATCCAGCAAGTCCACATTTCAGATGCTCTCTGCTCAGTGCAGGGCAAAACCACATGACCCTGGTTCCAACCCCACGACTTCCCAGGGAAGATGAGTATGAGGGCCAGGGCCAGGGCAGCTGCTCCGGAAGTGGTCAGGCTCCTGGGGACTCAGATGGTCCCATGGCGAGCTCATGGAGTCTCCCTCTTGATCCCTGCCTTAGGGCAGACCCAGGTTGTTCACTGGCCTGGGCACACAGCTCATCAGACACCCACGAGGGCAGTCTGCAGGCAGAATCCACCTGCTGCCCAGGAAGAGAGATGGGGGGGGCAGCTGGCTGTGCCCCACCCTGACCTGCCCTCAAGGAGCAGCCACAGTTAGACTGTTAGCAAGAGAATTTCCAATAAATGGTCCTCATACATGGTAGCAACTCTGTAAAGAACTGCATGTATTTAGGCCGGGCGCGGTGGCTCACACCTGTAATCCCCGCACTTTGGGAGGCTGAGGCAGGCAGATCACCTGAGGTCAGGAGTTCAAGACCAGCCTGGCCAACATGGTGAAACCCCGTCTCTACTAAAAATACAAAAATTAGCTGAGCGTTGTGGCGGATGCCTATAATCCCAGCTACTTAGGAGGGTGAGACAGGAGAATCGCTTGAACCCTTGAGGTGGAGGTTGCAGTGAGTCACGATTGCGCCATTGCACTCCAGCCTGGGCAACAAGAGTGAAACTCTGTCTCAAGAAAACAAACAAAAAACTGCGGCCAGGTGCGGTGGCTCACTCCTGTAATCCCAGCACTTTGGGAGGCCGAGGCGGGCAGATCAGGAGGTCTGGAGATCGAGACCATCCTGTCTAACGCGGTGAAACTCCATCTCTACTAAAAACACAAAAAAATTAGCTGGGCGTGGTGGTGGGCGCCTGTAGTCCTGACTACTCAGGAGGCTGAGGCAGGAGAATGACGTGAACCCGGGAGGCAGAGCTTGCAGTGAGCAGAGATTGCACCACTGCACTCCAGCCTGGGCGACAGAGCAAGACTCCGTCTCAAAAACAAACAAACTAAAACAAAAAAACTGCACGCGTTTTGCACACATGGCTTTTTAAACGTGAGTTTCCATGTAAAGGCCCTTTGGAGATTCCTCACTTGCAGTGTTCAGGTCTCATTGATCCCTGTGTCTCTGGGACACAAGGTTGGGGGGTGTGGAGTTTGAGGTGGGCAGGCAGAGGCCAGCAGCAGATCATGGTTCTGCTGTGGCTTAAAGAGAGATGGTGGGATCAGGACGATCAAGATGCAGGGGCCTGGCAGGAACCCAGCACAGGGGCTGGGGCACTCATACATGACATGCGTGAGTCACACCTAGACACACTGTATGCGTGTGTACACACATGCATGTCTGCACACTGCATGCGGATGCACACACACACTACATGTGCTGACACGCCCCCCAGTTTGGTGAGCAGACCCCAGGGATCCCTGGAACCCCCAGAAACTGTGAGGAGGGGAAATTCCTTCAGAAGGCACACTCTGTGAGCCACCAGCCCTTGTGATGGAGCCCTCGGATATAATGGAGAAGATGGAAGCTGCGCCCCACTGGGGTGGATGGTGACCAGGAGGAGCTGCTGTGGGGGCCCAGCCCTCCCAGCGGGCAGGGTCCCTGATCAGAGGCATCCCCCACAAGCGCTGCCTCTGGCTCTTGCCTCTGTCTCTTGCCTCTAGCGCAGACAGGACCCTTTGTGTGCGGTCCCTTAGGTCTCCCAGTACCCTGGAGTCAGCAAGCACCTGGAAGTGCCACTGGCGGGCCAGGACAAGGGGACTTGTCTAAGGGCCCACGAGCCGGGCTTGGTCAGGCGAGGGAATTCTTTGGGGGAGGCTAGTGGCAGAGGGTCAGACTGGCCAAGCCTGTGAGGCCCGGGGGCCCCAGGGGCAAGCCTGGGATGAAGACAGCCAAGTGTGGGCAGGGCTCTTGCAGGCTCCAGTAGGGACCAGGCTATTCCCGCTGTGCACCTCATCCACACCTGCCAGCAGACATTGCTCTGAAGTGTCCTCCCCCAGCCAGCAGGGCTCCTTAGGGGTACTCGGCCCACGGCAGGGCTGTGCACAGGGTCTGCACACAGGCTAGAGTCCTTGTTTTGCTGAGGACAAGCAGCGGTGCTCCCATCACTGCCAGCCCTCGGCGTTGCCCTTCTCGGTCTGGGCCTCACCTCCACTGCCCTATGGCAGATAGCCGAGGCAGGGGTGACAGGATCTGTGTGGATTTGGACCTAAGGTAGGAACAGTGTGGGGG
This sequence comes from Homo sapiens, assembly GCF_000001405.40. NCBI lineage: Eukaryota > Metazoa > Chordata > Mammalia > Primates > Hominidae > Homo > Homo sapiens. Next base: position 105,253,035 of record NC_000014.9, on the reverse strand, counting down.
GCAGGGGAGTCACTGAGGAACACAGATCTCAGTCCCAGCAAGGGGGCTGAGGCCAAGACCCCTGGGCCCATCGGAATCTGGGCTGGAGGTGTGGCTGGTGGGAGCACATGTGGACAGAACTGGTTTTGTGTTCATGGGTGTGCAGTTGTGAATGAAATGCTGCGTGCACCGTGTGATGACGCCCTGGGAGGAACCTTGCAGTCAGGTTTTCTTCTAAGCAGATGCCATCATTGGCGAGACGGCAGCACGGCCTAAAGCAGCGGCTTAGAGGAAGAAGGCAGGGCCCTGGGAGCCCCAGCAGCCAAGGGAGGCCAGCCAGGCTTGCGGGTGTGGGGTGGCTGCTCCACGGGCCATCGGAGTCTTTAAAGACTGCACAAGAGATGCATTTTAAGAGAAAAAAAGCAAACATTTCCTTAAATACCAATGCTGTTTCTGGTTGTGATCTCTCCATCTCAGGTGAATGTGTACGTGCTTGGAAAGACGTTTCTTCTCTTGGCAAGAGAGCTCTGCATCAATGCGCCGGCCATAGGTAGGCATCTGGGTGAGATGCTGGGGTGTCCGGCAGGCTGCTGTAGGGACCAGCGTGCCAAATGTCCTTTGAACAGTGGAGGGAAATCCTGTCCAAGCATGGGACCCCTCAAGGTAAGAAATGTTTCTTAAAGCTGCTAGGAGCTCAGTAATGTGGGGCCTTATTTTCTAAGACACAGTCTCGCTGTTGTCCAGGCTGGAGTGCAGTGGCACAATCGTAGCTCACTGCAGCCTCAAACTCCTGGCCTCAAGTGATCCTCGTGCCTTCGCCTCCCAAAGCACTGGGATTACAGGCATGAGACCGCACCTGGCCTGGGGCTTGCTTTCTGCTGCAAAACCAGAAGGCCTGTTGTCAGTGCCTGTCAGGTGGCAGGAAGGTGTAGACAGGGAAACAAGTGCTGCGTGCTGGGAGCATCTTGTGTGGACAAGGTTTAAGGGACACACCTGGCTCCAGGTGCCTCTGGACAGATGGGGACAGTGGGGCAGCTCCTGGTTGTGCTTTCCAGCCACAGCCCTCTTTTGTGGTTTTTCTGCCACTTTTGTTCTGTGTTGTGTGCGAGTTTGTGGAACTCCTGTATGCCTTTCTTGATGTGTGTTAGGTGTAGGGTAAGTCCTGTCTCTCCCTCGAGGCAGCAGCAGTGTTCATGCATGCAGAATCTAACCTAGCGGAAAAGTCTAGAAGGAAAGGATCAAAACAGCACTCACTGCCCGATGGTTCTGACCTACCCTTTCTTTACCAAGCAGATGACTGGTTTCCATGGCCCGCTTAGAGGCCCCTTTCTTACTTTGCCTGTTTGCATCTAGGAGCGTATGTCCTTTGGGTAGAGAAGCACCAGGTGGGGCTGGGTCACCAACAGGACTGAGCAACACGGGCTGCAGCAGCAGAGGGGCACCGGCTGAGGCTATACACTCGGCCCATGCCCTCTCCCAGGTGCCAAGAGGGGCCATCCCTCTTTTCGGGGGTCATACAGGTTTTCCAGAAAACAACTGCCTACAGGGTATGCAGAGTGGGAGGAGAGAGACAAGGGGTGGGAGAGCCTGTTTCACCCTATAGTCCACTCCTGCAACAGGCTGTCCCGCAGCAGTGTCACAGCTAGTGACAGTCCCCAGGGTCCAGAACGCTGGGCCCAGCAGAATGCTCCCCCGACAGTCTGTTCATAGGGTAGGACTCTGAGGTGCTAGTGATGCATTAGGACATAGAGACAACCAGGCACCTGGTGTTTCCTAGGGTGGCCCAGAAGCCAGCCAGCAACCCAGGGGACAGATGGGCTTCACTGGGGCGCAGTTTGCTCCTAACCACATAGCATGTTCAGCATGACAGGTTTTCTCCTCGGGATGGGAGGGAGCTGTTCTGTTGCATGAGAAAGAGAATACCCCACTGTACAACTGCTGTAGTCATTTACTGACACGTGGGTGTTATTTTAGGCAACCTTTATTACAGAAGTCCACTATTTTAAGTGACTTTTTGCCAATTTTAGATTTGAAGGGAAGGTCTCAAGTTAAGCTTGGAACCACTTAGAATCCAAGAGGGTAGCAGGAAGATCCAACCCCTCAAAGCAGGTGGCATGGGTGCCACTGGGAGGGGATCTGGGGCCTGTCTTGAGCCGTAAATCTTCCTCCACCTGAGACGTGCACCCCACTGTACCAGAGATGCCTAAGACTCCAATCCCTGGGTTCTGGCTGTGTGGAAAATGTCTCTACACAGTCAAGCTTCAGCTGACTACATGTCAAAGAGAGACAAAGTTAAGAGCAGCCTTTCATGGTGTCAAGAAGCAGTTAGCATCTTGACTTCCCCTCCACTCACTCGCTGACCTGCTGCAGCCTCCCCGGGCACCTCAGGCATAGAAAATGAGCTCAGGGATCTGCCCACCCTGGACCCCAGTCCCGTTGGTGCTGTCCGAGGAGCACTGGAACTGGAAGGCCACCTTTCCACACTGCACTTCCGTCATCCCCTCCTGCCCAAAGTAGCTGAGTTCGCTGCCGTCCAGGACGGCACTGGCCGTGTAGAAGGTGTCTTGTTCAACCTGGACCGGGTGTTCAAACCAGACCGGGAAGGTGTTACTGGATCCGTCTGACATGAACTTGGTCAAGTTCTGAGCCAGAACCACCCCGAGCCGCTTGAGCTCAATCTTCACGCTGTACTCAGCCTTCCCAGAGCTGGAGCCATACAGGCCCAGCCCTGCAATAAATACCCTTCTGTCCACTGCAAACTGGATGCTGTCGCAGCGCCCGCGGTACCGCCACTGGTTGCTGCGGTAGGCAGAAGACTGGAATCGGTGGCACCTCTGCGGGGCGAGGCCCTTCCTCTTGGTCAGGGGAAAGTCCAGGCGGGGCTTGTTGGTGGCCGTGTACCACAGGAAGATGCTGTGGGTCTCCTCCAGAGTCAGGATGTCTGACTGGGCAGCGCCGTTGGCAAACTCCTCTAGGGTCATGGTTGGAATTCGGACCAGATAGAGGGCTCGCCCCAGAACATGCCTCTTGTTTCGTGGGGTGATTGGCAGCCCCTGCCTCTTGCACTCCGCCTCGGCCCAGTTCAGGACGGCCTCGAAGACCACCGCCTCTTTGGTGTTGAGGGCCTCCCGAGTGACAATGATCTCCAGCGTCTGCCGGTCTATCTCACAGAAGCCTTCGGACCGTAGGGCCATCTCGGCCTGTGCGTCAATGACCTCCCAGCAGCGCTGCGTCAGCTCGGGCTCCTCAAACAGCCGGCTCTGGGACAGCAGGACGCAGGCGTTCTTGGCTTCCAAACTTGTCTCCAGAAAGTTGACACAGGCTTTTGCCAATGCTGGGACGATGTACTTCTTAGCAGCGTACAGAGTGGCCAGCACCGTGTCGGCTTCCAGATCGATCTCATCACTGTACATGTACCTAGGCGAGGCAGGGCCCGCGTCAGGGGCTGGCTCCCAAGCACCCATCGCGGGGCTGGGCCTGGGAGAGGAGTCCATCAGCTCCTGTGTGCTTCCCTTCAGAAGCCTCCGGAGGCCGCCTAAAACGGACCCACCCGTCCCTCCCCAGTAGAGTGGACTTACTTTAAGAGGATCAGAAAGGCTGCGGGCTCCACGTCTGGAATGTGAATTTCAGATTTGACTTCCGCCAGGTCTCCGTAGAACATGGCATAGAAGACGGAGCTGCCGACAGCCAAGACGTACTGGGAGGAGAAAGCGCCGCCGTGAGCCTGGCTCTCCCGCAGGCTGCGTGTCAGCCACACGGCGGACGGGGCGGACGGGGCACGCGTTCCGAGAGGGGCCGCCGCTACCCACCTTGTGGGCGGGCACCGTCCTGGTCGCCCCCGGGGGCCCCACGACGAAGTGCACGTCGGCCATGAGCTCGTTGTTGAACATGAGCGCGTTCCTGCAAAGGTAGAGGCACGGGCTGGGGGCGTGGGCGCGCGCGGGCGCGGGGGCCGCGGGGCACGGGCTCACCTCTCGCGCAGCGTGGGGCGGCAGCACCGCCAGCCGGGGCTCTCCTGGTGGTTGTTGCCGAGTGTGGGCGGCGCGGGCGCGGGCGGCGGCGGCGCTGGCGCGGGGGCGCTGGGCGGGCTGCGCGGCCCGGCCTTCCTGCCCACGGCGGCGCCGGCGTTGCTGTTGGCTAGGTCCGCGGCCGCGGCGCTGGCGGGAGCGTAGAGTTCCGCCGCCATCTTCGCGGGCGGGGCGGCGGGGGCAGCCTCGGCGCCTGTGGACGCCGCGCCCCGCGCCCTCGCGCCGCGCCGGGGCCTCGGGAGCGGCTCTGCAAGCAAAAGCAAGGAGGTCAGGCACTGAGCGACGCGGCCGTGCAGGCAGGCTAGGGGCAGCAGCATGGGCGGCGGCGGCGCTGTGACCCGCGGGGCTGCCACCCGCTCCCCTGCCACCCCCGCCCCTGCGACCCTGCCCGAGCCCAGCCTAGCGCAGCCCGGCCAGGCCCGGCCGCGGGGGGCGCCGTCCCGCCCGCCCGCCCGCCCGAGCCCGTACCCGCCGCGGCGCCGGTGCGTCACGCTGCGTCAGGGCCGCGCCCCGCGCGACGTCGCTGCCTCGCGGCCCCGCCCCCAGGCCCGACATCCTCGAAGCTGCTCGAGCTTCTGCCCAGCAACCGGCGCGAGCCGCGCGCTGTGCAGAGGTAGCCGTGGAAGGCGGCTCCCGGCGCTGGCAGGCGGCCGCCCCCAGACCCGCAGTGCCATGCGCAGGTGCTTGCGCCCGTTCTTCAGTTAGCGATCTTTTGGTTAGGAACGCAGGTGGACCTGCTTGTTTGGCCATTTGCATTCCGGAGTCTGCCTCTGGCCGCGGCCTGTGGGATGGTCGTTGGGCTTCCTCGTTCGTTCAGATGCTTCGCGATTTAGCTTGCTACGGACGCCAGCAGCCAGCGCTTGCAGAGAGCGCGGTCCACTCTGCTCTGAGGGCTTTACAGGGGCAGGCGCTGCTATTTCCCGGCATTTTCCTCGAGGAAATAGGCACAGAGAGGTTAGTCGCGCGCTGAAGGTCACACAGCCGGCGGGTGGGCAAGTCAGGATCTGGCCCTGGGCCTGCAGCCCTGGAGCTTGGGCCCCAGGGCGCGCCCTGCCTCTGTGGCTCTGCCTGTGGATCGCAGTCGCAGGCTCGCTCCTTGTGGGGCCTCTAGCCTCCCGGCCTGGGGCTAATCCTGGGAGGTGCGTGGCATGGGGCACTGGCTTTGCTGATGAGGAGACCAGACTTCAGAGGCCGTGTCACCTGGCCTGGGCCGCACAGCTGGTGCATGCCAAGCTCGCGTGCAGACGAAGCTCCAGAGGCCTGGCTGTCAGGAGGGTTCCTCCCCGAGGACACACACGCAACCTCCTGGACCGCCAGGCTTTAGACTTTTAAAACTTCCATATGCAGGAAACCCCACAGGACGCAGCCAGCATCTCGGGTCATGGGTGCACCTGTCACCGCAGTCCTGGGCTAAACAGTGAACAGGAGCTCTGTGTCTCTGTGGTCGTTACAGTTGTAGTGAATGTTCCCTGGGAGAGTCCTCTTCAGAAGATATTTGCGGTATTTTCAACAAAGGACTCTCCAGGATGGAGGAGCAACTACAAGTCAGGAAGGAAAAGGCTGACAACCCAGTTTTTTAAAAAACGGGCAAAGGACGTGAACAGACACCATGCAATGGCCCAGAGTGCACAAATCATCATTTCTCCCAGGAATGGGGTGCCCGAGCCCCCAGGCGGCTGAACTTGAGACTTGTCACGTAGTGTTGGTGGAATGCAGAGCAGCTGGAGATCACCTGCTGCAGGTGGGTGCGTAACTCCGCACGGCCAAGCCGTTTGGAAAGCTGTAGCATATGCATGAGAGTCCGGAAAGTTCCGAGAGAAAGTGTGTGGATGCACCCGCCAAGGACACACCCACCGAGGCCACAGCTGCGATTTCATAGTGTGGGACCCCACTGGCAAAGACACGCTGGCTGCTGTGGCCGTGGTTTCTGTCCCAGCCGTCTGTTTCCATAGAAAAAGGTAACGGGCATAAGCAGTTTCCAGGAGAAATACAAATGGCCAGAGTGGAGACAGCCTACATGTCCATCAGCAACAGAAAGGATCAGCAGGTTGTGGTGGGTCCATTTGGGGAATGCAGTGAGAAGGAATAACTTACAGCAGCACACAAGACCTGGGCGACAGCTGTCTCCGGGGGTGCCAGGATAGAATTGCTGAGCCGCCAGAGGTAGTCAGCGTCTTGATCTGCATGGTGGTGTGGAGCATGTGAATAATAATTTTCATCCTTAGAAAGAAACCACCCTTTGCACTTTGATTTTTAAATATGTTACAGTGTAGGTTGGGCGCGGTGGCTCACGCCTGTAATCCCAGCACTTTGGGAGGCCAAGGTGGGCGGATCACTTGAGGTCAGGAGTTTGAGACCAGCCTGGCCAACATGGTGAAACCCCATCTCTACTAAAAATACAAAAATTAACGGGCACCTGTAATCCCAGCTATTCGGGAGGCCAAGGAAGGAGAATGGCTCGAACCAGGGAGGCGGAGGTTGCAGTGAGCTGAGATCATGCTACTGCACTCCAGCCTGGATGACAGAGCGAGACTCCGTTGACCAGGCTGGTCTTAAACTCCTGGCCTCAAGTGATCTACCTGCCTAGGCCTCCCAAAGTGCTGGGATTACAGGTGTGAGCCACCGCGCCCAGCCTATTCTTTTTTGTTTGTGATAATGGTCATCCTAATGGACATGAGGTAGTGTCATGTGGTTTTGATTTGCATGTCCCTGATAAATAATGATGTTGACCATCTACTCATGTGCTTGTTGGCTATTTGCATGGCGTGTTTGGAGAAACGTCTGTTCAAGGGCTTTGCCTTTTTTTTTTGAGACAGAGTCTTACTCCGTTGCCCAGGCTGGAGTGCGGTGGTGAGGGTGCACTGCAACATCCGCCTTCCAGGTTCAAGCGATTCTTGTGCCTCAGCCTCCCAAAGAGCTGGGATTACAAAAGTGCAGTTTGCCCATTTTTAATCGATTTTGTTCCTGAGTTGGAGTTTTTTGTATATTCAGGCTGTTAACCCCTTATGAGATAGATGGTTTGCACATAGTCTCTTCCATTCTATAGGATATCATTTCTGTTAATAGATTCCTTTGCTGTGCAGAAACTTTTTAGTTTGAGGTCATCCCATTTGTCTATTTTTACTTTCGTTGCCCTTGCTGTTGGTGTCATGTTCAAGAAATCATTGCCAAGACCAATGTCGTGAAGTCTTTCCCTTTGTTTTCTTCTAAGGGTTTTACAGTTTCAAGTCTGTGTTTGGGTCTTGCATCGGTTTTGAGTTAGTTTTTGTGTATGATGTAAGGTAAGGGTCTATCTTTATTTGCAAGTGGATATCCAGTTTTCCCAGCGCTGCATATTGAAGAGACCATCCTTTCCCCATTGTGCAAGAAGTTCTTGTCACCCTTGTTGAAGGTCATCTGTCTGTCATTGTCATTTCTGGCCCTGTGCTGTCCTGTCCTGTCCTGTCCTGTCCTGTTCTGTTCTGTTGGTCTGTAGGTCTGTCTTTATGTCAGCACCATACTGGCTGTTGGACTTTTTAATTCTTTTCTTGACAGTGGTAATTTATTTGCTTCTTTTTCTTATTAGTCCCTTTGCCTACTTTAAATAATTAATTTTGTTAATTTTTAGTTTTCTGTTATTTTAGTTCATTAATTTCATTGCTTCCTTTATTTATTTATTTATTTTTTTTGAGATGGAGTCTTGCTCTGTCACTCAGGCTGGAGTGCAGTGGCACGATCTCAGCTCACTGCAACCTCCACCTCCCAGGTTCAAGTGATTCTCCTGTCTCAGTCTCCTGAGTAGCTGGGATTACAGGCACTTGCCACCATGCCCGGCTAATTTTTTGTATTTTTTAGTAGAGACGGGGTTTCGCTGTGTTGCCCGGGCTGGTTTCAAACTTCTGAGCTCAGGCAATCCACCTGCCTCGGCCTCCCAAAGTGCTAGGATTACAGGTGTGAGCCACCACGCCTGACCCATTGCTGCCTTAAATACACAAAGCGCTTGAGTTAATAAAGTTACCTGAAGGATTGAACTTTAATTTCTAACAGCGTTTGGAGGTGAGGGGACTACTTGTTTTTGCTCATTTTTAGTTTTTTTTTTTTTGCACTTGGGGTCAAATGGCATGTCCTATGTGCTGTTACCTGAAATATATTGAGGGTTTCTTTGTTCTATCATACCTGGTCATTTTCATAACTGTCCCACAGACACTGGAGAAGCATGATGACTCCATGGGGTACAGAATTTAGAACATCCTTGTCAGATTGAGTCTATGGTGATGTGTCTTAAGTCGTCCCTTAGTCTTTTTTTTCCTAATCAGTCTGTCAAATTTCAGAGAACCATGTTAAAATCCCCTATTATTGTGGTTTTGAAGGTTGTTTCCAGTGTTTTTCCTTCATTTAATTCTTCCTCTGTCGCTGTGCGCCTGCAGATTCCAGGCTGCTTGACATGGGTTCCTTTCCATGATGAAATGCCATGCCTGTCCCGTGCCGCTCTGCCACTCCGCGTTTGCCCACCGTGCCGCCGCTGCCCACCACTTCCTCCTCCACCCTAGTCACTGACAGATTTGTCTTGAAAAAAACACTTTTTGCTTGTCTTTTTTGTTTTTTGTTTTGAGACATGGTGTCAGTCACCTAGGCTAGAATGCAGTGGCAAGGTCATGGCTCAATGCAGCCCCGACCTCCTGGACTCAAGCAATCCTCCCACCTCAGCCTCCCAAGTAGCTGAGACAACAGGTATGCATCACTACACTAGGCTAAATTTTTCATTTTTTGTAAAGATGGGGGTCTCACTATATTGCCTAGGCTGGTTTCAAACTCCTGGGCTCAAGCGATCCTCCTGCCTTGGCCTCCCAAAGTTCTGGGACTCACAGGTGTGAGCCACTGCATCCGGCCCCAGATTTTTGTTTTAAGAGATGGGGTCTTGCTGTGTTTCCCAGGCTGACCTCGAACTCCCGGGCTCAAGCAATCCTCCCACCTCGGCCTTCCAAGTAGCTAGGAATGTAGGTATGAGCCACTCTGCCTGGCTTGTCTTGAATTTTTTGTTTGTTTGTTTGAGATGGAGTCTCGCTCTGTCGCCTAGGCTGGAGTACAGTGGCGCAGTCTTGGTTCATTGCAACCTCCACCTCCCGGGTTCAAGCAAATTCTCCTGTTTCAGCCTCCTTAGTACCTGGGATGACTACAGGCGCACACCACCACCCCCAGCTAATTTTTGTATCTTTAGTAGAGATGGGGTTTCACTATATTGGCCAGGCTGGTCTTGAATTCCTGACGTCAGGTGATCCACCCTCCTCGGCCTCCCAAAGTGCTGGGATTACAGGTGTGAGCCACTGTGCCCAGCCGTTGATATATTTACCAGTGTTTTTGAAATGAGTTTTCTATTTCAATAATTAATGAGCATCAAAGTCTCACCCACATTAGTACATCTTTTTCTTTCTCTCTCTTTTTTTTTTTCTGTTGCCCAGGCCTGAGTACAGTGGTGCAATCACAGCTCACTGCAGCCTCAACCTCCCGGGCTCAAGTGATCCTACTGCCTCAGCCTCCTCAGTAGCTGGGACTAGACCACACCCACTAATTTTTTATTTTTATTTTTTTTTTTTTAAGAGACAGAGTCTTGCTGCTCTGTCGCCCAGGCTGGAGTGCAGTGGCATGATCTTGGCTCACTATAACCTCCACCTCCCAGCTTCAAGCAATGCTGTAGTCTCAGCCTTTCAAGTATCTGGGACTATAGGTGCCCGCCACCACACCCGGCTAATTTTTTTTTTTTTTTGTATTTTAGTAAAGACTGGGTTTCACTATGGTGTCCAGGGTGGTCTCGAACTCCTAAGCTCAGGCAATCCACCTGCCTTGGCCTCCCAAAATTCTGGGATTACAGATGTGAGCCACCACACCCAGCCTCACACCCACTAATTTTTTTGTTTGTTTGTTTGTTTGTTTTTTGAGACAGAGTCTCACTCTGTCATCCAGGCTGGAGTGCAGTGGCATGATCTTGGCTCACTGCAATCTCCGCCTCCTAGGTTCAAGCGATTCTCCTGCCTCAGCCTCCCAAGTAGGTGGGATTACAGGCGTGCACCACCACGCCCAGCTCATTTTTTGTATTTTAGTTGAGACGGGGTTTCACCATGTTGCCCAGGGTGGTCTCGATCTCCTGAGCTCAGGTCATCCACCCGCCCTAATCTCCCAAAGTGTTGGGATTACAGGCGTAAGCCGCAGCACCTGGCCCCGGCCAAATTTTTTTCAAAAACTTTTGTATAGACTTCGTCTCTGTATTGCCCAGTCTATAAGCGTATCTTTTTTTTTTTTTTTTTTTTTTTTTTTTTGAGTCAGAACTTCGCTCTTGTTGCCCAGGCTGGAGTGCAATGCTGCGATCTCAGCTCACCAAAACCTCCACCTCCCTGGTTCAAGCAATTCTCCAGCCTCAGCCTCTTGAGTAGCTGGGACTAGAGGCATGCACCACCACGCCCTGCAAATTTTGTATTTTTAGTAAAGATGGGGTTTCTCCATGTTGGTCAGGCCGGTCTCGAACTGCGGACCTCAGGTGATCCGCCCGCCTCGGCCCCCAAAGTGCTGGGATTAGAGGTGTGAGCCACCGCGCCCAGCCTATGAGCATATTTTTTATCGTTCTCTTTATTTCTAGCTGCGATGATTGTATCTTATTGAAAATCATTAAAAATCTTAGCAATTGTTTTAAATTATCTAATTTTTTTCTCCAAATAATATCTATTTTAGCAGCCAAATCACCACAAATCATTGGTTTTTATCTTTAGTTGTGGGTGCACAGCGGGTGCGTGTATTTTGGGGCATGTGAGGTGTCTTGATGCGTTCATGCAGTGTGTAACAGTCACATCAGGGTAAATGGGACATCTTTCACCTCAAGCATTTATCCTTCGTGTTATGGACACCCTCAGCTGGAAAGGGGGGCTGCGTCGTGAGTATGAATGGATGCAAGTCATAGCCACCTGAGCCTGGTGGGGCACAGCAGGGCCCTGTGGAGTCACATCCCGGCCTCATGCTCGGCATAGGGGAGCGCTGCTTAGGTCCATGCAGTCGCTCAGGGCCCAGGCTGTGCAGCGCCCAGCCTGTCCTGCTCCAGGCACTCCCCCGTGGCACTGTGCCGTGCTGGCAGAGGTGCACAGCGCCAGGCCTCAGTGTGCACACACAGCCCCCGTGGCACCGCCATGCTGGTAGAGATGCCAGAAGTGGGCCCTCCTCTCACCCATGAGTGTCAGCTGATGCCGGCCGGCTGGCGACTTGTGTACCCAGCCCACGCCTGTCTTGCTCTAAGAGTCCCCGGACCGTTGTTGCGTGTGGTGCTGTCTGCATGGTCTGGAGGGAAGGCTGCTGGGTGTGCGCCCCTCTGTGTCCTGAGCAGGGCGGCCATGCAGTAGGAGCACGCTGCCTGGCCCTAGCGTGTCTGCAGCAGGCTGGCTGGCAGCAGGTGGCCAGTGGCTCTCCTGGGTTCGGTGCGATGGCTGCCCTAGCTGAGGGTCAGAGAGGCTTTGTCCAGGGGAGGGGAACTGGTGGGGGGCCTGGGGGCCTGGAAAGACAAGTGCAGGTTGCCCCACCCCTGGGCTGCGTGGGCCGCCTGTGCACGTGCCATGGCACATGGAGGTGGGCACTGAGGTGCTGTGTCTGCCGCAGACCCGTGCCTGTATATTCCACGCTTTGCGCACCTGCTGGAATTCGGGGAGAAGAACCACGAGGTGTCCATGACTGCCCTGAGGCTCCTACAGAGGATGAAGCGGGACTGGATGCACACAGGCCGGCGCCCCTCGGGCCTCTGCGGAGCAGGTACAGCGGGCCCTGCCTGCCTGGGGGATGCTGGTCTGGGTCCTGGCCTCACACTTTCCTGACTCCTGAGTGCTGGTGGGCTGGGCCGTATGTTTGCAGAGCACTGAGAGCTGCCTCCAGCCTCCCGGGGCTGACTCTGGCCTGGCCCACCGGGGTCCTCAGCCCTCCAGGACCTCCTGGCTGCCCCGTTGGCCTCTGCGTGTCCTGGCATAAGGGGCAGAACTCTCAGGGCAGAGCGGCCTTGACCCCAGGTTGCCTACTTCTGGGGTGCGGCTGCATGGGCATCCCTGCCCGTGGTCTCGTGGGGCCCGGCTTCTGACGCGGACAGTGGTGTGGCCTCTCTCTCCTGAGATGCTAGGTTGTTGCTCCTGAGGGTGCCACAGGGCTGCCAGGCTGTCCCCCGCCCCCAGCTGGGCGACTACGCGGATAGTGGTGTGGCCTCTCTCTCCTGAGATGCTAGGTTGTTGCTCCTGAGGGTGCCACAGGGCTGCCAGGCTGTCCCCCGCCCCCAGCTGGGCGACTACGCGGATAGTGGTGTGGCCTCTCTCTCCTGAGATGCTAGGTTGTTGCTCCTGAGGGTGCCACAGGGCTGTCAGGCTGTCCCCCGCCCCCAGCTGGGCGACTACGCGGACAGTGGTGTGGCCTCTCTCTCCTGAGATGCTAGGTTGTTGCTCCTGAGGGTGCCACAGGGCTGCCAGGCTGTCCCCCGCCCCCAGCTGGGCGACTACGCGGATAGTGGTGTGGCCTCTCTCTCCTGAGATGCTAGGTTGTTGCTCCTGAGGGTGCCACAGGGCTGCCAGGCTGTCCCCCGCCCCCAGCTGGGCGACTACGCGGACAGTGGTGTGGCCTCTCTCTCCTGAGATGCTAGGTTGTTGCTCCTGAGGGTGCCACAGGGCTGTCAGGCTGTCCCCCGCCCCCAGCTGGGCGACTACGCGGACAGTGGTGTGGCCTCTCTCTCCTGAGATGCTAGGTTGTTGCTCCTGAGGGTGCCACAGGGCTGCCAGGCTGTCCCCCGCCCCCAGCTGGGCGACTACGCGGACAGTGGTGTGGCCTCTCTCTCCTGAGATGCTAGGTTGTTGCTCCTGAGGGTGCCACAGGGCTGCCAGGCTGTCCCCCGCCCCCAGCTGGGCGACTACGCGGACAGTGGTGTGGCCTCTCTCTCCTGAGATGCTAGGTTGTTGCTCCTGAGGGTGCCACAGGGCTGCCAGGCTGTCCCCCGCCCCCAGCTGGGCGACTACGCGGACAGTGGTGTGGCCTCTCTCTCCTGAGATGCTAGGTTGTTGCTCCTGAGGGTGCCACAGGGCTGCCAGGCTGTCCCCCGCCCCCAGCTGGGCGACTACGCGGACAGTGGTGTGGCCTCTCTCTCCTGAGATGCTAGGTTGTTGCTCCTGAGGGTGCCACAGGGCTGCCAGGCTGTCCCCCGCCCCCAGCTGGGCGACTACGCGGACAGTGGTGTGGCCTCTCTCTCCTGAGATGCTAGGTTGTTGCTCCTGAGGGTGCCACAGGGCTGCCAGGCTGTCCCCCGCCCCCAGCTGGGCGACTACGCGGACAGTGGTGTGGCCTCTCTCTCCTGAGATGCTAGGTTGTTGCTCCTGAGGGTGCCACAGGGCTGCCAGGCTGTCCCCCGCCCCCAGCTGGGCGACTACGCGGACAGTGGTGTGGCCTCTCTCTCCTGAGATGCTAGGTTGTTGCTCCTGAGGGTGCCACAGGGCTGTCAGGCTGTCCCCCGCCCCCAGCTGGGCGACTACGCGGACAGTGGTGTGGCCTCTCTCTCCTGAGATGCTAGGTTGTTGCTCCTGAGGGTGCCACAGGGCTGTCAGGCTGTCCCCCGCCCCCAGCTGGGCGACTACGCGGACAGTGGTGTGGCCTCTCTCTCCTGAGATGCTAGGTTGTTGCTCCTGAGGGTGCCACGGGGCTGCCAGGCTGTCCCCCGCCCCCAGCTGGGCGACTACGCGGACAGTGGTGTGGCCTCTCTCTCCTGAGATGCTAGGTTGTTGCTCCTGAGGGTGCCACAGGGCTGCCAGGCTGTCCCCCGCCCCCAGCTGGGCGACTACGCGGACAGTGGTGTGGCCTCTCTCTCCTGAGATGCTAGGTTGTTGCTCCTGAGGGTGCCACAGGGCTGCCAGGCTGTCCCCCGCCCCCAGCTGGGCGACTACGCGGACAGTGGTGTGGCCTCTCTCTCCTGAGATGCTAGGTTGTTGCTCCTGAGGGTGCCACGGGGCTGCCAGGCTGTCCCCCGCCCCCAGCTGGGCGACTACGCGGACAGTGGTGTGGCCTCTCTCTCCTGAGATGCTAGGTTGTTGCTCCTGAGGGTGCCACAGGGCTGCCAGGCTGTCCCCCGCCCCCAGCTGGGCGACTACGCGGATAGTGGTGTGGCCTCTCTCTCCTGAGATGCTAGGTTGTTGCTCCTGAGGGTGCCACAGGGCTGCCAGGCTGTCCCCCGCCCCCAGCTGGGCGACTACGCGGACAGTGGTGTGGCCTCTCTCTCCTGAGATGCTAGGTTGTTGCTCCTGAGGGTGCCACAGGGCTGCCAGGCTGTCCCCCGCCCCCAGCTGGGCGACTACGCGGACAGTGGTGTGGCCTCTCTCTCCTGAGATGCTAGGTTGTTGCTCCTGAGGGTGCCACAGGGCTGCCAGGCTGTCCCCCGCCCCCAGCTGGGCGACTACGCGGACAGTGGTGTGGCCTCTCTCTCCTGAGATGCTAGGTTGTTGCTCCTGAGGGTGCCACAGGGCTGCCAGGCTGTCCCCCGCCCCCAGCTGGGCGACTACGCGGATAGTGGTGTGGCCTCTCTCTCCTGAGATGCTAGGTTGTTGCTCCTGAGGGTGCCACAGGGCTGCCAGGCTGTCCCCCGCCCCCAGCTGGGCGACTACGCGGATAGTGGTGTGGCCTCTCTCTCCTGAGATGCTAGGTTGTTGCTCCTGAGGGTGCCACAGGGCTGCCAGGCTGTCCCCCGCCCCCAGCTGGGCGACTACGCGGACAGTGGTGTGGCCTCTCTCTCCTGAGATGCTAGGTTGTTGCTCCTGAGGGTGCCACAGGGCTGCCAGGCTGTCCCCCGCCCCCAGCTGGGCGACTACGCGGACAGTGGTGTGGCCTCTCTCTCCTGAGATGCTAGGTTGTTGCTCCTGAGGGTGCCACGGGGCTGCCAGGCTGTCCCCCGCCCCCAGCTGGGCGACTACGCGGACAGTGGTGTGGCCTCTCTCTCCTGAGATGCTAGGTTGTTGCTCCTGAGGGTGCCACAGGGCTGCCAGGCTGTCCCCCGCCCCCAGCTGGGCGACTACGCGGACAGTGGTGTGGCCTCTCTCTCCTGAGATGCTAGGTTGTTGCTCCTGAGGGTGCCACAGGGCTGCCAGGCTGTCCCCCGCCCCCAGCTGGGCGACTACGCGGATAGTGGTGTGGCCTCTCTCTCCTGAGATGCTAGGTTGTTGCTCCTGAGGGTGCCACAGGGCTGTCAGGCTGTCCCCCGCCCCCAGCTGGGCGACTACGCGGACAGTGGTGTGGCCTCTCTCTCCTGAGATGCTAGGTTGTTGCTCCTGAGGGTGCCACAGGGCTGCCAGGCTGTCCCCCGCCCCCAGCTGGGCGACTACGCGGACAGTGGTGTGGCCTCTCTCTCCTGAGATGCTAGGTTGTTGCTCCTGAGGGTGCCACAGGGCTGCCAGGCTGTCCCCCGCCCCCAGCTGGGCGACTACGCGGACAGTGGTGTGGCCTCTCTCTCCTGAGATGCTAGGTTGTTGCTCCTGAGGGTGCCACAGGGCTGTCAGGCTGTCCCCCGCCCCCAGCTGGGCGACTACGCGGACAGTGGTGTGGCCTCTCTCTCCTGAGATGCTAGGTTGTTGCTCCTGAGGGTGCCACAGGGCTGTCAGGCTGTCCCCCGCCCCCAGCTGGGCGACTACGCGGACAGTGGTGTGGCCTCTCTCTCCTGAGATGCTAGGTTGTTGCTCCTGAGGGTGCCACGGGGCTGCCAGGCTGTCCCCCGCCCCCAGCTGGGCGACTACGCGGACAGTGGTGTGGCCTCTCTCTCCTGAGATGCTAGGTTGTTGCTCCTGAGGGTGCCACAGGGCTGCCAGGCTGTCCCCCGCCCCCAGCTGGGCGACTACGCGGACAGTGGTGTGGCCTCTCTCTCCTGAGATGCTAGGTTGTTGCTCCTGAGGGTGCCACAGGGCTGCCAGGCTGTCCCCCGCCCCCAGCTGGGCGACTACGCGGACAGTGGTGTGGCCTCTCTCTCCTGAGATGCTAGGTTGTTGCTCCTGAGGGTGCCACAGGGCTGCCAGGCTGTCCCCCGCCCCCAGCTGGGCGACTACGCGGACAGTGGTGTGGCCTCTCTCTCCTGAGATGCTAGGTTGTCGCTCCTGAGGGTGCCACAGGGCTGCCAGGCTGTCCCCCGCCCCCAGCTGGGCGACTACGCGGACAGTGGTGTGGCCTTTTTCTCCTGAGATGCTAGGTTGTGCTCCTGAGGGTGCCACAGGGCTGCCAGGCTGTCCCCCGCCCCCAGCTGGGCGACTACGCGGACAGTGGTGTGGCCTTTTTCTCCTGAGATGCTAGGTTGTGGCTCCTGAGGGTGCCACAGGGCTGTCAGGCTGTCCCCCGCCCCCAGCTGGGCGACTACGCGGACAGTGGTGTGGCCTCTCTCTCCTGAGATGCTAGGTTGTGGCTCCTGAGGGTGCCACAGGGCTGTCAGGCTGTCCCCCGCCCCCAGCTGGGCGACTACGCGGACAGTGGTGTGGCCTCTCTCTCCTGAGATGCTAGGTTGTTGCTCCTGAGGGTGCCACAGGGCTGCCAGGCTGTCCCCCGCCCCCAGCTGGGCGACTACGCGGACAGTGGTGTGGCCTCTCTCTCCTGAGATGCTAGGTTGTTGCTCCTGAGGGTGCCACAGGGCTGTCAGGCTGTCCCCCGCCCCCAGCTGGGCGACTACGCGGACAGTGGTGTGGCCTCTCTCTCCTGAGATGCTAGGTTGTTGCTCCTGAGGGTGCCACGGGGCTGCCAGGCTGTCCCCCGCCCCCAGCTGGGCGACTACGCGGACAGTGGTGTGGCCTCTCTCTCCTGAGATGCTAGGTTGTTGCTCCTGAGGGTGCCACGGGGCTGCCAGGCTGTCCCCCGCCCCCAGCTGGGCGACTACGCGGACAGTGGTGTGGCCTCTCTCTCCTGAGATGCTAGGTTGTTGCTCCTGAGGGTGCCACAGGGCTGTCAGGCTGTCCCCCGCCCCCAGCTGGGCGACTACGCGGACAGTGGTGTGGCCTCTCTCTCCTGAGATGCTAGGTTGTTGCTCCTGAGGGTGCCACAGGGCTGCCAGGCTGTCCCCCGCCCCCAGCTGGGCGACTACGCGGACAGTGGTGTGGCCTCTCTCTCCTGAGATGCTAGGTTGTTGCTCCTGAGGGTGCCACAGGGCTGCCAGGCTGTCCCCCGCCCCCAGCTGGGCGACTACGCGGACAGTGGTGTGGCCTCTCTCTCCTGAGATGCTAGGTTGTTGCTCCTGAGGGTGCCACAGGGCTGCCAGGCTGTCCCCCGCCCCCAGCTGGGCGACTACGCGGATAGTGGTGTGGCCTCTCTCTCCTGAGATGCTAGGTTGTTGCTCCTGAGGGTGCCACAGGGCTGTCAGGCTGTCCCCCGCCCCCAGCTGGGCGACTACGCGGACAGTGGTGTGGCCTCTCTCTCCTGAGATGCTAGGTTGTTGCTCCTGAGGGTGCCACAGGGCTGCCAGGCTGTCCCCCGCCCCCAGCTGGGCGACTACGCGGACAGTGGTGTGGCCTCTCTCTCCTGAGATGCTAGGTTGTTGCTCCTGAGGGTGCCACAGGGCTGCCAGGCTGTCCCCCGCCCCCAGCTGGGCGACTACGCGGATAGTGGTGTGGCCTCTCTCTCCTGAGATGCTAGGTTGTTGCTCCTGAGGGTGCCACAGGGCTGTCAGGCTGTCCCCCGCCCCCAGCTGGGCGACTACGCGGACAGTGGTGTGGCCTCTCTCTCCTGAGATGCTAGGTTGTTGCTCCTGAGGGTGCCACAGGGCTGCCAGGCTGTCCCCCGCCCCCAGCTGGGCGACTACGCGGACAGTGGTGTGGCCTCTCTCTCCTGAGATGCTAGGTTGTTGCTCCTGAGGGTGCCACAGGGCTGCCAGGCTGTCCCCCGCCCCCAGCTGGGCGACTACGCGGACAGTGGTGTGGCCTCTCTCTCCTGAGATGCTAGGTTGTTGCTCCTGAGGGTGCCACAGGGCTGCCAGGCTGTCCCCCGCCCCCAGCTGGGCGACTACGCGGACAGTGGTGTGGCCTCTCTCTCCTGAGATGCTAGGTTGTTGCTCCTGAGGGTGCCACAGGGCTGCCAGGCTGTCCCCCGCCCCCAGCTGGGCGACTACGCGGATAGTGGTGTGGCCTCTCTCTCCTGAGATGCTAGGTTGTTGCTCCTGAGGGTGCCACAGGGCTGTCAGGCTGTCCCCCGCCCCCAGCTGGGCGACTACGCGGACAGTGGTGTGGCCTCTCTCTCCTGAGATGCTAGGTTGTTGCTCCTGAGGGTGCCACAGGGCTGCCAGGCTGTCCCCCGCCCCCAGCTGGGCGACTACGCGGACAGTGGTGTGGCCTCTCTCTCCTGAGATGCTAGGTTGTTGCTCCTGAGGGTGCCACAGGGCTGTCAGGCTGTCCCCCGCCCCCAGCTGGGCGACTACGCGGACAGTGGTGTGGCCTCTCTCTCCTGAGATGCTAGGTTGTTGCTCCTGAGGGTGCCACGGGGCTGCCAGGCTGTCCCCCGCCCCCAGCTGGGCGACTACGCGGACAGTGGTGTGGCCTCTCTCTCCTGAGATGCTAGGTTGTTGCTCCTGAGGGTGCCACGGGGCTGCCAGGCTGTCCCCCGCCCCCAGCTGGGCGACTACGCGGACAGTGGTGTGGCCTCTCTCTCCTGAGATGCTAGGTTGTTGCTCCTGAGGGTGCCACAGGGCTGTCAGGCTGTCCCCCGCCCCCAGCTGGGCGACTACGCGGACAGTGGTGTGGCCTCTCTCTCCTGAGATGCTAGGTTGTTGCTCCTGAGGGTGCCACAGGGCTGCCAGGCTGTCCCCCGCCCCCAGCTGGGCGACTACGCGGACAGTGGTGTGGCCTCTCTCTCCTGAGATGCTAGGTTGTTGCTCCTGAGGGTGCCACGGGGCTGCCAGGCTGTCCCCCGCCCCCAGCTGGGCGACTACGCGGACAGTGGTGTGGCCTCTCTCTCCTGAGATGCTAGGTTGTTGCTCCTGAGGGTGCCACAGGGCTGCCAGGCTGTCCCCCGCCCCCAGCTGGGCGACTACGCGGACAGTGGTGTGGCCTCTCTCTCCTGAGATGCTAGGTTGTTGCTCCTGAGGGTGCCACGGGGCTGCCAGGCTGTCCCCCGCCCCCAGCTGGGCGACTACGCGGACAGTGGTGTGGCCTCTCTCTCCTGAGATGCTAGGTTGTTGCTCCTGAGGGTGCCACGGGGCTGCCAGGCTGTCCCCCGCCCCCAGCTGGGCGACTACGCGGACAGTGGTGTGGCCTCTCTCTCCTGAGATGCTAGGTTGTTGCTCCTGAGGGTGCCACGGGGCTGCCAGGCTGTCCCCCGCCCCCAGCTGGGCGACTACGCGGACAGTGGTGTGGCCTCTCTCTCCTGAGATGCTAGGTTGTTGCTCCTGAGGGTGCCACAGGGCTGCCAGGCTGTCCCCCGCCCCCAGCTGGGCGACTACGCGGACAGTGGTGTGGCCTCTCTCTCCTGAGATGCTAGGTTGTTGCTCCTGAGGGTGCCACAGGGCTGCCAGGCTGTCCCCCGCCCCCAGCTGGGCGACTACGCGGACAGTGGTGTGGCCTCTCTCTCCTGAGATGCTAGGTTGTTGCTCCTGAGGGTGCCACGGGGCTGCCAGGCTGTCCCCCGCCCCCAGCTGGGCGACTACGCGGACAGTGGTGTGGCCTCTCTCTCCTGAGATGCTAGGTTGTTGCTCCTGAGGGTGCCACGGGGCTGCCAGGCTGTCCCCCGCCCCCAGCTGGGCGACTACGCGGACAGTGGTGTGGCCTCTCTCTCCTGAGATGCTAGGTTGTTGCTCCTGAGGGTGCCACGGGGCTGCCAGGCTGTCCCCCGCCCCCAGCTGGGCGACTACGCGGACAGTGGTGTGGCCTCTCTCTCCTGAGATGCTAGGTTGTTGCTCCTGAGGGTGCCACAGGGCTGCCAGGCTGTCCCCCGCCCCCAGCTGGGCGACTACGCGGACAGTGGTGTGGCCTCTCTCTCCTGAGATGCTAGGTTGTTGCTCCTGAGGGTGCCACAGGGCTGTCAGGCTGTCCCCCGCCCCCAGCTGGGCGACTACGCGGACAGTGGTGTGGCCTCTCTCTCCTGAGATGCTAGGTTGTTGCTCCTGAGGGTGCCACAGGGCTGTCAGGCTGTCCCCCGCCCCCAGCTGGGCGACTACGCGGACAGTGGTGTGGCCTCTCTCTCCTGAGATGCTAGGTTGTTGCTCCTGAGGGTGCCACAGGGCTGCCAGGCTGTCCCCCGCCCCCAGCTGGGCGACTACGCGGACAGTGGTGTGGCCTCTCTCTCCTGAGATGCTAGGTTGTTGCTCCTGAGGGTGCCACAGGGCTGTCAGGCTGTCCCCCGCCCCCAGCTGGGCGACTACGCGGACAGTGGTGTGGCCTCTCTCTCCTGAGATGCTAGGTTGTTGCTCCTGAGGGTGCCACAGGGCTGCCAGGCTGTCCCCCGCCCCCAGCTGGGCGACTACGCGGACAGTGGTGTGGCCTCTCTCTCCTGAGATGCTAGGTTGTTGCTCCTGAGGGTGCCACAGGGCTGCCAGGCTGTCCCCCGCCCCCAGCTGGGCGACTACGCGGACAGTGGTGTGGCCTCTCTCTCCTGAGATGCTAGGTTGTTGCTCCTGAGGGTGCCACGGGGCTGTCAGGCTGTCCCCCGCCCCCAGCTGGGCGACTACGCGGACAGTGGTGTGGCCTCTCTCTCCTGAGATGCTAGGTTGTTGCTCCTGAGGGTGCCACAGGGCTGCCAGGCTGTCCCCCGCCCCCAGCTGGGCGACTACGCGGACAGTGGTGTGGCCTCTCTCTCCTGAGATGCTAGGTTGTTGCTCCTGAGGGTGCCACAGGGCTGCCAGGCTGTCCCCCGCCCCCAGCTGGGCGACTACGCGGACAGTGGTGTGGCCTCTCTCTCCTGAGATGCTAGGTTGTTGCTCCTGAGGGTGCCACAGGGCTGCCAGGCTGTCCCCCGCCCCCAGCTGGGCGACTACGCGGATAGTGGTGTGGCCTCTCTCTCCTGAGATGCTAGGTTGTTGCTCCTGAGGGTGCCACAGGGCTGTCAGGCTGTCCCCCGCCCCCAGCTGGGCGACTACGCGGACAGTGGTGTGGCCTCTCTCTCCTGAGATGCTAGGTTGTTGCTCCTGAGGGTGCCACGGGGCTGCCAGGCTGTCCCCCGCCCCCAGCTGGGCGACTACGCGGACAGTGGTGTGGCCTCTCTCTCCTGAGATGCTAGGTTGTTGCTCCTGAGGGTGCCACGGGGCTGCCAGGCTGTCCCCCGCCCCCAGCTGGGCGACTACGCGGACAGTGGTGTGGCCTCTCTCTCCTGAGATGCTAGGTTGTTGCTCCTGAGGGTGCCACGGGGCTGCCAGGCTGTCCCCCGCCCCCAGCTGGGCGACTACGCGGACAGTGGTGTGGCCTCTCTCTCCTGAGATGCTAGGTTGTTGCTCCTGAGGGTGCCACAGGGCTGCCAGGCTGTCCCCCGCCCCCAGCTGGGCGACTACGCGGACAGTGGTGTGGCCTCTCTCTCCTGAGATGCTAGGTTGTTGCTCCTGAGGGTGCCACGGGGCTGCCAGGCTGTCCCCCGCCCCCAGCTGGGCGACTACGCGGACAGTGGTGTGGCCTCTCTCTCCTGAGATGCTAGGTTGTTGCTCCTGAGGGTGCCACGGGGCTGCCAGGCTGTCCCCCGCCCCCAGCTGGGCGACTACGCGGACAGTGGTGTGGCCTCTCTCTCCTGAGATGCTAGGTTGTTGCTCCTGAGGGTGCCACGGGGCTGCCAGGCTGTCCCCCGCCCCCAGCTGGGCGACTACGCGGACAGTGGTGTGGCCTCTCTCTCCTGAGATGCTAGGTTGTTGCTCCTGAGGGTGCCACGGGGCTGCCAGGCTGTCCCCCGCCCCCAGCTGGGCGACTACGCGGACAGTGGTGTGGCCTCTCTCTCCTGAGATGCTAGGTTGTTGCTCCTGAGGGTGCCACGGGGCTGCCAGGCTGTCCCCCGCCCCCAGCTGGGCGACTACGCGGACAGTGGTGTGGCCTCTCTCTCCTGAGATGCTAGGTTGTTGCTCCTGAGGGTGCCACGGGGCTGCCAGGCTGTCCCCCGCCCCCAGCTGGGCGACTACGCGGACAGTGGTGTGGCCTCTCTCTCCTGAGATGCTAGGTTGTTGCTCCTGAGGGTGCCACGGGGCTGCCAGGCTGTCCCCCGCCCCCAGCTGGGCGACTACACGGACAGTGGTGTGGCCTCTCTCTCCTGAGATGCTAGGTTGTTGCTCCTGAGGGTGCCACGGGGCTGCCAGGCTGTCCCCCGCCCCCAGCTGGGCGACTACGCGGACAGTGGTGTGGCCTCTCTCTCCTGAGATGCTAGGTTGTTGCTCCTGAGGGTGCCACGGGGCTGCCAGGCTGTCCCCCGCCCCCAGCTGGGCGACTACGCGGACAGTGGTGTGGCCTCTCTCTCCTGAGATGCTAGGTTGTTGCTCCTGAGGGTGCCACGGGGCTGCCAGGCTGTCCCCCGCCCCCAGCTGGGCGACTACGCGGACAGTGGTGTGGCCTCTCTCTCCTGAGATGCTAGGTTGTTGCTCCTGAGGGTGCCACGGGGCTGCCAGGCTGTCCCCCGCCCCCAGCTGGGCGACTACGCGGACAGTGGTGTGGCCTCTCTCTCCTGAGATGCTAGGTTGTTGCTCCTGAGGGTGCCACGGGGCTGCCAGGCTGTCCCCCGCCCCCAGCTGGGCGACTACGCGGACAGTGGTGTGGCCTCTCTCTCCTGAGATGCTAGGTTGTTGCTCCTGAGGGTGCCACAGGGCTGCCAGGCTGTCCCCCGCCCCCAGCTGGGCGACTACGCGGACAGTGGTGTGGCCTCTCTCTCCTGAGATGCTAGGTTGTTGCTCCTGAGGGTGCCACAGGGCTGCCAGGCTGTCCCCCGCCCCCAGCTGGGCGACTACGCGGACAGTGGTGTGGCCTCTCTCTCCTGAGATGCTAGGTTGTTGCTCCTGAGGGTGCCACGGGGCTGCCAGGCTGTCCCCCGCCCCCAGCTGGGCGACTACGCGGACAGTGGTGTGGCCTCTCTCTCCTGAGATGCTAGGTTGTTGCTCCTGAGGGTGCCACGGGGCTGCCAGGCTGTCCCCCGCCCCCAGCTGGGCGACTACGCGGACAGTGGTGTGGCCTCTCTCTCCTGAGATGCTAGGTTGTTGCTCCTGAGGGTGCCACGGGGCTGCCAGGCTGTCCCCCGCCCCCAGCTGGGCGACTACGCGGACAGTGGTGTGGCCTCTCTCTCCTGAGATGCTAGGTTGTTGCTCCTGAGGGTGCCACAGGGCTGCCAGGCTGTCCCCCGCCCCCAGCTGGGCGACTACGCGGACAGTGGTGTGGCCTCTCTCTCCTGAGATGCTAGGTTGTTGCTCCTGAGGGTGCCACGGGGCTGCCAGGCTGTCCCCCGCCCCCAGCTGGGCGACTGTTCTAGTTGGACCTCTGTGACCCCCCAGGTCGCAGCTGTCACTCAGACTCTCACTTTGCCCTTGGTGCTGGTGGGTGGATGTGGCCGTGGCCTGGTCAACTACCCCAGCTCCGGAATTGGAGCCCCAGGTCGGCAGGGCCCTCACTCCTCATCCGGGCCCTTACCCTCGTGCCCACAGAGTCCACTCTACCCGGCAGGCCAGGTACCGGCATCCCTGCGCTGCAGGATTCAGTCCACCTGAGAAGCCGTTCCATCTGCACACATGATCTCCATGTTTGCACTGGAGGTTCTGGGCCCACTGTGGCCTTGGTGAACCTGTGTCAGCTGCCAGCTGTGGCCTCGCCCCTTTCCTGCCCAGCCTGGCTCCGCATCCTCAGAGTCCCCAGCTCCCATCACAAGCTGTGTTTCCCGCACAGTCATCTTAGAGTTAGTTTGTTTGCTTTGAGGGATTACGTGAAGCTCTCGGAAGCCTTCATTTTAATTTTCCTTGATTTGAAAATGGAATGGGTGCAGCCGCCACCCACAATAAGATAGAGAGGGTCATGTCGTTCAGGAGTAGCCATGCCAAGTGAGGGTCTCACTGCCTGGCACAGACACGTCTTCTCAGGCCATCATCTCCGTGACCGGGATCCGCAGTGTTGTCCTGGGCCGCCACAGATGTTGCCCTGGTTCCCAGCCGTGGTTGACGAGGCCCGTCTCGTTGCCTTCCAGCGCTCCTGGTTGCAGCCAGAATGCATGACTTCAGGAGGACTGTGAAGGAGGTCATCAGTGTGGTCAAAGTGTGTGAGTCCACGCTGCGGAAGAGGTGAGGGGCTCTCATTCATGGCATGGGGACCACACAGAGGCTTCATCAGTCCAGCTCAGGCCTGCTTGCCAGAGCAGGCGCCACCTCCCGGGACCCTGCCGTCCCCCGCCTGGCTGCTGGCCAGGACCTAGCCCAGCCCCGGTCACACTATGGCTTGGACGTGCTGGTGGGCTGCCTCGCCTCCCTCCAGAGAGTTCCCTGCTAGTCCTTCTGGGGCCGGCCCTATCCTGCGGAGGCATCCTCCTCCTCCGATCCCTGTATTTTTTTTTTTTTTTTGAGGAACAGCCTTGCTCTGTCGCTTAGGCTGGAGTGCAATAGCGTGATCTCGGCTCACTGTAACCTCTGCCTCCCGGGTCCAAGAGATTCTCCTGCCTCAGCCTCCTGAGTAGCTGGGATTACAGGCGTGTGCCACCACGCCTGGCTAATTTTTTAGTAGAGATGGGGTCTCACCATGTTGGTCATGCTGGTCTTGAACTCCTGACCTCGTGATCTGCCCGTCTTGGCCTCCCAAAGTGCTGGGATTACAGGCATGAGCCACCGCGCCCCGTGTTTCTAAGTTGAGGCGGAGGGTGATGTGTAAAGTTGCCCTAAGTCACAAACAGGCATGAGGCTGTCTTTGACGTCAGAAGCCTGGTCCGTCTCCTTTTTGCTGTGGCCCGTCCTGGACTTTGAGAGCCCAGGTGACCCCTGTCCCAGTGAGAAGCCGGAGTGCCATAAGAGGTCCCCGCATCAGTGAAATGAGTGGCGTAGCAAGCCAGGCAGGCAGGGGTGGGGCTTTGCACCCCGGCTTTGCTGGGTGGTATTTGTCGGGGTTCCTCACAGCTCGCCTGCACCGCAGCCCTGTTTCATAGACTTTGACAAGGTAAATGTGACAGTGGAGTTGCTGCCACCTGTAACTGCTGTGACATTTATCACAAATCTTAAACACAGGACTGCTGTTTTTCAGCTGAGATTGTGTCCTGTGGCATTTTCCAAAACCAGCTGTAAAGTATTTCACTTTAAACATCTGACCATTGATTCTGTAAAAAAAATCTTTGATGAAACGTGTTTGAAGGTTGTGTAGCGTGTAGAGGCGTTCGTAAGAACTGAGCCCCATGGCTCACAGGCCTGCAGGGCCCCTTCCTGCCCGACTGCCAGGTGCTGAGGTTCTAGCCCAGCCTCCTCTCTTCAGGCCTTCTGAGTCTTCCGCCTAGGATTGGGGTTCTCTTGTGAGGGATGAGGGTGCCTGTGGGCCTTTCTCCTAGTGAGCAGAGGTCCGGGCAGGATCGGGTAGGGGTGGAGAAGCCGCCAGAAGGGACCTGGGCGCCGAGGGGCAAGGCCTGAGTGCCAGGCCCCGTGGAGGAACATCCGACAAGCACAGTTCAGGTATTTGTTTTTATTGTTATTTATTCATTTTTTTGACACAGATTTTCGCTCTTGCCGCCCAGGCTGGAGTACAGTGGCACGATCTTGGCTCACTGCAAGCTCCGCCTCCTGGATTCAAGCGATTCTCCGGCCTCAGCCTCCCGAGTAGCCGAGATTACAGGCTCCCACCACCATGCCCAGCTAATTTTTGTTATTTTTAATAGAGATGGGGTTTCACCGTGTTGGCCTGGCTGGTCTCAAACTCCTGACCTCAGGTGATCCTACCACTTCGGCCTCCCACATGCTGGGATTACAGGCATGAGCCACAGCACCTGGCCTTTTATTTTTTATGTATTTTTTGAGACAAAATCTCACTCTGCTGCCCAGGCTGGAGGCCAGTGGCGCTATCACAGCTCGTTACAGCCTCAACCTCCTGGGCTCAAGCGATTCTCCCTGACCTCAGCCTCCCAAGTAGCAGAAACTACAGGTGTGTACCACCATGCGTGGCTAATTTTTTTTTTTTTTTTTGGGTAGAGACAGAGTCTCACTGTGTTGCCTAGGCTGGTCTCAAAGTCTTGGACTCAAGCAATCCACCCACCTTGGGCTCCCAAAGCACTGGGATCACAGGCATGAGCCACGCCCAGGCGAAAGCTCAGTTTTAAACAGCTGGTTTCAGAGCCACCAGCTCCATTTCCCATGTCTGGCTCCATTTTAGGCTCACGGAATTTGAAGACACCCCCACCAGTCAGTTGACCATTGATGAGTTCATGAAGATCGACCTGGAGGAGGAGTGCGACCCCCCCTCGTACACAGCTGGGCAGAGGAAGCTGCGGATGAAGCAGGTAGCGCCGGCTTTGGTGTCTGTCTGTGCTGGGCTTGCCAGCCTTGGGGGGAAGCCACACACCCCGACTGGGGTTGTAGCAGAGCTGGTGCCATCCCAAAGCCTCATAGCCGCTCTTCAGTGCTATGACCAGCCAGAGCCCGAGGCTCCGGGATGCCCCTCACACAGACTCTGGGAAGTGCCACCTCTTCCCATGGGGGACACAGGCCCATAGCTCCACCTCCATCGCTGCGTACCCCTAAGTTCTAGCAGCCTGTGGTCCCTGGGGCCCACGCGGCACCCCAGAGGCTGCGCTGTGCACCAGGGCCTCCCTTCACGAAGCCTCTTGCCCTGTTCCCTTTCAGCTTGAACAAGTCCTGTCAAAAAAACTGGAGGAGGTTGAAGGTAACCAACCAATCTTCCCATGTAATGCTTCTGTTTTGTTGGGAAAATTGATTTTATGCTGACTTTTTGCTTTTAACTTATGACTTCAGGTGAAATATCCAGTTACCAGGATGCAATTGAGATTGAACTAGAAAACAGCCGGCCAAAGGCCAAGGGGGGCCTGGCCAGCCTGGCAAAAGATGGTGAGTCCACTGTGCCCGGCCCCTATTCAGACCTTTAAAATGTGCTAGAGTCTCAGCAGATCTCTTCAGGATCAGAAAAAGACCTGGAAAGGGAAGGGGATTATCTACAGAATGTAAGTTTACCACCGGGCAGGGTGGCTCACGCCTGTAATCCCAGCACTTTAGGAGGCTGAGGCAGGCGGATCACGAGGTCAGGAGATGGAGACCATCCTGGCCAACATGGTGAAACCCTGTCTCTACTACAAATGCAAAAATTAGCTGGGCGTGGTGGTGCGCACCTGTAGTCCCAGCTCCATGGGAGGCTGAGGCAGGATAATCATTTGAACCTGGGAAGTGGAGGTAGCAGTGAGCCAAGATCGCACCACGGCACTCCAGCCTGGGTGACAGAGCGAGACTCCGTCTCAAACAAAAAAAAAAAGAATGTAAGTTTCCCCTACAAAAGACAGCTTTGCGGGGCCATTTCAAAATATGTCAAAGATATTTTGGGGTAAAATATTTTTATTTCTTTCAGGGCCTGCTACCTGTCATTGATGTTGTACTAGAGTCAGGTTGGAATTTGGTATCTGTTGCTACAAAGTCTGGTCAATCATCAGATCTGTGTTTTGATGTTAATGCTGATGAGCTGTGCCTGAACTCCAAAGGGAGGGGGTATAAGCGGGTATAATGAGGCGTGTCTGACCCCGCCCCCACTTCCCATCATGGTCTGAACTAGCTTTTCAGGTTTCTTTGAAATCTCCTTGGCCAAGAGAAGGGATCCATTTGGTTGGTTGTGGGGCTTAGAATCTTGTTTTTGATTTGTATTCTGTACTGTGTATTTTCACTTGGGGGTTAGTAGGAGCCACGGGAGGGCCTGAGAACAGAGGCAGGAGGTAGGGAGGCTGTTGCAGGAACCCAGGGTGAGAGACCTGGCCCAGCCTGGTCGAACTCTGGAAGTACTTTTGGGGCAGAGCCAACAGTCCAGGGAATGTGCATGTCCCGGGAATGTGGCAGCCGGAGCCCCCAAGGCTCCTGGCACCTGCGGCCTGGGCCCACTTGCCCGGGGAGGGGCTTCTGAGAGGCTGCTCTGTCCAGAGGTCATCGTCCACTGACAGCTGCTCTCTGGGGATCAGGTGCTTTCCCCCAAGGAGCCATTCCTCACCATGGGGACCCCTCCGGGACTCAGTGCTAGCCAGGAATCTTGTATTGGAACACATTCAGAAGAAAGCAGTCTAAGACTAGGGAGTGGGTCAAGCATGGTGGTTCATGCCTGTAATCGCAGCACTTTGGGAGGCAAATACAGGAGGACTGCTTGAGCAGAGTTCAAGACCAGCCTGGTCAGCATAGTGAGACCCCATCTCTACAAAAAATAAAAAAATTAGCTGGGCATGGGAGTGTGCACCTGTAGTCCCAGCTCCTCGGGAGGCTGAGGCCGGAGGATCACTTGAACCCAGGAGTTCGATGTGCAGTGAGCTATGATTGCACCACTGTATTCCAGCCTGGGCAGCAGAGCCAGACCCTGTCCCCAGTATACACACACACAAAATCCAGAGTGGGATGTTTTAAGATGAGTTTTGCCAACCTTAAAGGAAGAAGCAGAGGCAAAAGTAATCTACATAATTTATTTGGGTCAAGCTTGAGGATTGCAGCCAGGGTGGACATATCCCATTGCCTTGAATATACACTCTGGTGAGCAGCAGTTACACATGGACTTTTTCTTTTTTTGGAGACAGGCTCACTCTGTCACCCAGGCTGGAGTGCAGTTGCATAATCTCAGCTCACCACAACCTCTACCCTGTAGTTTGAAGCAATTCTCCTGCCTCACCCTCCTGAGTAGTTGGGACTACAGGCATGCGCCACCACGCCCAGCTAATTTTTGTATTTTTTGTAGAAACGGGGTTTCGCCACGTTGGCCAGGCTGATCTCGAACTCCTGACCTCAAGTGATCTGTCCACCTTGGCCCGCCAAAGTGCGGGATTACAGGAGTGAGCCAGCCTCAGCTACAGATGGATTTTTAAAGGCAAAAAGGGACAGTGATTGGATAGATACAAAGTTGTCTGTTGGGAATTCTCATTGGCTTACAATAGTAACGTTCATTCGTGATTGGCTGTACATCGTTAAACTATTGGGTGCGGCATTATTGGGTTAGTTTAGAGCTACTTGTGGCAACAGCAAGTGGTTTCAAGAAATGAACACGTAGCTCAAGGAGGAGGAGTCACATTCCTCCCGTGAAAGTTCTTTTCTCAGTCTTTTAAATTTACCATTGGGTGATTTTTAACAGCCTTATTGAGGTGTGATTGCCGTATGAAAACTGCTCATATTTAAAATGTGCCCTTTGATTTCTGAACTTTGATGTCTGCACACACCTGTGAAGCCATAGTGACAACCAAGAAGACCCACAGATCTGTGGCTCCCACGGGGTCCACAGGCCCTTGGTCACCACCCCCCCTCCTGCCCCAGGCCACCAGTGAGCTACTTTTTTCACGATAAATTAGTTGTATTCTGTAGAATTCCGTAGGAGTAGGATCACATAGTATATGTTTTTCCCTTCGGCTTTTTTCACAGTGTAATTATGTTGAGTCACGCATCAATGGTTTGCTCATTTGTGTTGTGGCGTGGCAGTCGGTAGTCCTTCAGCACGCTGAGGGTGTGTGTTGAGTCACGCATCAATGGTTTGTTCGTTTGTATTGTGTGGCAGTCGGTAGTCCTTCAGCACGCTGAGGGTGTGTAGCCATTCATCTGTTAGAGGACATTGCACGTTTGAGGCTGTTTCAGATGCGCTCGTGAACACTCGTGTACAAGTCCTTGTGTGGACGTTGATTTCCTTTTGGGTCAATTGCTGAGGAGTGAAATTGCTGGGTTATGTGAAAGGCAAGTGTGTATGTCTTTTTTTGTTGTTTTTGAGACGGTCTTACTCTGTCACCCAGAGTGGAGTGCAATAGTTCCATCATAGCTCACTGCAGTGTCAACCTCCTGGGCTCAAGCAACCCTCCCATCTCAGCCTCCCAAGTAGCTGGGACTGCAGGCGGGCACCACCACACCCAGATAATTTTTACATTTCTTCATAGAGACAGGATCTTGCTGTGTTGCCCAGGCTGGTCTGGAACTCCTGAGCCCAAGTGGGCGGCCACGAACTGCCTGTCTTTAAGAAATGATCAGGTTGTCAGCCAGGCGCAGAGCCTCACGCCTGTAATCCCAGCACTTTGGGAGGCTGAGGTGGGCAGATCACAAGGTCAGGAGATCAAGACCATCCTGGCTAACACAGTGAAACCCCGTCTCTTCTAAAAATACAAAAAATTAGCCGGGTGTGGTGGCGGGCGCCTGTAGTCCCAGCTACTCAGGAGGCTGAGGCAGGAGAATGGCGTGAACCCGGGAGGCGGAGCTTGCAGTGAGCCGAGATCGCGTCACTGCACTCCAGCCTGGGCGACAGAGCGAGACTCCGTCTCAAAAAAAAAAAAAGAACTGATCAGGTTGTCTCCAAAGGGTTAGCACCATGCGTGGAAGTGCAAGGGAGCGTGTTCCCCCTGTCTGGGAAGTGCGGCCTGGTTTTCTTTTCAGGGCTAGACATTCTGATGGTTGTGAAGGAGGAGCTTGGGGTGGTTTCATTTGCATTTCCTTCAGGACTGGAGGTCTTTGTATATGTTCATTTACACCAATATGTCGTCTTCGCCGGAGTGTTCAGATCTTTTTCCATTTTTTAATTGGGTTGTGTTTTCTTGTGAAGTTTTGGGAATTCTTCATCTGTTCTAGATTTAAGTCCTTTATCAGTTACGAGATTTGCAGATAAGCCTGTGGGCTGTCTTCATTGTCTTAACGATGTCTTTCAAAGGGCAGTTCTTAATTTTTTGGAAATCCGTTTTATCAGTGTTTTATGGATTCTGCTTTTAGAACCATTAGAAATGTTTGCCTTATCCAAGGTCACAAAGTTTTTCTTTTACGTTTTTGTCTGAAATGTCTGTACTTTAACTCTCCCCCTAGGTCTGTGATCTGCTTTGAGCTAACTTCCGCGTGCAGTGCGAGGTGTGGGCTGAGGCTCGTTCTTTGGCACCTGACCGCCAGGCACCGTGCACTGACAGCCGTTCTATGGGTTACCTGGCAGCTTGGTAGCATTGTTTTTTGTCACAAAAGCGGGCACCCTGGCCCTCTGCCTGGTTAACAGGTGGATTGTGTACACCTAGGCTCCACCGAGGACACCGCGTCCAGCTTGTGTGGCGAGGAGGACACAGAGGACGAGGAGCTGGAAGCCGCGGCCAGCCACCTGAACAAAGACTTATACCGGGAGCTCCTTGGTGGTGCCCCCGGCAGCTCGGAAGCAGCAGGAAGCCCCGAGTGGGGCGGCAGACCTCCGGCCCTGGGGTCCCTGCTGGACCCCCTCCCCACTGCAGCCAGCCTGGGCATCTCAGACTCCATCCGCGAATGCATCTCCTCTCAGAGCAGCGACCCCAGTGAGTTCTGATGGGGCCCTGGGGGACGCTGAGGTCATCGGGAGATCTTTCAGGCGTGTGCCTCTCATGGGGAGAGCCGGATGCTGCCATCCTCTGTCGGGAGGTGTGGTGGTCTCGGGCGGTGGGCTTGGGTGGTGGCACCACCAGTCCCCCCAATGGGGCTGTGTGGGCGTCAGTGGTCCTGGCGTGAAGAATTGGGTGTGTGCCGACGCCAGAATGCAGTGAGTCTCGTCACCCTCACTGGGACCGCCTTCAGGTCACAGGGGCCACGGAGAATGGAGCCCACAAGTTGTGTCCAGGAGTCCCATGGGGCAGCTCCACCCCTCATCCGCTTGTCCAACATGGTCGGGGGAACGTCACTTGCTGAGCTTGGGCGTGGCAATGACGAGGCACCCCTGCCCCATAGTGCCCAGGCCAGGCCACCGTGCCCATCTTGCCCCCCCTCACCTTGCCCATTTGGCTGGGAGCTCTAGGAGAAAGGTGGGTCCCATCCCCCATCCCTGCCAGGACAGGCTTCCCTGGCTGAGAGCCTAGACCTTCCTGCAACGCTTCACCCTCAAGCCCTGCCTCCCGTCGGGCACCAGGGCCTGGCCTCTGTGTGAGGAGCCAGGCGAATGTTTATCAAGTGATATCTGGGCCGGGGTAGAGACAATCCTGATGGTTGGGGCTGCTGTGTGGGTGGAACCCAGGCGAGTCACACAGAGCAACAGGCAGAGGGGACATGCACAGGCCCTGGGGCAGCCAGCGGCACAGTGACCCTGAGCAGAAAGGGCCATTCTGGCTGGAGCTGAGGAAGGGCTGCCTGTGAGTGCTGAGAGGAGCCGTCTCTGGCCTCGGCCCTGGAGCAGCATGGCAGGAGAGCACCTCAGACAGTCTGGCCCTGTGCTGGAGTTGACTTGGCAGCACGGGGCAGGCAGCTATGGCGTGGGGCTGTGGCAAGGAGAGGCTGTCCCAATTCCAGGCTGTGCAGATGCTGCCTGGACTGCGTGGGGCTGGGCAGGGGTGACAGGCAGGTTTTGGGGTGTCCTGAGCATGATCATGGAGGGCTCCCTCAGGCCTGGACTCCGGAATCATTTCTATTCCCTCATTTCTATCCCCAGACCTATGGGCTCAGTGATGGGGAGCTGGCTCCCCTGAGCACAGACCCCCATCTCACTCCGTGGCCTGACCTTTCCTTCCTGCCCAGCTTCCGTGCCCTCCCTCGGTCTTTGGGGCCTGACAGCCTCTGTCTCCTGTTCTTAAAAAGTTGCTTTTTTACAAAAAGCACAGAAGTGCTGGGGTTTTCCTTTGCAGCTTCAGTTCAGTGTTCTGCTGGCTTCGCTTAGTGTCCTGAGCTAGGCATTTAAAGAGGTGCGGTCATGTGGGCAGACAGGGCGCGACCCACCAGTGCAGAGGAGGGGACGGGGTTCTAGAAAGCCCTTAGCCCAGACCCAGGGTCCTGAGCCAGCCCAGGTGGTGGCCACGCTCCTATAATCAGTGCTGGCCCTGAGTGACGCGGATGCTGTGCTTCCCTCCAGAAGATGCTTCAGGAGACGGTGAGCTGGACCTCAGTGGCATTGATGACCTGGAGATTGACAGGGTACGTGGCAGCACCCCTTCCCAAGAGGGGCTGGGCTTGGGAGGGCGCTGCAGCCCAAGGAGCCCTGAGTGGTCGGGCGGGGTTGGCCACCTCCCCTGCCCAGAGCCCACCCCGCTGGGTGAAGTGGGCTCCTGGCCTTCTGGCCACTGTTCCCGGGACCCCCCCCCACACTCTCTTCTCCAGTGTCGGCTCGGGGGCGGCCTGTCGAGAGGCCCCTGGCTTTGCGCCTGGTCCTTGCGGCCCTCGGCACATAGCCTGCAGCAGGCACACATCGCACAAATAGCACCAGGGGCAGCCCCTCGAGGGGTCTCTAGACACAAGAGGGCACCCACTGACTCCACATGCGCTGTGCGCCCCCAAACCCCAGGGCTTCCAGCCATTGGGACCAGCTCTTTGCAGTTTATCTCAATATACTTGCCCTCTGTCAGGCAGGAAGTCGTCTTCCCTGATTTCATGGCCACGTGGTGCCTCAGACCCCTCCAGCCTGGCCCATCTGTACCTGAGTGGGAGGCTCTCACCCTCACTTGGCCCCTTTGTGGGAACCTGTGGCCTGCACTCTGGCTGGCCAGGGTCCTGGTGCCGGCAGGGCTTGCAAGCTGCCCTAGGGGGTCTCACACATGTGGCCTGCGTGGTTGGCCTTGGGACAGGCCACAGAGCAACAGGTCCCCAACTCGCCCCGCGCGATGAGGCCTCAGCCCAGGCTCCGCACTAAATAGAGGCTGCCCCGGGTTCCCCTTCCTCTAACGGTGGAAATACTTCCCGCTGGCCAGCGCGACCTTAGCATGCCCCGGTGTGCGAAGGCTAAAAGCCAGCCCCACTTCCCTGTGCTCGCCCAGTACATCCTGAATGAGTCGGAAGCCCGCGTGAAGGCCGAGCTGTGGATGAGGGAGAACGCCGAGTACCTGCGGGAACAGAGGGGTAAGCGCCACCCGCCCACACTCACACGCAGGACGCACAGTCCCCAGGCCTGGGGCGTGGGCCCTCAGTGACGCTGGCCCCCTTTCTGAACTTTTAGAAAAAGAAGCAAGAATAGCGAAAGAGAAGGAGCTCGGCATCTACAAGGAACACAAGGTGGGCGCCTGTGACGCTGGGCCTGGCCTTCTTGGGGGTGTCCAGGTTACGGGGGGCAAATGTCTCTGGAATGTCCCTTCCCCATGTGACAGGAGGGTCTAGGCCCCAGGGCAGGCAGCCGGAGGCCATGTGCTCTGGACCCCAGACCCACGTCCTTAACCACTAGGTCCTGCCCCGTGCTGGCCACAGGCGCCCAGCCGTCGGCCTCACCTTGGAGGGCGTGTGCTCAGCTTTGGGGTAACCTTCTGGATGCAGCACCGGGGCAGACTGTCGAGACTCGGGGCTGGACGCTGGGGTCCCTGCCTGTGTTAACGGGTTTGCTCTTCTGACGCCCTGGGAAAGTCCGACTGTCATGCCTCCCTGCCTTGTGGCCGTCACGGTGACTTGCTCTGCCAGCTTACTCTCTGGCGGAATGTGCCTTCAGCCTCGTGGTGCAGGCAGCAGTGGTTGAGCCTCTGAGTGACTGAGCAGGAGAAAACACGGGGAGCCAGTTCCCTGCCTGCGAGACTGGGGTCCCTCAGACGAAGCTGGAGGTGGCTGGGATGGCAGATGTGGGGCCTACCCGCTCAGCAGGACCCGGGGAGCTTGTGGTCAGAGAGTTAGGAGCCCAGGGACTCCACCCCACCCAGCAGCACGTCCCAGGCCTTGCTGGGCCACGCAGGAAGGTCATCGTGCAGCGGGGGGCAGCAGGGGTGGTGCAGGCTGATTGCCCTGAAGTGGTCTATGGCTCCAGCTCCTAGAAGGAGATCCAGGGTCTTCGGGCAGCTGGGGCCTTTGACGTGGGCAGCGGTGCTGGGGTGGATTGTCTGTCTTCACTGAGTAGCCATCTCTGCTGCAGCCCTCACAGTGCAGCAGCACATCGCCCTGCCGTGTGCATGTGGCCCTGCCCTGTGTGGGACCCAGGGGCAGCAGGGCCCTGAGCACCTGTGGCATGTTTGCTGCTGTTGCTGTCTGGAGGCCCTGCCAGCACCCATGCCAGGCCACGTGCCCCACTCACCTGGGAGGGCAGGATTTGACGTGGGCAGGCCCAGAGAGCACCAGGCTGGCCCACATTCTGGGGGGAGGAGGCAGGAGCGGCCCTTCTGAGGGCCTGAGCCAGGCCTCACCCGCCTGCACTCCTGGCCTCACGTGGAGCCCCTGATGGTGGAGTGCAGTGGGCGTGACTCACGGGAGGCATTCTTGCTTGTTTCCCTCAAGCCCAAGAAGTCTTGCAAGCGACGGGAGCCAATTCAGGCCAGTACCGCCAGGGAGGCCATCGAGAAGATGCTGGAGCAGAAGAAGATCTCCAGCAAGATCAATTATAGCGTGCTCCGGGGCCTCAGCAGCGCCGGCGGGGGCAGTCCGCACAGGGAGGATGCACAGCCCGAGCATAGCGCCAGTGCCAGGAAGCTGTCACGAAGGAGGACGCCGGCCAGCAGAAGTGGGGCTGACCCTGTGACCAGTGTGGGGAAAAGGTACCATCCTGTCCTGAGTGGCTGGGTTAGGGCAGCAGCCCAGGGCGGGCAGAGGCCCATGGCTTCGGGTCCTGGAGCTGCCGGGGGCCAGCCGGGGCCACAGAAGTGCCTGGAGTGGCATTTGCCACCTGCATGCTGGGGACTGGTGGGCCTTCTCCGGCACCTTGACAGTGTCTCAACTCTCCTTGGCCTGGCAGGCTGTGAGCGGACGGGCGGGTCCAGCTGTCAGGGGGGTCCTGCAGCCTAGGCTCTGTTTTGTCCCAAGGAGGGGCTGGGACAATCCGTGGGGTCGGTGCCTTCTCCAGCCTGGGTTCGGGAAGAAGAGTCCCCAGCCCTGCCGCCCTGTGCCTGCTCTGCGCACCCTGGCTGCATTGCCGTCTCTGCTGAGGTGATGGGTGAGAGCAGCACACTGCTGAGGAAGGAGGATGTGGGTGGAGAACGTGGCTGAGGGACGTCAAAGGCGGGATGTGCTGGCCTCAGCGCACAGGGTCACGAGGCTCTGCAGCTCCATGCAGGGCCGCCTTGGAGTGGGTCGGCCTCTGTGCACAGCTTGCCGCTGGGTGGCGGCTGCAGGCTCTCCTGACGAGGCCATGGGCAGCTGGGCTCACCTGCTGCGTCTTGGGGGCCTGTGGCTGGTCCATGTGTCCCTCTGGCAGTGGAGATGGGGTTGGCGGCTTAGCTTCTGGGTCCACCCTTTGGTGGTTCCGACCTTCACTCCACCCCACCGAGTCTCCGGGCTGGGTGTGTCTGCTGGTCCTACTGCTTCTTGGGATCTCTTGCGTTGTCTCCAGCTGCTTCCGCCTGTGGGGCAGTGCTGACTCTCGGCAGCCCCGTCAGGGCCTCCTGTTGTTTGCGGTATTTGCGGTGGTTTCTCCTTGGCCTTTTGAGCTGCTAGGCTGGCCACTGCACCCCGCGAGAGTTGGCTGTGCTGTGGCCCTGCCCCTGCCCCTCCCCTGGGGTGCCCAGGTGCTACTCTGTGAGGGAGCCTGACCTCCTGGCAGGCTGGTGCTTCTCAGCCGGCGTCTCAGCCCCTCAGGAGGGCCGCATGGGCTGTCTCCTCCACATCAGCCATGCACTGGTCCTCTGGGGGTGCATTCCTAGCACAGCTCCTGGCATGCGTAGGAGGTCAGTGGGGCAGAGGTGAAGTCAGGGCAGGTCTGTGGCTCGGTTCCCCTGTGCCTGAGCACTCCCAGGTCCGATCTGAGGCTTTAGTCTCCGTGTCCTCTGCCTGCCTAGCCAGCCTCTGTCAGCGCTGGAGGTGGGGGTCCTGTCCCAGTTGGGTGATTCTGGTGCCTGGTGACAGGGTTCACAGCCCCCTCTGTCACATCTGACCAGCTGGCCCAGACAGGGCCCGGGTGTGCATGTGTGTCTCTCTGTGTGTGTATACATGTACATGCAGTGCGTGTATGCCTGTATCTGTGTGCATGCAGTGTGTGCCTGTGTCTGTGCGCATGCAGTATTTGTGTGCATGTGTGTGTGTGTGCCTGTGTCTGTGTACGCAGTGTGTGTGCCTGTGTCTGTATGCCTGCAGCGTGTGTGTGCATGTGTGTGTGCGCCTGTGTATGCAGTGTGTGTGCATGTGTGTGTGTGCCTGTGTCTGTGTATGCAGTGTGTGTGTGCCTGTCTGCGTATGCAGTGTGTGTGTGCCTGTGTCTGTATGCCTGCAGCGTGTGTGTGCATGTGTGTGTGTGCCTGTGTCTGTGTATGCAGTGTGTGTGCATGTGTGTGTGCCTGTGTATGCAGTGTGTGTGCATGTGTGTGTGTGCAGTGTGTGTGCATGTGTATGTGCCTGTGTCTGTGTATGCAGTGTGTGTGTGTGCATGTGTGTGTGTGCCTGTGTGCATGCAGTATTTGTGTGCATGTGTGTGTGTGCCTGTGTATGCAGTGTGTGTGTGCCTGTGTCTGTGTATGCAGTGTGTGTGTGCCTGTTTCTGTGTATGCAGTGTGTGTGCGCCTGTGTCTGTGTGCCTGCAGTGTATGTGTGCATGTGTGTGTGCCTGTGTCTGTGCATGCAGTGCGTATGCACACAGTACGTGTGTGCGTTGGTGCACTCAGTACGTGTGTGTGTGCATGTGTTCTGGTGTCTGCACACAGTGTGTGCCTGTATCTGTGACTGCACATAGTGTGTGTGCATGTGTGTAAGTTTTTGTGTGCAAATGCAGGTGTGCACGCCTATGTGTCTCTCTGTGCATGCAGTGTGTGTGCATGCAACATGTGTACCTGTATGTCTACAGATTGTGGTGTGCAGGTCTTTGTCTCTATGTACACGTGTGTGCATGCATGTGTCTGTATACACTGTGTTTCTCTGTGTGCGTGGGGCGTGTGTGTGTGTCTTAAGTCTCTCAACTGTGTGCAGTGTGTGTGCATCTGTGAGTCTGTGTGCACACACATCTGCGTGTTCGTGCACTGCTTCCTGCTTTAGAAACCCATCAGTCTTCCCCCCAACATGGCCATGATCTGATTCGGGAATATTTAGTGTTCTAAGACGGAAGCATGAAGACCTCAGGGCTGGGGACCCCCCACACTCCCACCCCCACTCAGGCCTGGGCAGCTCAGGCAGTTCCAGCGGGGCAGGGGAGAGGGGGTCTACCTGGGGACAGAAGGGCTTGTCCCGGTTGCCCTTGCAGCCCATGGGGGCAGCTTTTCACCCACACTCGGGTGAGGAAAAAGGGATTTGGACCACTTGGAAAGAGGCTGAGGCTCCGACGTGGGGAGGGGTGGTGGGGAGGGACCATCAAGGAGGGGTTCAGCTGAGGAGGCACTGCCTCAGCCCAGCGACCACAGCGTTCCTCAGCAGCAGCTGTGCTGCCTTGGGTGGCCCAGGCATGGCAGTCCCTCCTTGCTGTGGGGGAACCAGCCTGAGCTGCACCCCCTTTCTCTTTGGCTGCCGGTGGCTGCCTAGCCCATCTCCCTCTGGCCACCTGCCCCTGGTCCTGCGTCATGATGCATGCTTCCCCTGATGACAGACAACTGCAGAACCTGAGCTGGGCCACTCAGGGGTGTGGGCAGCTGAGCCACGCAGGGGTGTGGGCAGCTGAGCCATGCAGGGGTGTGGGCAGCTGAGCCACGCAGGGGTGTGGGCAGCTGAGCCACGCAGGGGTGGGCCATGCATGGGTGTGGGCAGCTGAGCCACACAGGGATGTGGGCAGCCGCTCCCTCCGAGCTTGTCTCCTCCTCACTCTGTGGTCACTCGGGCTGCTTTGACCCTCGGGGTCTTCCTCTAGCCCATGCAGATCAGTCTGTCCTCATGCCTGAGCGTCCCACTCTGGGGACAGGCAGAGGGGCCAGTGTGGGCTGTGGGCCCCAGCGCCCATATCTGGAAGGGGGACAAAGTGGGGGCCCACCAGATGAGCTGCCCTCTTGCCTGCTTACAGGCCCCAGGATCCCCCCAGGCTGGGCTGGGGCCGAGCTTCAGCCAAGCGGGGTCAGCAGGTGCTGGCGCGGCTGCGAGAGGGAGCAGCCTGAGCCCAACAGTGGGTTTGCGTGAACAATGGGCCGCAGCGCCCCACATCCTCAGGCCCCTGGCTGGGGACCCCCGTACAGGCCAAAGCCATGGCCGAGGTGATGCCAGGTGGGAGCTTGTTCTCCAGGCGCTCTCAGGCCCTCCCGTGTGGCCTGGCTGCCTCAGGTTCACACAGGATACTGCGTGGAAGAGGGGGAAGCCCTTGAGACAGGCCCCCAGCTAGCCCGCAGACCCCAGGAGCCCTTGCGGTTCTGCACTCATGAACACTACGCACCCTCTCTCCAGCCGGGTTCTGCAGGAGTAGGGAGCTTTCTGGCCCCCCAGGGTGAGGCCTGGCACAGCTGCTTCCTGGTTCTGGAAAAGCTGGACTTGTCTGTCAGGACCTTGGGTCAGTGCAGCAGGACCTTGTGGCTTGAATTTCAGCCTGTCCTCAGTGCCAGGTGGGGGAGGGAGGGTGTGTCCCTGCAGGAAGCGCACCCTCCTAACAGCACCGCTCTCCCTGTAGCCCCGTATTCCTGCCCGCCAGCATCTGCTCCTCTCTAGCTAAGGTACAGTCTGCCAAAGTCAAAGAAACTGCCTCTTCCAGAGGTTGCAGTGGGCCGAGATCGCGTCACTGCACTCTAGCCTGGCGACAGAGCAAGATTCCGTCTCAGAAAAAAAAAAAAGAAAAAAACTACCTCTCCTTGAGCCAGCGGGGTCTCAGGGCCCTTCTCAATGGGGGCCTGCTGGCCTCACCTTCCAGAGCATGAATCTCCTGGGGACTTAGTCCCACCGGCCAAGATCAGGCCTCCCACCCAACTGCCAGGCCTGCCTCCTGGAGCGCCAGCCACTTCTGGAGAGACCACAGTGGGGTGTCTCATTGAGGTCAGCCTGCTGAGAAGCCCCGCTGCAGGGCCAGCTGCCATCCCCAGAGGCCCCCACTCCACTGCACAGTGGGCCTGGGGATGGGAGTGGGGAGGGCGGAGCAGCAGCTGTCAGGCTCCAGGAAGCAGGCTGGAGGCCTGGCCTGAGGATACAGCACCACCAGGAGCCCTGGTGTCCAGACTGTCTCCAGTCTGGAGAGGGACCACATGGGGAGCCCGGGGCCTCAGCCTGGCTCACACCTGCTATCAGCTTCACCCCGAGCAGAGCTCCACGTCTAGATGTTCTGCTAAGGTCCACCTGTCATGGGGTCCCTTCCCAGTGTCCCGAGGGTTCATCTGACACGTCAGAGCCAGGCAGGGCCCTGCCTCAGGCCCCCTACCGCCTCCCCACACAGCTGTGCCCTGGAGGGAAGGGCTCTGCCCCGCTGCGTCCTTCCCCACAGGCCCTGAGCCCTCTCATTGCCCGCCCGACAGCCCTGTGTGTCCGTGCTGGAGGTTGTGGGTAATGCCTGCGTCCTCTCCCCTGGGCCCCCCTGTCTCCCTGGGGGGACCAGCAGTCTCCAAGAAGACTTGGCATGTGGAAGGCACCTTTGGCCTTTGTGTGTGGCGGGCCGGCGAGCAGGCCCTGTGCAGGGTGTTGTCAGCAGATGTAGGGATTGCCCTGGGCCTGGTGAGGGTTGGGGAAGCACTCTCGGGTCTGACAGTGTCCCTTCACCCTCCCTCCCCTCCTCCCTGAGTGAGGTAGGGCACCAGGCAGCTCCTTGAGGGCTCAGGCACTGTTGGAAGGGGAGTGGGCTGGGGAGCGGGGCGTCTGCAGCTTCTGTGTTTGTGTCGAGTGCTGCTCGCTGTTGAGAATGTGAACGGGTCAGAGCTCTGTGTTGATGTGCAGTGAGCACTGATGGAGCACACAGAACCTGGACGCAGAACCAGGCTTCCAAAGGGACAGAGAAACAGTCAATTAACACTGGGAAAGGGAAGATGGGCAAAAGGGAACAAGTGGGCAGGCGTTCGGGAGCCTGGGCTGAGGCCGCCATGCTGTGCTTCCTTTTGCAGGTTGAGGCCTCTGGTGTCTACGCAGCCAGCAAAGAAGGTGGCCACGGGAGAGGTGTGTTGTCCCACGCAGCCAGGGCAGGGAGACCTTGGGAGGCAGCCCACTTCTTCCTGGGCCCAGATGCTTGGTCTGTGACCACAGGGAGAGCAGGCCTGACAGAGGCGCCTGCCCCTGCTGCCCCATACTTGCCTGGCATGGCCAGAGAATCGAGGCCCGAGGGTGGGAGCTCCCGGTTGCCGGAGCAGGAGCGGGCAGGAAGTGGGGACCGTTGTGTGCCTGCTGCTCAGCGCTCGGGCCAAGGCTGAGCAGCCTTGCTGTGGGCCTGGTGCCTGCAGGGAGCCTGTATGTAGGAAGCAGGCACTGCCAGGTCACAGGGCCCAGCCCTCCAGGGCTCAGGGGTCTTTCACCTGGACTGTCACTTGTTGGGGACTGGTCTGGCCCAGGAAACGAGGGTGAAGGTGCTGGCAGGTGGCGGGGGCTGGGGCAGGGGCCGGAGCAGAGCCTCTGTCTGTGTTCTGGGGGTCAGGGCAGGCCAAGCCCCCGGGGGCTGAGGCCACAGTGTCCTCGGCCGAGGCCTATGGTCTGGAAAGGTGTTCTGCATGCTCCCCGAGCACTGGGGTGGGGCCCAGTAGGATACAGGAGCAGGGGCTGGCAGAGGCCTGAGGGTGGGATCTTGATGCTGACACAGCTCATGGCACAGCCCCCAGGAGGCCAGAAGGGGCCAGTGGGCCTGGGAGCCCTGGCCAACCCCGGGAGCCACTGGTGTGGCGGGAGTGGCTGAGCATCCTGGGCCAGCCCTGGTGGGTCTGAGGGGTCTGTTGAGATACACAGGGCTCCCAGCTCTGTGTGTGTCAGAGCCCCACTTCGTTCCAGGCTTTGCTCCCAAGCTCTCCCACCCTCGGAGCTGAGCCTGCCAGGCCCCAGGCGGTGCTGGTGGAGAGCGGGCCCGTGTCATACCACGCCGACGAGGAGGCTGACGAGGAGGAGCCTGACGAGGAGGACGGGGAGCCCTGCGTCAGTGCCCTGCAGATGATGGGCAGCAACGGTGGGTGGGGCCCGACAACAGGGAGGGGTTCAAGGGAAATAAAGGCATCAGCTACTGCCCCTCATGATCCCTGAACTTGGGCCTGTTAGCTTCAAACTAAATTTCTGTTTCTCCCTGGAAAGAAATTTGAACTAAGACATTTTGTAAATTGGTCATGTCGATTGTGAGGTTGGAGGCAGCCAGGGTCAGAGAGGCTAGGGACGGTGAGGTACCCACCACGAGGGCCGCCCAGCCAGCAGCACGAGGTTCCCGGATCTGCACACCACCACGGACCTGCACACCCAGGGAGGGAGGCTGAGGGAGCCCACACTGCTCTCAGGTGCCCTCGACGAGGAGCAAGGCCCTGCTCTGGGTGCATGCCAGTCCCGGGAGGTGGAGAGGAGCCCAAGATGGCTCCTGGCGGGGCGCGGGGGGCTGGGGCTGGGGCTGGAGCCTGAGTCTTCTAGGGGGGCACCAGGAACAGGGCGGGTTGGGGGGTCTGGGCTCCTGGGTCCCACAGAGACCCTGGGCTTCATGACTGTGCTCTTCTGCAGACTATGGCTGTGATGGCGATGAGGACGACGGCTACTGAAGTGTGGCCTCCAGGCAGGTGATGTCCTGGCAGGGGGCCTCGCGGGTCTCCTCAGCATCAGACGGGCTTCCAGGACCGCAGCAGGCAGGCCCCAGCGCCGAGACTCCTGGTGACAGGTGGCACCTGTCCCACAGCCCTCGTCCCATGTGGAACTTACCATTGGGATTGTGTTTCTATTCAGCAAGGGAAACCGGACCAAGCGTCTGCATGTGTGTGATCAGATGTGGGCCGGGTGTGTGCAGGGCTGGGTCCCGCTGCCTGCCGTCGACTCATCCAAGGACCCTCCAAGGCTGGCAGTGTGGTGTTGCTACTATTAAGGAAACAGGCTTGGGGCAGCCCCACTGCTGGTCCAAGTGT
The DNA here is from genome assembly GCF_000001405.40 of Homo sapiens. Lineage (NCBI taxonomy): Eukaryota > Metazoa > Chordata > Mammalia > Primates > Hominidae > Homo > Homo sapiens. The sequence continues at coordinate 105,210,193 of NC_000014.9, read as the reverse complement.
GTGGAGGGCTGAGTGTGCTGGCCCTGTGACTCAGGACCAGCTCTGGAGTCTCCAGCCCACCCTCCGCACCGTCCCCTCCTGAGCAGCACTCGGCGCCAGCAGCCTCTGCCAGAGTGGAAGCCAGAGCCCTGCAGGTGTCCGGCGCAGCCGTGGGAGCTGAGGATCTGGCACTTGAGAGGCAGCAGCTCCTTGAAGGTCCTCTGCCTCCAGCTGTGGCCCTGCATCCAGATACCTGCCTCGTCCGAGGCAGACACCCCCACCCCTGCCTCCTCCAGACCCCCCTCCCCGCTGCCTGCACCGCCTGGAGCAGCATGGGGGTCAGACCCCTGCTCCAGGGCCACTTGAGTTGTGGGCCCAGGAGCCCTGCGGCTGCCGGCAGGTGAACTGAGTGCCCGACAGCTGAGACCGGCGCCCACCCGTCCTGAGCATAGCTCTGTAGGCAGTGCGGGCATAGCCTGCATAGTGTCCTGGCGCTGGGAGTTCCCCGTGGACAGAGCCAGAGGGCAGTGGCGCTCCCTGTCAGAGCTGGATCAGGCCCCCCATCGAGGAGGGAGGGCAGACGGAGGCCCGAGAGCCTCCCCAGGCCTCTTCGTGGGAAGGCCCCAGTACCACTCGTAGGAGGTCTCAGCTCTGGCATGGCTGCCCCGGATGTGGCCGAGGGGGCTTCACCCTGTGTCCTTAGGAGGGGGTGGCCTTGAGGCAGAGCCGTGCCTCACTGACCCCCAGGGGCCTCATCCTCCCCATGGAATGGGCTGTATGTCCTGCCCCAACTTGGCCCGCAGCAGGCCAGACCCCCCTACCCCCGCCCAGAGCTCAGTAGCCAGCCTGGGTCCTGCCAGGGCTTCTCGAGGGCTTGGGGGAAGAATAGATTTAGTAAAGCAGGAAGATCTGTTGTTACTTAACAGAAATTGCCTGAGGCTTGTCTGATTCTGTGTTGCGATCTGTGGCCAGCCGTCATGTCGGTCTGCTGGCTGCACGGCCTGGCTGTGGATATTAGCCCCTGAGACCCAGGGGCTGCCCTGAGTGAGGGGTGTGGGGTCTTTAGGTCCCCCCAACTACTGCAGCAGCTGTTGAGTGGGTGTGCATCAGCCTGGGCTGGACATGGGTGTGCCACAGGGGACCGGGTGGACAAGTCCCCGCTTGGGCCCCCAGCGCAGTGTGGGCACCGGGAGGTGAGTGCTGTGAAGAAAGTGAAACGGCAGGACCAGCCCACAGGGGCTTCACTGAGGCTGGGGTAACAGGAAGCAGCAACTGGGCCAGGGTGGGCGGGCCTGGGGGCCACAGCTGGCACCCAGGGGCCCCGAGGGAGGTGCAGGTGGGCCGTGGGACCGCAGGATGGGGGGCTTGGAGAAGGTGCTCTTAGAGGAACCCTGAGGACCAGCTGGAGGGGCTCCCGGCCTAGCAGATGGCCACTGGGGCCGGGCCAGAGACGACAGCCAGGTGGCATGGAGTGGGGGTCTTGTTGGAGATCGAAGAGGGTGGATTTGGGGGGCGAAATGGGTGAAACCTGCCACCAGATCTTATTTGGGGAGGAGACCAGACGTGCAGCTGAGGGGCGCAGGCGAGGCAGGCCGTGCAGCGATCCAGCCCTCGGCCTGGGTGCTGGGGTGCAGGGCGGGGGGCAGCGTCTGACTCTGGTGGTGCTGTTTGCCAGGCTGTGGGGCCCCAGGCACAGGTGGGCTGCAGCTCCGCAGGAGGGAAGGAATCCTCATCCCGGGAGACCTGCTTTGGGGCCAGTTGGGTGTTGGAGGGGGTTTCAGGACAGACAGCTCTGGCTGGGCACTTCCACTCGGGAGGCCAGGAAAGAAGGTTTCCAGGCTGCCTGTGCATGAGCGGCTTGGCCCACAGGTGGTTGAGGATATTGGCTGAACGGCCCGCCTGAGGCTGGAGGGAGAGGGAGGGGTGGAGAGGTGGGTGGGAGGTGAGGGCCAGGGGAAAGGGAGGCCCGGGAGGCAGTGGCTGTCCACCCTTTGGGGATGGAAGCGGGGGAGGTTATCACAGAAGGGGGAGGGTGGGGTGGGGCTCGGGGGCTGGGGCGCGGGAGAGGATGGCTGGGGTTTGGGGCTGAGGAGCACAAGCGGGGCCAGGCGGTGACCAGTGTGCTAGAGTCAAGCCCCACAATGGCTGGAGGGGAGGTGGGACATCTCTGGGCTGGTGGCGGAAAGACTCTTCCCCAGAGAGGGTGCGGTGTGGAACACAGCATCCGGGTCCTGGAGCCGTGGGGACCTGTGCTGCACAGACACTTGGGTGGCCGAGGTGCGGAGGTGCTGCGGCCCGGGAGTAGACAGCCGTAGTGGCCAGGTGCTTTTGGGTGCTGGCCTGAACCGCGGGTTTGGGCATTCAGGTCTGTATTGCTCAGTCCCGTAGGTGGCTTAGGGGCCACATCTCCCAGCCTGGACGCTGACAGGCCTGAAGCAGTGCTTGGCCAGCTGTGACGCTGCAGCTGCACGGGGCCTGCCAGCATGTCCAGCAGCACCTTGGGCAGGTTCTGCCTGGGCCCTTCCCAGTGCCAGGACCAGACCATGCTGCAGCCTCGGGGAAGGGGGAGCCCAGCCTCTCAGCCCCGCATCACTATTCTTAGCTTGCTAGCTGTCCCCTTGAATGCTGCCTTCCGGGCTGGGCCTGCCAGGCATGCACACCCCAGCCCTGAGCAGCCACCGCCGCCTCCTGCTGCCTGCTCAGAGCAGGGCCATCCGAGGCTGTTACGAGCTGGCTTAGGAACCTGGTGTTTGGTGGCCGCCACCACCCCGTGGATACCACGTTACAGTCCTGACAGGACTGGAGAACAGCCAGTTGGGGGCTCAGTGGTCCTGGGGGCTCCAGGACTTTGTCAGAGCATGTGTCCACCTTTGGGGGTGCCCGGGAGAAGTGGTCTGCACAGCTCCATAGAGCGAGGGGGTGGGGCATGTGGGGCTCAGGACTGGGTCAGGCCCGAGGCTCCACCACAGCCGGCCCTGAGCTCCATTGTCTTGGTCCAGCTGTTCTGTGCCTGGATGGCTCCTTCTTTGCAGCCCATGGAGCTGGGGTGGGGAGAGCCCCCTGGAGGAATCCCCTTGAGCCAGAGTTGGAGGGTGGGGCACGAGATCTGACCCTTTGCCGCCTCTGGGCTCCTTGCCAAGTCCTTAGGGATGTCTGCCCAGTGACCTCACTCCCTGACCCAGAGAACAAGCTGGGCCACGCCCCACACCCCTGTACCCCAACTGCAGGGGGCTGCCATGCCTGCCCACAATCTTGTACCCCAACTGTAGAGGGGCTGCCATGCCTGCCCACAATCTTGTACCCCAACTGTAGAGGGGCTGCCATGCCTGCCCACAATCCCTGTACCCCAACTGTAGAGGGGCTGCCATGTCTGCCCACAGCCCGTACCCCAACTGTAGAGGGGCTGCCATGCTGCCCACACCCCGTACCCCAACTGTAGAGGGGCTGCCATGCCTGCCCACACCCCTGTACCCCAACTGTAGAGGGGCTGCCATGCCTGCCCACAATCCCGTACCCCAACTGTAGAGGGGCTGCTATGCCTGCCCACACCCCTGCACCCCAACTGTAGAGGGGCTGCCATGCCTCCCCACAATCCCTGTACCCCAACTGTAGAGGGGCTGCTATGTCTGCCCACAATCCCGTACCCCAACTGTAGAGGGGCTGCCATGCCTGCCCACAATCCCGTACCCCAACTGTAGAGGGGCTGCCATGCCTGCCCACAATCCCGTACCCCAACTGTAGAGGGGCTGCTATGCCTGCCCACACCCCTGCACCCCAACTGTAGAGGGGCTGCCATGCCTCCCCACAATCCCTGTACCCCAACTGTAGAGGGGCTGCCATGCCTGCCCACACCCCTGTACCCCAACTGTAGAGGGGCTGCCATGCCTGCCCACAATCCCTGTACCCCAACTGTAGAGGGGCTGCCATGCCTGCCCACAATCTTGACCCATGCTCATTTGGTCCAGCCGTATGGGTGTGGACCACGCTGGCCAGGGGAGGGACAGGCCGGGCATCTGTGCCCCTGACTTTGGCTTCCTCAAGTCCCTGCAGGGGCGCTGGTTGTCTCCAGGCCTTCCTGAGCGCAGGTGCTTTGCAGGAGACTCCAAGTGCCAGAGGGAGCAGTTCCCATGTCCAGCACAGCTGACAGCGGATGACCCAGCAGCCTCTGTCTAGTGCTGAGGAGCAGGGGAAGAGGAGCGAGTGTGGCCAGCACCCTCTGCAGCTGGCTGCCTCATGCTGGGTGGGCGCCTAGAGCCTTACCCTGTGGCTTGGAGCGAGGTTGGGGGCACCAGCAGGTGGGCGGATTGGCAGCTTCAGAGTCGGGCCCCAGGCAGGTCCAGCCCAGCTGCTGCTCCCTGTGTGGCAGAGGGGGCCAGACACTCCCCTCCCCACTGGCCTGAGCTGCCTGCCTGGGCTGAGTGTTCAAGGCAGGCTGGCATCTGCCCAGAGCTGCCAAGAGCAGGGGCAGGGCCTCAAGGGCGGCAGTGGGAGTCGGGGCTGCAGAAGGCTGTGGCCCCAGCCCTGGCAGTGTGTCCTCGTGGAGGCTGGCTGGATGTTTTACTTGGGGCTCGGTCCTTCCGGCTGCTGGCCTGGGCGGCCTCTTTCTCTTCTGGTGCCTTGGGGAGGGGTCCCCCAGCAGGCTCAGGGCTGCAAAGCCGGAGCATTGCTGGGGTGGGAGGGGGCACCTGCATGGCCTCTCCCCGCCCCTGGCCTCCCACCACACGTCTGAGGCTCTGCAAGGGCAGAGGCAGCAGCGGGCCCCACGGGGGAGGGGCACAGGACCAAGGAACCCCAAGGACCCTGGGTAAGCAGAGCTGGGCCCTGGGGAGCCTCTGTTGGCACTGGAGGGGCAGAGCCCTGGAGGTTCTCCCATGGCCCGGGGCTGTCCCCAGATGTGGTAAGATCTACTTCAGGCTGGGAGTGTGACTGGCAGCCAGCCGCCGTGGTCTCTGCCAGGGATACCCCAACTTCCCCAGCCTTCCACAGTCCGCAGGCCTCTCGTGTACCCCCACTGTGCTTGGCGTGCACCAGCCAGGGGCCGGCCCTTTGTGGGGATGGAGCACATCTGCATGTGAGTGTGCGTGCATCCATGAGTGCACACGTATGCCCGGGCATCCTTGGAGCATCCTGGACCCCTGTCCTAGTGTGGAGTTTGGTGTTGTGTACTGGGAACTTTGTGGGACCAAGGGCCAGGACCCAAGGCCAGCCAGGCCCCTCTGTTCACCCACCTACCCCAGCTCAGCACATACCGCTCAGGGCCAGTGGGCAGGAAGCGCGCATGTCCTGCCCAATTTCAGGTGGGGCATAGTGGGCGGGTTCGGCCCACTCATGCAGCCACAGAGCTTTCCTGGAGTTTCCTGCCCTCTGCCAAGTCCAAGTCACCTTTGCCCGCATGCCAGAGGGGAGGGCAGGGCAGGGGCTGAGGGCCACGTGGGCTGCTGGCTGCTGGCTGCTGGCTGCTGAGCTAGAGTCAGCCAGCCAGAGAGAGGACGGAGCTGGCAGCCTCAGGGGCACACGTGTGCAGGCATGTGACCATCCACAGAGAAATGCATAATGCCCTTACGTACGTGTGCCTGTGCACACCTGTGAGTGCCCTTCCATGCACACCACACCCTCCTACATGGCCGCTATTCATGCACACCCAGTACGCGTGTACACGTACACACATTCATCCGCACACACGTCTGCTCGCACCCATCCCACCACCATGTGCACGGGCTTGAGCGTGTGTACCCAGACCCACACCTGGATGCACAGATGCTGAGGGCCGGGAGCCTCTGGACCAGCTCAGGGTGTCGGGCCCGGTTGGGGCAGACAACTGGCCGCAGTCCACACCCACATGGTGGCTGAGCCCTCGGACACTTGTGGGCCTGTGGGTGATCTTTCTAATTTTTAAATTTCTTTTTGAGATTGAGTCATGCTATGTTGCCCAGGCTGGCCTTAAATCCCTGGGCTCCAGCGATCCTCCTGCCTCGGCCCCCAGAGTAGCTGGAACTGCAGGTGTGAGCCACCGCACCTGGCTGGGGATGCTCATGGTAGTTTCTCCTCACAGGGGCACTGTGACAGGGCCCAGGAGTCACCAGGCCTGCCCCTGCAGCCACTCCCCACAGATGCAGCGGGGAGGGATGGTCTGGGGGCTTGTGTCTGGTAACTCCAGCACCTGATGGTCACCCAGCCCACACCAGTGCTGTGTGACCTGGCACCTGCTCCATCCCTCGGCCACAGAGTGGGGAGTGAGGTGAGCTTCCTGGCAGTTCGGGGAGTGAGGCAGCGCCAGGCTGGGTGAGCACTCCAGCGTGACCCCCCCACTGCCCAGGCCCCTGGAATAGGGGACAGCAGACAGTCCCAGGCTCCCCCAACCCCCAGGTGCCTTCTGTTGCCCACGTCTGCCCCTCTGCCAAACAGGCCCCTGGTCAGCCCAGCCAGGGTGGGTCAGGAATCCTGGGCCTGGGCTGAGCATTACTGGGGCAGCAAGGGACACCTGCAGGGTCTCTCACTGAATGAGAGGTTCTGCGAGGGCAGATGCCGGGCAGCCCCTGAGGATGCCCCCACCCCTCCCTCTGCCTCCTGCTCCCCATCCCCCACCCCTCCCTTCACCTCCCCCCCATCCCCTCCCTCCACCTCCCAGCCCCTCTTTCCACCGTCTGTCCCCCAGTGTCCTCCAAGACACTGACAGAAGCCCTCTTCTAGGCCTGCTGCTGCTCTCTGGTCCTGTTCCAGGTGGGGCAGGGGCTGCTGCATGAGGAGCTGCTGGGCCTGGGGCCAGAAATGGGGGCTCTTTTGTCACTGTCTAGAGTCTGAGTCTGCCACCAGGGACTGCCACCCGCTCCCCTGGTTTGAGGGAGTCGGGCAAAGGAGTGTGGAGCACGCCCTTCCCAGCCCCCACAGCTGGGTGATGGTGGGTGGGGGCCGCCCTGTGGTTCTCCCATGGAGCTTGGAGGTGGTAGCGAGACACAGCAGGCTGACGTGGACCCGCTGAGGGATGGGCACCCGGGATCCAGGCTCCTGCGGGACCGGCCTGCCCAGTGTGTCCGGGAGACTCGGCTGGCCCGCCCCCTGGCGGCCACGGGCGGCACCATCTGGAAGCGGACATTTATGTTCTTGGGACACTTGGCCTTTTCCCGGGTGATGAAGCCCACCTTGCACCCCATCTGGTGAATCCGGAGGCCACGAAGATGCCTTTATGTTCTTAATTGTTGTATCAGGTCTTTGTTGAATCTTGGAGCCCTGCCTGGCTGGTGGCCCCCAACCCCACACAGCAAGGCCTTCTCGCCTTCCTCCTCGGTCCTTCCCTTTCAGGGTCTGAGGACCCCTTGGCCAAGACGGTGGAGACAGGCTCGGAGGAAAAGTAACCCTGAGCCTTGGGGGCTTCAGGAGATTACCTGCCCCTGCAGCATCCCAGTCCCTGTCCCAGTCCTGGCACCAGAGACCTTAGTGGGGCCCTGGACACACCCCAGGCCTGAACATCCCAGCCTCCTCTGCCTGGGGTCTAAGACCTTCACCAGCAAGGTGAACAGACGGCTGGAGGCCTCAGAGTGCAGAGCTCTGCCAGACCCACCTGCCACCTGTGACTCTAGAAAGCCCTCAATCCTGCCTTCCCCTGCAGGACTGGTCCCCAATTTCTGCATCTCCAGGGGCATCCCAGGACCATCTGGGGAAGCAGGGCATGCACACGCCCTGAGGCAGCCCCGCTTCGAGTCCCCTGTCTTGTGTGAGGACAGATGGCCCTTCTCAGGCCTTGAGTGCCAGGACCCTCTGCCCTCTCCAGCCTAGGTGCGCCTGCTCCAGGGCCAACACCCTCCAGGGTCCCTTGGCTGTCCGCCCCCACAGGGCTCAGCCACCCTGCAGATGTACCCTGGCCTCTTGGGAGGCACCGAGGGGGGTCGGTTGCCTCCGTCTCCAGCCTGTACGGAGTCCGGGCCCAGGACTCTGCGTCCTTCCAAGCTCTGATGCTGTGTTGAGCCCACTGCCTGCATGGTTCTGGCCGGCGGCTTCCTGGGCCGTCAGTAACTGTCCCTGCAGCCTGTACTACGTGTCTGGAGGACTGGCAGGTCCCTGGGGAGACCGGGGCCTGGGCTAGGCTGGTAAGAGGTGGCGCCGGGGGCAGGCCCCAAGGCTGCAGTCAGTGCCTGAGGCTGGCCCAGGCCCTTCAAAGGGGCCGTGGGCGGAGGCAAAGAGGAGGTTCTGTGTGGTTTTCCTGCCCGGAGAGGAACCTGGCTCAGGAAGCCATTGTCCCCACACAATGAGCACGGCTGGAACTGTGAAGTCAGGGGCGCTAGGCTGGGGGACCCAACCCTGACCTCAACCCGACTCTGTTCCATCACTGATGCCCCCAGGACTGACACCCCAGCTCACCCTGGACAGGGAGGAGCCACAGCTGGGGTCGGGGCACTCCTGAGCAGTCCGGGGGGCCTCGATTGGGGAAGTGCCCGCAGCTCAGGCCCGCTGACAGGCAGGGAGGGAGCGTTACATGTACCCACTTAACAGCAAAGCTGGGACCACAGAGGCCCAGGAGGCCCTAGCTGGACTGAGATTGGGATAGGAGGCCGGGCAGAAGGCCCAGTCACACCTGCCCAGGGGAGGCAGTGCCCACTCTGCCAGACGATGTGGGGACCCTCCTTTCCTTTGCGGCCGGGGGCCTCTGCACCAGCCCGACTGAGTCATTGCTGCCTCCCTGTGGACAATAACGTTGTCTGCCAGGTACCCGCCTTGGTGGAGCCTGGGAAAATGACCCCAGCCTAACCCGGCCGCCAGCACACCTCGGGGGCTGGCCCCCATGGCTCTGCTCCAGCCTTGACCACCCACCCATTGAGCTGAGTTGGCCGCTGTGGGGGTCCTGGGCGGCAGTGCAGGGCCGGACTGCAGGTGCCACAGAACCTGGCAGGTGGAGGCGGCACTGTGGGCTGAGGCTGAGCTAGGGTCAGCACCTGCAGGCCACAGCCTCGCCTGCCTGGGGTCCAGGAACACACATGCTGGGAGACATGTACCCAGCATGGAGACGATGTTCGAGCTTCTGTCTCTGTGCTCTGCCCCCGCGGCGCCCGGAGGATGGGGAGTGGCTGCCATCCCCACACAGCCCACCCTCCAGGCCTCACCCCTTCGGACTTCCCCTCCCACAAATCCCTGACCGGAGCATTCCCTCCAGCTGCACGTGGGGTTCTGGAAAATGCGTGTTTCTCATGCATTTGTTCATGGATTCACTCAGCAAGCGTGGAGAAAGCCTGACAGCCAAGTGCGTGCGCAGAGTCGGCGAGGATGAAGCAGGGAACCGGGAAGTGCTGCCCACAGGCCAGCGCCCCTGTCCTTGTAGGGGAGATGCGCTTCGAGCCACCCCCTCCCCAACAAGATCCATAGGCACAAGTTTGTGCAGGGAAATCAGGGCGTGAGGCGCAGCGGCCGGCCGGCAGAGGAGAAGTGGTCTTGCCAGCTGCTGGAGGGTGGGCTGTGGGGCTGTGAGCAGAGCGCATGCTTAGTTCCATTTTGGAGCACTCTGGGGAGGGGATGGAGAAGGGCCCAGAGGATGGGGGTGTCCCTGGGTGGGGCCGGGAGGTGGGTGGAGGAGGAGATGAGACTGGCTCCCTGGTGAAGGTCTCAGCAGGGATTTGTTATTAGGGGAGGGGGACAGCGGAAAGGAGTAGGTTCAGGTGGGGCCAAATTTAGGGGCCTGTAATGTGTGGAGGGCCTGGGGCTGGAAGAGCCTGGGATGATGTGATCCTGGGAGGTGAAAATCAGGGCTCAGCAGCCTGCTGGTGGCCTTGGAGGGCCCTGGGCACGCTCTTGGGCTGGTGTGTCCCGGCCTGGCTCCCGGGGAGGTTGCTATTCAGAGACAGTATTTCCCAGCCCACCAAGGGGAGGGGTGTGGTGGTCACATGGCCACTGGGGGACAGGTGCATCTGTACATACCCATGCACAGGATGCTCGCAGGCTCTGCAAGCTGGGGGAGGCCCCTCGGGCCCTGGCCATCAGGAGGCGCTGCGGGACAGCTGGGTGGGCTGTGTGGGGTGGCAGCCTGAGGGGCCCTCAGTGCCTGTGTGGGTGCAGCCCTCTTGCAGGTATTGGGCGTGTGTGACAGTGTCATGAGGAGGGCAGGAGCCTCGCCGATGGGAGAGGAGGCCTCTAGGGAGGGAAGGAGTCCACTGAGGCAGCTAGCTCCTTTGTCACTTAAATGGGGTGGCCACCTGGATTTGGGGTCGGGGCACCCTGCACAGGGGAGCTTCCTCGGAGCTTTCTCTGCTGCCCGGCCCAACTTCCGGCCCAACTTCCATTCTCATCCTGACCGGTGCAGTGTCTCCAGGCGAGTTGGGCGAGGGTCGCAATAGGATGGGGTTGGAGGGTGAGTTCTGCCTTGGGGACACACCAAGCTCAAAGACAAGGTCCATGGGGTGGAGGCAGGAGAGGCAGCCTCAATGAGGCGGGGCTGAGAGGGCTCTCAGGAGCCCATAAGCCTTCCCAGAGGAGGGGCTGGCCGGCTGAAATGGGCTACAGAAGGTCCCAGGTGTAGAGGTAGGTAGGCCTTCCAACCTAGGACTCAGGCAACAGAGGGTGTGTGACGGCAGGGCTGGTGGCTCTAGGGAGAGCAGGGCAGAGGTAGGGAGAGCAGGGCAGAGGTGGGCAGAGCCCCACAGCCAGGGACAGCAAGGGCCTCTGAGAGTGGGGGGCTGGAGTCCCCTGAGGCTGGGGTGTCATGCTCTTTATAGTGGAGGACCCCCAGCCGGTGGGTGGGAGCAGGTGCAGGGCCACTGAGGAGGAGGTGTGTGCTGGGCGGTGGCAGTCCTGCAGCCCAGGCCAGATGGTGGGGTGAGGTGGGGACGGGGTCCTCTGCTGAGAGCCGGGAGTGGGATGTTCGGGTGCTGGGCTCTGGATGAGTCACTGCTCACCAGGCCGCCCGGCGCCAGCGGGGGCCTGGCCGCAGGAAGCAGCAAGGGCTGATCGAGGGCAGGAATGGAAGCCGCTGGACCTCCCACTTCCTGTGGCCTGAGAGCTGGGGCTGGACGCCGGTGTCCACCGCCTGGGCTGGATGGCTCAGAAAACAGAATGCACAAACGCCATGACCTGCGTGGCTGAGCACCGGGGGCGTGCAGGATCTGTCCCAGTGGGTGCAGGGAGACCCAGGAAGCTTCTGCTCACACAGGAAGGAGGCTACAGAAGGGCTATGGATCAGGGTGGAGTGGAGACGGTGGTCCCAGCAGGGCCACAACCAGGGCCAGGCCAGTGAGGTGGAGGAGGGTGTGGCAGGCAGGTATCCACTTGACCAGGCTTCGGAGAGGGTTCAGGGGTACCCAGGAGAGGGGGGTGCTCACAGCACATGGTAGGGCACTCTGGGGCTGGCTCCTTGGATGGCGGGGCCCTGGTTGGGCAACGATGCTCAGAGCCCCTGAGCCAGAAGGCAGCCTGCAGCACCCCAGCATTTCTGGCATACTGTGGTCACCACCCCAGCCCACCAGCAGGGGCCCAGGGTGATCATGCTCAGCACCACCGCTGCCAAGGTGGTCCTGTAGGACCTGCATAGGGGAGCTTCCCTAGAGCTCTGGTCACAGCCCCAGCACCCTCTCCCTGGTACCCCCACCTGACCTGACTCCTGGGGACCCCAGCAAATAAGCAGTCACCACTATCCACCTGCCCTGCCATGGCTTGCCACCGCCTCCAGGTTGCCACTCCAGAGCCTTGCTCCTGTCCCTGGTCCAGCATGGCCTCAGCTCCTGCTGTCCCCACCTGTGCCCCTGGGACTCCTTGCCCTCCCTGTCAGCACCCGGCTTTCCCCTGACTGGGGTCTATGCCCCGCTGTCCCTGCCTGTCACGCCTTTCCTCTGTCACCTCCTCCCTTGGCAAACTCAACCCAAGTGCCACCTCCAAGAAGCCTTCCTTGCCACCCTCACCCCCATGGCTGGGCCAGAACCTGCTCTGGGACCTCTGCAGCTGGCAAGTGTCTCTTTGTCCTGACTCTGCTCACCTTGTGTCATCCCTGTCCTGGCCAGTGGCTTGCTGAGGGAGGGGTCTGTGGCTGGTAGAGATGATGGCAAGAAGTGCCATGGGCTGGACGTCTGTCTGGGGCTTGCCAAGACCAAAGTGGGCCTGGGCTATCTCATCCTGCCCAGAAGAGAGGGGCTGCCTCAGTTTCCCCAAACCTTGAGTTCTTGCTCCTCCTTCAGCCCCCAGCCCCTGACCCCTCCCAGTGCCACACCCCTCCTGTGTGATTATCTAATCCTGGGGCAGCCAGGTGCCAGGCTGCTGCGGGAAAACGCTGAGACACCCCAACCCCTCCCGGCCCTTGCCCTAATGACAGCTCTGCACCTGCCCACACAAAGCCTTCCCAGATTCGAGTGGGAACGTGGTGCCCCTGAGCCCTCTGGAGCCAGCACAGCGCTGACTCCTGATCTCCCTGGGTGCTCAGGCCTGGGGATGGGGGACAGGGAGCCGCCTCTTCACTGGTCCTAGGTTCAGTCTCTGCCAACACAGAGCTGCCCCAGGCCTCGGGAGGAGGTAGAGTCTTCAAGGAGAGTCTTCCGGAAACATGGCCCTCGAGGACTCGGAGGCTGTCGGACAGTCCTGCAGAGTCCAGGGGGGTGGGGGGTGGGCAGGAATGTGGCCTCTCCCTCCCGATGGCCCTGCCCTGAGGCCCAGCTGGGGAGGATGTTCCTTGGAGCAGACCCCCCCCACCCCATGTCCCCTTGCCGCATACACAGGCATGAGGCCCAGGCTGCCCCTGGGGACAGCAAGTGACCGAACCCTGCAGAAAGCCAGGAGATGCTGCAGCCACGTGGCCAGCCCTCCCTGGCTGTCATTCTGTCCAAAACAATGCGAAGGAAACGCAGCCAAGCCCTGAGGCTCTCCAGTGTCATGACGTCTGGTGCATTTTGGGGAAATACCAAACATCACGCCCTCTTAAAAGCGCGGCTTCCTTGGCGTGCACAAGGGCCAGGCTCTCAGGCAGCTGGGTAGAGTCTGGCCCCCACATACTCTCGCCCCCCACCCCGACCCCGCCTGCCCAGGGCTTGGGCCGGACCCCCAGACCCCAGGGCGGGGTCAGGTGCAGGGACGGGGTCAGATCATAGAGGGCCCAGACTGCGGGACCCGCCGTATCCTAGGGGTTCAGATCTCCGGGCAGGGTCAGGTGCAAGGGGCAGGGCCAGATCCCAGGGGGTTCAGTTCGTCGGGGGAGGTAGAGGCGGGGCCAGATCCAAGGGGGGGTCAGACCGCGGGGCAGGGTCGGGGGGCAGGTGCTAGGGTGGCTCCCCGGTGCGCTCCTGGGATTGGTCCCGGGCGCTGGCTCCTCTTTAGTCCCCAGCGGGGCGGGCACGGCCCCCTGAGGCCGCAGCTGAGCCTCCCACTCCCGGCCTGCGGTCCCGAGTCCCGGCCGCACCTGCCGAGGCCCAGGCCGCGAAGGAGGGAAGGCCGAGCCGGGCATTAGCCCCCGCGCCGGGCGCCGCGGGGAGGGTCTTATCAGCGCGGGCAGCTGGCGGCCTGTCCCTGCGCGAGCGCCCCGGCCCAATTCAATGGCCATTGTCCGCCGGTCCCTTTGTTCTGAGGTGTCCGCTTCCTGCCAGGCTAGGAGCGGGCGGGCAGGAAACCCTCCGAGCCGAGGCCCAGACGAGGAGGCCGGCCCAGCCTGGGGTCAGAGGCGACGGCAGACCTGGCTCGGGGCTCCCGGGGGCTGGGGAGTGAGGCTGGGGCTCGGTGTGCGGTCTGCAGGGCGGGGGCAGGAGCGGGATGTCCCCTCCAGGGGGACACTGTGAGGGCGGGGCTCCCGCCTCCAGATCCTGCGGCGCTGGGGGCGGGTGGAGGAAGGAGGAGGAAGACCCTGAGACAGAGGGTGCCCCTCCCAGCTCTGCAGCCTTCCTCTGCTCCCTGCTGGATGACAGGCTCAGAGAGAGCGAGGGCAGGCTCAAGTTTCAGGGTCGTGAAAACCCAGCGCCCACGGCCTCCCATGCGGAAGACGCCCACCCAGGACCGTGGGCTGGGAAGAGGGGCTGAGGCCTGGGAGGGGAGTGATGCGGCCAGGGTTCATCCCTCCTTCACGGGGGCCCTGCGGCGCTCCTGACCATCTGAGGCCGTCTCCACCCCCTCGTCCTCTCTCCCCTGTGCTCCACGCTGCCCATTCACCAGGCCCCACAGGTTCGCCCAGCACAGCACCCTGGTTGGCTGGCCATCGGTTGTAAGCTCACCCGTAGCTGGGGCTGGGTCTCTGGGAGCTGGTGGGAGGGGGAGTTGGCACCAGTGCCACAGCCCACCGGTGCCCACCAGAGCTCCCCATGGCACTCGAGGCCACTGAACCAGCTGGAGCAGGATGGCCACAGCCGCTGCTCACTTCCCACCATGTGCCCTGGGGTCTCCTGCAGTTCCTTTTTCCGAGACCCCCTGGGTGCCTTCCCAGCAAAGCCCTGGCCCTGACTCAGGCCAACTCAATCAGCAAACGGAAGCCACCGCGGGGATTTCAAACAGCAGAACTTAATGCGAACAGCTTGGAGGGGATGCAGGAACGTAGAGAGGAGAGTCTGGCAAGCCGGAAATCAATTTCCTGCTGCAAGAGGCAGCCGGCAGGTGGGGTTGGGGGGGGTGCTAGCCAGGTCCCACTGCTGCCGTGTCCCCACAGATTGGGCCAGTGGTTCACCCCCTCTTGCTGACGTCCCTGCCGTCATCACCACTGCCTCTTTCTGTCCCCATGTCCGCCACCACCATCATCACCTGAAGTTGCCACTGACGGACAAACATGGCCTGTCCCTCCTCCTTCTGGACTTCCTTGGACAGAGCTTCCAGGGAAGTCAGCAAGAGAGTGTGGGAGATGCGGAGGCAGCCTTCCCTGGTGGAGAGGAGGCCCCCCACCCTCCAGCTCACGGGCACGGTGGGCCCCAGGTGGGGAGGAGGCCCCCCACCCTCCAGCTCATGAGTACAGCGGGCCCCGGGTGGAGAGGAGGCCCCCCACCCTCCAGCTCCCAGGCACAGTGGGCCCCAGGTGGAGAGGAGGTCCCCCACCCTCCAGCTTACAGGCACAGTGGGCCCCAGGTGCAGAGGAGGTCCCCCACCCTCCAGCTCACAGGCACAGTGGGCCCCAGGTGGACAGGAGGTCCCCCACCCTCCAGCTCACGGGCACGGTGGGCCTGGGGGCCACGTGCACATGGCTTTCAGCATTCCCACCTACAGCTCCTCCCGGGAACTCGATGAGAGCAAGCCAATGGCCATCCCAGCCCAGCTGCTTGTCCCTTGGACAAGTCTTCCCTGCCTCTGAGGCTCCTGGGGGAGTTCACACAGGTGAAAGGAGGTGCCAGATCTTAGTGGGCACTCTACAAGCAGCAGCACGTGTTTATGAAGGGCCTGGCACGAACCGGGGCACTCTGGGGAGCCATGCCATGCTGCCTATGAACCAGAGAAGTGGGGAGGCAGCCCTTGGCATAAGGAGCCAGAGGGCACACAGCCCAGGAAATGGAACAGGGCCCTGAATCTGAGTCTCCTGTGTGAGCTCAGGTCCTCTGAGAAGAGGACACCAGGATCCCATGCAGGTGCGATTCAGCTGGGGAAATGCAGGTGAAGGATAGAGAGGGGAGGAGGCACAGCAGCAGGGAGAGCCTGACTGACGCAGGGGTGCTGGGAAGGATGGAGGTAAGAGAGCTGGGTGGTGGGTGGGAGGAGCCTCAGAGCTGGGGCTGCCTGGGCACGATGCCAGTGTGATGCGGGGCCAGCGCTGGGCAGCTGGGCATTGTCTACTGGCTCCTGCGTCAGGATGTCTGCACACAGCCTCGTCACAGCCATCTTCACCTGGTGGCAGAGGAGGGCATGTGTGTCCCCCGGGGGCAGGGTGGTCCCACAGTCTCTGTGTGCTAGAGACTCCTAAGGGGAGACTTGGGGGATGGAAGGAAGAGGGGAGGGGGTGAGAACCTTGAAGACCAGAGGCCCCAGGGTGGTTGGCCGGGTCTCTGCCCAAGAGAGACCAGGAGGCAAGTGGTCCCAGGAAGGGCAGTGGTCTGGGGGCGGGTTCCAGGCTGCCTCGTGGTAGCAGGAGCTCCTCAGGCTTGGGGACCACACACAGGTTGTATACAGAGCTGGGGAGAGACTGACGGCGGCTGGGCCCTCAGAGCAATGATTTGGAGCTGGGTGGATTCTCCCGGAAGCTGGGGGCGGGGTGCAGAGGAGCTATGCCTCGGTTGGCAGGAACCTCCGCTGACTCCTCCTGCACCTTCTTTAGATCTCCCACTGAGATGTTGCCCTCCACCTCTCTTCTCCAGAAGGGAAAGATGTTGGGGTGCCCTCAAGTTTCCTTTACCATGAAGGACTGTCCCCTGGCAGGTCAGATGTCCCATGGGCTCTGGGCTCACTCAGGAGCACATGCTTTCCAGGACCCGCAGGCACTGGGCACCTGCAGCCATGGCCCCTGTACAGTGGCCCTCCCTGGCCTCCCCATGTCCAGGGACACCCCCCACTCCCCAGCCACTGTGGGCTCCATGACCACCACTCCCACCCCACCCTTGCTGCCTGGGCACCCACAGCCTGCCCTCACCACAGCCCCTCAGTGCCCAAGCACCCTGTGCCTGGCTCCTCAGGAAGCCCTCCGTGATTTACACCAGCTGTGTTGATGCGTGTGTTCTGGCTGCTGGGTGTGGAGCTGAAGCCTAGGAAGAAGGCAGGGGCTCCCTGGAAGGGCAGTGGGCCCTGGCCCGGCCCCGGGGGGCTGGCAGAGCGGGGAGGCTCTGGGACACTGGGCCTGGCGGTGTTGGCTGGGGCGCGGTGTGGGGGCTGTCTTTGTGGGAGGTCCGTGCGTGAATCACCCCTTCAGGCACAGGCACAAATGCAGGAAGTTGCCATTCTACTGAACTCTATTTTCTCTCACAGAGGGGAAAGTCTGTCACACGAAGGGCATTGTTCCCTGGGCTAGCGCTTTCCGGGTGGGCTTGCTCTGCAACGGGGGCTGGGGCTCACTTGGTGCTGGGGCCCTGGGCTGAGCCGTTTCCCTTCGAGACCCAGGGGCGCCTAGGGGCCAGGAATGGGGGCCTCGGTCCAGCGGCCAGCCCCAGGTGACACACGTCCACAAGGCGGGTGCCGGCAGGAGCAGGGCTGGGGGCCTATCGAAGGAGGGGCTGGGTGGGCCTGAGTGCGGCAGGTCTATTCTGTGCCTGGCGGTGGTTTCCGGAGTCCCCATGTACAGGGTGGGCTGGGGAGAGGAGGGCAGATGTGTCCTCCTCTGACTTGCCACACCCTCCCTCCTCTTCCCAGGAAGGGACCATAAGGCGTTCCCTAAAACTGTGAGGCCAGCCCAGCCCCTGCCCCCAGGCAAGGCTTGCAGCCCCCAGCCCTGCTGTGGGCCTGTTTGGCTGCTCTGTCTTGGGGAGACCCTGCCGTGGTTGGGGAATGCGGCTGGGCCGAGCAGGAGGTGGAGCCCGAGAGTCCTGCGGGGATGTGTGGGGTCAGCGTGCAGACCGAGGGTCCTGCGGGGGTGTGTGGGGTCAGCGTGGAGACCGAGGGTCCTGCGGGGGTGTGTGGGGTCAGCGTGGAGACCGAGGGTCCTGCGGGGGTGTGTGGGGTCAGCGTGGAGCCCGAGGGTCCTGCGGGGGTGTGTGGGGTCAGCGTGGAGACCGAGGGTCCTGCGGGGGTGTGTGGGGTCAGCGTGCAGACCGAGGGTCCTGCGGGGGTGTGTGGGGTCAGCGTGGAGCCCGAGAGTCCTGCGGGGATGTGTGGGGTCAGCGTGGAGACCGAGGGTCCTGCGGGGGTGTGTGGGGTCAGCGTGGAGACCGAGGGTCCTGCGGGGGTGTGTGGGGTCAGCGTGGAGACCGAGGGTCCTGCGGGGGTGTGTGGGGTCAGCGTGGAGCCCGAGAGTCCTGCGGGGATGTGTGGGGTCAGCGTGGAGACCGAGGGTCCTGTGGGGGTGTGTGGGGTCAGCGTGGAGACCGAGGGTCCTGCGGGGGTGTGTGGGGTCAGCGTGGAGACCGAGGGTCCTGCGGGGGTGTGTGGGGTCAGCGTGGAGACCGAGGGTCCTGCGGGGGTGTGTGGGGTCAGCGTGGGGTCTGAGGGTCCTGCGGGGGGTGTGTGGGGTCAGCGTGGAGAATGCTTTATGGGCTGATGTGCTACCCAGAGAACCAGGGCATCGTCTGCAAAGGTCTGGGGCAGCGGGCACCCCTCCCACATCCTAAGGGCAATGCCAGATGGGGATGGACGAGGGAGCCATGTCGGAAGTCCCAGGAGAAGCAGCACTCGGGAGCCGAGGTGGAGGAGGAAGAAGCCACCCCTGTTCTCCCAGCTCCATGGGGGGCTGGGAATTGGGCTGAGGGAGAGAAAGTGACTTGTGTCTTCTCCTTGGGCCAGACTCCGCGGCCCAGGCCAGAGCCTCGTCATTTATGAGCTCTGGCCTCCAAGCCTGTGGCTGCATCTGAAGCCCATGGTGGACACCTCCTGCTGCTGCTGGGCCCGCCCCTGCACTCTCCGGAAGGCACTGCCCAGTGAGGGTGGTCTAGGGAGCACCCGCAGGCCCTGCCCCAAGTACCCACCACCCAGCCCCACCCGCCCCATCCCATGACGGGGACCCTCTCTTGCGCCAGGCTGCCCTGGTGTCCCAGGGGCCCCATGGGGTGTCGGGGCACACCCAGAACACGTGACGCCCCTCTGTTGCCTTCGTAGTCCTGGAACCACGGTCGGGAGCAAAACAGACCAACAGAGGAGACAGGACTAAGTGAGAACTGTCCACAGGCTTGGAACACGCCGCGGGCAAAGAGGACCTGGGCCCAGCCCCTCAGGCACTTTCGGCTCTGCGGGTCTCAGAGGGCCTGTGTGCCGTCGGCGGGTGCTATCACCTCCCACCTTGTGGGTCTGTTCCCGGGGGAGATGGGTCTCAGGGGGAGGCGGCTGGCATGGCAGGTGCGCAGCCCTGGAAGAGAAAGAAGCAAAGTGCCCACCTATGCCAGCAAGAAGAGGTGGACTAGGCATGCACAGAGGGGCCGGGGCAGGGCAGAGGCCCAGGAAGAACCACCCAGAGGCTCAGAGGTGCCCCGGGGAAGGGGCCAGAGCTGGACACGGGTGGTGGTGGGGTTTCCCCAGAACACACAGTGGTGGGGGCAGGGTCTTGGAGCCTGGGGAGGTGTGGGCATCCTCCTGTTCACCCCAGGGAGAACAGGTCGCTGGAGGAGGACTCTTTGAAAATACAAAGTCAGAATTTCCCTAGGTTAAAGATGAACAGCTCGAGCAGGAAGGGCTCACAGCTCCAGCAGGAGGGTGGGGCCCAAGGCATCGAGGCATCTGACAACAGGCCCTGGGGCTCAAAGGCACGTTTGTCCCCCTCCCCATCGCTCAGCGACCCCCTCCCCATCACTCAGCGACCCCCTCCCCATCGCTCAGTGTCCCCCTCCACATTGCTCAGTGTCCCCCTCCCCATCGCTCAGCAACCCCCTCCCCATTGCTCAGCGACCTCTGCTGCTGCTCCCGGGTTCTGCCTGGGGGACCTTCCACCTTTCCTATGGGCTCCCCAGCCCTTCTCACCCAGGGAGGCCCCTGGAGCACTGATTCAGGGCCCTCCCCACCTGCAGGGGTCGACTCACACGCTCCAGCTTTCGTGTACATAGCCAGTGACACTTCACAAAGTTTTCCAATTTGTTTTCATCGTAGTAAAAGATACACAATGTAAAATGTACCATGGTAACCACTTTTTAAAAGTTTTTTAAATTGAAAGAGTAATACATGCCATGGTAAAATTTAAATAGCACCTAAAAGTATGCAGTGAACAGTGCATTCCCTACCAGAGTCAACCATGGCCAACAGTGCTTGTGTGTTTTATATTGTGTTAAAACATGCAATAACAACATTTACCATCTTTTTTTTTTTTGGTGGGGGGGTTAAGATGGGTCTTGCTCTGTCACCCAGGCTGGAGTACATCATAGCTCACTGCAGCCTCGACCTCCTAGGCTCAAGAGATCCTCCCACCTCAGCCTCCCAAGTAGATGGGACCACAGGTGCACCACCACGTCCAGCTAATTTTTTGTAGAGACAGGGTCTCGCTATTTTGCCTAGGCTGATCTCGAAATCCTGAGCTCAAGCAATCTGCCTGCCTCAGCTTCCCAAAGTGCTGAGATTACAGGTGTGAGCCACCGTGCCCGGCCATCTTGACCATTTCTAAGTAAACAGCTCAGGATTGTGAAGGAACATTGATGGCGCACAACTTTTGCCACTATCATTTCCAGAGCCCTTCATTGTCCAAAACTGAAGCGGTTCCCATTCAACACCAGTGCCCCCGTCCATGCTCCCCAGCCCCTGGCGCCACCACCCCACTTTCTGTCTTTATACCTTCGACTCCTCTAGGATCTCCTATAAGTGGACTTGGGCAGGATCTGTCTTTTTTGGGACTGGTGTATTTCACTCAGCATAATGTCATCAAGGGTCACCCATGAGTCAGAATCTCCTTCCTTTTTAAAGCTAAGTAATATTCCGCTGTATGTATATATCACACTTTGCTTATCCATTTCTCCATCGATGGACTTCAGCTGTTTTAGGTACAAGTTTTAAATTTTCATAAAGCCCAATTTGTCTATTTATTATCTTGTTGCCTGTACCTTTGGTGTCATACCCAAAAAAGCCACTATCAAACGGAATGTGTTGGAGCTTTTCCTCTGTTTCTTCTCAGAGTTTTATGGATGTAGCTCTTGTATTTAGGTCTTTCATCCATTTTGAGTTAATCTATTTTTTTTTTAGAGACAAGGTCTCGTTCTGTGGCTCAGGCTGGAGTGCAGTGGCATGATCGCTGCTCACTGCAGCCTCTACCTTGGTCTGCCAGGGTGCTGGGACTACAGACGTGTACCACCACACCTGGCCCGAGTTAGGGTGATTAGGGTGGTTGGTGAAGATCCAGCTTCCTCCTTTTGCATGTGAATACCCAGTTTCCCAAGGACGCCTCGCACTCCACCCAGCTCCACAACAAACAAACCACATCTGCCCTTGCTCCAGGTGGGCCCACCTCCCAGGTGCTTGGGCCAGAAAACCTGGGGAATATCTCTGGCTCTCCTGTTTCCTTCATGTTGAACTCTTCTTGGATCTGCTGTTGGGTTACATCCTGGATCCGGCCACGGCTCATTACGGGCCTGTGGCAGACACAGTGTGCGGACCACCCCCGCTCTCATAGTTTCTACCACACTCGGCGGCAGAAGCCACAGGAGTGAGTGACGTGCCCCACCACCATTCTGGGCCGGCTCCGGTTCCCACACCACCTCTCTACACTATGCCCCCCCCTTTTTTTTTTTTTGAGAAGGCCTCAGTGGTCTTCAGCGTGGGGCCAGTTCTGCCGTCTCCTTTCCCTCTCCCGACGTGATTATTTTGAAGTCGATCCTAGATGTCGCCTCCTATTTCAGTTTTATCTCTAACTCGTCTTTCAGAAACTGCCAGCTCAAGCATCCCCAAGCCAAGACGCGACAATGTGGAAAACACCGCGAACAGGGCAAACAGAACATTCTCCACATGGACACATGTTACGTCTTCAAACGGGCCTCAGAATGGCCTGAGAAGTGGAAGCAGCCCCTGGAGACAGACAGACGATGAAGCAATGCCTGCAAAATGCTGGAGGAAAGTGACTTCCAGCCTAGACTTCTTTTTTTTTTGAGATGGAGTCTTGCTCTGTCGCCCAGGCTGGAGTGCAGTGGCGTGATCTCAGTTCACTGTAGCCTCCACCTCCTAGGCTGAAGTGATTCTCCTGCCTCAGCATCCCGAGTCGCTGGGTGGCATGCACCACCATGTCTGGCTAGTGTTTCATATTTTTATTAGAGACAGGGTTTCACCATGTTGGCCAGGCTGGTCTCAAACTCCTGGTCTCTTGTGATCCACCTGCCTCAGCCTCCCAAAGTGCTGGGATTACAGGAGTGAGCCACCACGCCTGGCCCTAGCCTAGACTTCTATACCCAGCCCAGCTATCATTCAAGGATGAGAGTGTAATAGACATTCTCAGATAGGCACGGTGCTCAAAATGTGTCTTCCACGCACCCTGTCGCAGGAAGTGGCTGCAGGATGGGCTCCACCAGAGCAGGGGGAGGGAGCCTTCAGAGGGCTGTGAAGGGAGGTGTCTGGAGGCCAGCTGTGCCCACGTGGGAGCTGGCCGTTGAGAGTAGAGGGTGTGACAGCAGGTGGCGCCCGTGGTGCAGCTAGGATGCTGCTTCTCCACCGCACCTGCTCTGACTCATGCCTGGGACCTGGGAGACGGTGGCGAGGCGCTGGGGGGTTACAAGCAGAACTGCAGAGCAGCCCCTGCCAGCCTCGTCACACGCCCTGACTGTGGGGACCTGGGTATCCTTAGAATCCTCTAGTCCCCACCCACTGATGGCCCTGAATGGCTCCTGTGAAGTCCCCGGGAGGCTGAAGACACCTTGACCCCAGGCTCTGTTCAGTTCTCTTCTCTTGAGACTTTCAGCTGACAGGGTGAGGTTGAGCCCACTGTGAGATTAGGCAAGACAAAAGATAATATAGCTTAGGACATGCAAAACAGGCTGGGTCACTGGCTCACGCCTTGATAGCACTTTGTGGGGGCCAAGGAGGGAGGACTGCTTGAACCTAGGAGTTTGAGACCAGCCTGGGCAACATAGCGAGACCTCATCTCTACAAAAAATATAAAAAATTGGCTGGGCATAGGGGCGCACACCTGTAGTCCTCACTACTTAGGAGGCTGAGGTGGGAGGATCACTTGAGCACAGGAGGTCCAGGCTGCAGTGAATCAAGATTGCACCGCTGCACTCCAGCCTGGGCAAGGGTGAGACCCTGTCTAAAACAAAAACAACACCCCCACCAAAAAAAGAAAAACAAAAAACAACCTATCATCACCAAAACTCCCTATCATAGGTGAAAAGAAAAGGCTTTTCCAGATGCCCAGAAAAAACAGCAGTTCCCAGGCTCTCCCTGCCAAGCACCTCACGAAGGCAGGACCTTCAGCCTGGGAGGAAGCCTTTGTGTACTCAGCCTCTTCTGCAGCGCACTCCTGGGTTGCAGGTGCTCCAACCTGCTCAGCCCCTTTGCTTAGTGAAGCCGCCCTATTCCTACTCAGTGCAGAAGCTTGGCTGCACACACACTCACACACACACCCCCCACACATACCCCCCCACACTCACACACACGCACACATACCCCCACACACACACCCCCTATACACACCCCCACATATACATATCCCCCCACACACATACCCCCCACCCCCCCACAAACATACCCCCCACACATACCCCCACACACATACCCACACACACACACACACCTCCCACACACCCCCTATACACACCCACACACACCCACACACTCACCCCCACACACATACCCCCTACACACATACCCCCACACTCTCACACACACACCCATACACATACACCCCACACACATACCCCCCACACTCACACACACATACCCCCATACACATACGCCCCACACACATACCCCCCACACTCACACACACACACCCCCCACACCCCCCATACCCCCCACAAAGATACCCCCACACACACAGCCCACACACACACCTCCCACACACCCCCTATACACACCCACACATACCCCCACACCCACTCACATACCCCACACACACACCCCATACACACACACCCCCCCACACACATACCCCCACATTCACTCCCACACACCCCCCCACATACTCCCCCACACTCACACACATACCCCCCCACACACATACCCCCACACCCACTCACATACCCCACACACACACCCCATACACACACACCCCCCCACACACATACCCCCACATTCACTCCCACACACCCCCCCACATACTCCCCCACACTCACACACATACCCCCCCACACACATACCCCCACACCCACTCACATACCCCACACACACACCCCATACACACACACCCCCCCACACACATACCCCCACATTCACTCCCACACACCCCCCCACATACTCCCCCACACTCACACACATACCCCCCACACACTCATGTACACCCCCCACACACAGCCCCCCACACACACCTCCACACACACACATACTGCTTCTCTCCATTACACACACAGACACACAGAGATGCACAGATACACACACACACACACACACACACACACACGGCCCAGCCCCCTGCTGCTCCTCCGGGTGTGGTCTCTGCTGTATCCCCCCAGCACCCCACTGCCAGTCCTGGAGCCCACCACTCTGCTCACTTATGAGCACTCTGCACTCAACTCCTGCCCACACCCAGTGGACTTCTGTGCCCCACACCCCCGACCTCCTGACCCCCCATCCTGATCCTCCTCCAGCTTCCCCTCAACTCAGCCTCTCTCGGGACACTCCCTCTGCACTTACCTCGGAATCCCCGCCCCTGGCTTTCCTGCACCCCTCCCGCCCCTGACTCCCCCACGTCCTCCCCACCCCCCGCACCCCCACCTGGGCTCTGTCATGCCTGTAGCTCCCTGCTCAGTGTCCTCAACTCTCCAATCCACCTGCTGCCTGTGACCTTACTGGGAAGGAGCTGAGCCATGGAGGAGCCCAGGGGCCCCCCTTGTACCTGCCCTGCCTCCAGCATGGCCCAGGAGCATCCCCAGCCCGGTGCCACCAGGAAGCCTTGCTCCCCAGGCCCCCTCGGAGCCCGCACCCAAGCCCCCTGCCAACAGGGGCCACTTCGCCTCCCTCCCCTCCCATCTCATCCTTGGCAGGGGCCCTTGCCTCACTCCCCTTACAGAGGAAGGGGGACAGAAGCCCACAGCGGTCTCCTAGGTGTCCTGCAAGAAACCCGCCCACTTGCTGCGGGGCGAGGCCCCAGGCTGCAGATCCTGGCGCCACAGGGTCCTGCCCTGGTGGTGATGCCCTCCCGACGCATCCTCCCCAGAGTCCACACCTGGATCCCCAGAACCTGCGAGTATGGACCTTCTGTGGCAAAGGGGACTTAGCAGGTTTGACTAACAGAAGGACCCGAGGTGGGAGATGGCCCCGGATGGCCCCGGATGACCCGGGGGGGCCCTAAATTGTGGTCACAAGGACCTCAGAAGAGGGAGCAGGAGGGTGGAGACGCGAGGACGGAGGCAGAGTCGGGGGAGGACGGAGGGGCGCTCTGCTGGCCTTGAAGGTGAGGAGGGGGCGGGGGCCGCCTCCGGAAGCTGGAGAAGACAAGGAATGGATCTTCCCCTGGAGCCCCCAGAAGGAGCCGCCCTGTGACCCTTGACCTTCACCCGGTGGGATGCGTTTTGGACACCCGTCCCCCAGGGCTGGAAGGCCATGGCCGTGCTGTTCCCAGCTGCTGGGTTGGCAGTGGTTTGTCTTGGCAGCCCTGGGGAGCTGACACTGGTGCTCTCACCCCACATGCCCTCTGGCCCCGCTACAGGGCATCTGCAGGGGCCTCTGCCACTATGCTCAGCAGGGTCTTTGAAGCCTCCACACTGCCAAAGCCAGAGGTGGCTTTTCAGAGCTCTCCACTGTGGCTCTCAGGCCACCTGGCCACACGGAGTCCTCTCATTCCCCCTCCTGGAGCCCCTCCCCAAATCAAGCTCCTCCTCCTCCTCCTGCACCTGCTTCCATGGGGAACGAAGCCATCCTCTGCACAGCCACCACTCTGGACAACAGCCAAAGGCCCTCGGACCAGTCTCCTCCTCCCCCGGCCCCAGGCAGCCACGGTGACCTCCCAGAGGGGCATCTGACCACCTGCCCTGCCCAACCCCTCCGAGACTTCCAGTGGCCCCAGGGGATGTGCCAAGCACAGGCCAAGGGAGCTGCCCCCAGGGCCACAACGCCTCTTCTGGCCTCGGTCTCCTCCTGCCAGGACAGCTTCCTTTCTCCTGCCTTGGATCTTCGGGTTTCTGGGGAGTGTCGTGTCCTCGGGGAGGCTGTCCTCTGCCTCTTGGCATGCCTGTCCTAACTTCTTGTGACATCAGGCCTGCCCCGAATCACCTGTTCGAGCCACCCCAGTGCACAGCAGGAACTGGTAAAGTGCCTGGGCTGCTTCTGCCTTTTCTCCCTTTCCATCTCGGAGGGACAGCAGGCCTCACTTGCCCTGTCCTCAGCTCCACGTGTGGGCAGTGGCCTTGTGGTCATAGACAGCATGGAATGTTCCTGAATAGCCTCAGTGACACTGGTTTTTCCTTTTTTTAAAAAAAAAAAAATTGAACCGAGCCAGGCATGGTAGTGTGAACCTGTAGTCCCAGCTACTCAGCAGGCCGAGGTGGGGGAATTGCTTGGGGCCAGGAGTTCAAGTCCAGCCTGAGCCACATCATGAGACCCTATCTCTAAATAAAATTTGTTTAAAATGGAACTGAAATTCACAGAACATTAAACACTTCACAGTGCACACTGAGCGGCATTCAGTACATTCATACTGCTGTGCGGCCACCAGCACTGCCTGCTTCCAGAATGCCTTCTTCACCCCAAACGGAAAGGAAAGCCGGCACCCATTAGTCAGCATTCTTCATTCTCCCGCCCTCAGCCCCACCAGTCCGCAGCTGCTTTTCCGTCTCATGGATTTACCTGTTCTGGACATTTTCTTTTTTCTTTCTTGCTTTTTGTCTCCCTCCCTCCCTTTCTCTGCCTTGCCTTGCCTTGCTTTGCCTTTGCCTTTGCCTTTGCCTTTCTTGATGGAGTCTTACTCTGTCACCCAGGCTGGAATGCAGTGTCAAGATCTCAGCTCACCGCAACCTCTCCCTCCCGTGTGCAAGCGATTCTCGTGCCTCAGCCTCCCGAGAAGCTGGGATTACAAGCACACACCACCACGGCTGGCTTTTAGTAGAGACAGGGTTTCACCATGTTGTCCAGGCTGGTCTCGAACTCTTGACATCACGTGATCTGCCTGCCTCGGCCTCCCAAAGTGCTGGGATTACAGGCATGAGCCACCGCGCCCGGCCTGGACATTTCATATACACAAAATCGCAGAGGACACGGCCTTTGTGTCTGGCTTCTTTTGCTGAGCATAGTGTCGCTGTCGCTTGTGTGGGAATTTCTCTCCTCATGGCTGAGTTGTGCTACCTTACACGTCTACACTGCATTTTCTGGATCCATTCACCTGGCAACGGATGCTTGGGTTGTTCTTCCCTTTGGCTGCTGTGAGGAAGCATCTGTCTGAGTGTCTGTTTTCAACTCCTTTGGGTGGATACCCAGGAAGACAGTTGCTGGACCACAGGGTAATTCTATGCTTAACTTTTTGAGGAGCCGCCAGGCTGCGTCCCACAGTGGGCTCCTTGCTGATATTTTCAGGCACTCAGCTCTGCAGTCTGCACTGCCAGACACCTGGACCCGAGTGAGTCTGAGGAGCACGGTGCTTTGAGGAGCTGCTGGCTCTCCCAGGGGCTCCTTGATGGGGCTCCTGTTGCCTCTGCCTGTCCCGGGGCTGCTGCTGCTGGAAGCTGAGACTCATCCTCATTTTCCATGCAACCACGGGCAGGAAGGAGCCTGCACGCGACATGCCAGGGTGCGCGCTTACCCTGGGCCCCTCGTGCACCGGAGGAAGAGGCCTGCCTGGCTGTGGGGTAGGGTGGGGCCAGCTTCTGGGCTGGGCGCTCTGGCTTCCGGGACACCAGGCGGAATGGCTAAAGCAGGGAGACACAGGCCCCTGTAGAGCTACTGGGGCGGTGACAGCTGGACTTGGATGCTGGCTTCATGACCGTGCTCCCCAGCGTTCCCACCTGGTGATGTCCCTCCCCTGGAATCTGCCGGAGGCCCAGGACTTTCTGACCCACAGGATGCCCCAGGAATGACACCATATGACATCTGAGGCCAGGTCACACAAAGCCTGGCAGCTTGGCCTGGCCTGGTGAACGTGCTCTGGAGGGAGCCAGCTGCCACGGGAGAATCCAACTACCCCGAGACCACCATGCTGCAGGGAAGCCCACGCCAGCCACATGGGAGGCCAGCCGGCCCTAGCTGTTCCAGCCACCCAACTGAGGGCGGGGGCGAAGAGGCCATCCTGGACGGTCCACCCCGTTTGGCCTTCAGACGACTCCAGCCCCAGCTGCCACCTGATTACAACTGCAGAGAGACCCCAAGACAGGGCTGCCTGGCTGAGCTGGGCAACCCACAGGCCAGGCGATAACGGGGTGCTTTAAGGCACTAAGCTTTGGAGGAGTGTTTTGTTACACGGCAATAGTTAACAGGGAACTGGGAGTCGATTTCAAGCTCACATGGCCAGTCCACCCTGAGCATGTCCCCTGGGCCATAGTTCAGAAAGCAGGTGCAGGTCAGGGTTCAGGGCCAGTGTGGGCCTCAATATTGTTTCCTGCCCCCGTGGAGGCCGTGGTGGCATTTGGAGGGGGTCCTTGGAATCCATGCCCAAGGAAGCACTGAAGCTGCCTGGGACCCTCCCACACCCAGGAAGGGCCGTCATCAAGGTAGGACTTGCAGGGGGAGGGAAGGGCAGCTGGCTTTTGAGTGGAGGAGGGACAGCTCCAGAGACAGCGTGGCAGCTCCCAGCCACCCTCGCCACCAGGAACCTCGAGGGGAGGCCCCCTCGGCCCAAGCTCTGGCCCCTCCAGCTCCCTACTCTCCTCTCCCCTAGCTTCCTTCCAGGGCCCTCTCTCTTTGGTCTCCTGTGATTTTCTTCCTGGGCCCACAGTCCCTCCCTCCCTGGGGGGCTGCCCCGCCCCCGGCCCCGCCCGCGGACCCCTGGAGTAACTTAATCTCGGGGTTGTGGTCCATCCCCAGAGTGGGGAGGCATCCGCTCGGCCCATCGCACCCCAAAGCTGCAGGCCCTTAGCTCCAACCACCGCCAGGCCCTCCCTCCCCCAGCCAAGAGGTCCCGAGTCCCACCCAAGCACTGTACCCCGGCCCGGCTGGCCCCGCCCGGCGGCCGGGGTCGACCCGGCCAGTCCTTCCCCCGGGCGACGCCCACGTGCCTGCGCGGCTTCCCTGGCACCGCGGCGACCAGCGCCCCGAGGCGCGCGGCACCCGACAGGTGGCACCTGCGAGCCCCGCCCACCTCGGCCGCCCCGCCCACCTCGGCCGCCCCGCCCCGCGCGCCCACGGAGCATGCTCAGAGCCGCGGTCACGCGCCCGCCCGAAGGCTCCTGTCGGGACAGGGCGCCGCCCCGTGTCGGCCCCCGCAGAGCTCGCGGCCCCCGCCTGTCCGGGCGCCGCCATGGAGCGCATCGAGGGGGCGTCCGTGGGCCGCTGCGCCGCCTCACCCTACCTGCGGCCGCTCACGCTGCATTACCGCCAGGTGAGCCCGCGCCCCCGCGTCCCCCGCGCCCCCGCCGGCGGCCCGGCCCACGACCCGCGCCCCGCCCACCATCTTCCGCGCTGCCGGCCCCGCCCCGGAG
This sequence comes from Homo sapiens, assembly GCF_000001405.40. Lineage (NCBI taxonomy): Eukaryota > Metazoa > Chordata > Mammalia > Primates > Hominidae > Homo > Homo sapiens. The sequence goes on along the minus strand of NC_000014.9, from coordinate 105,181,028 downwards.
CCCCGCCCCCGCCTCCCGCCGATCTCCCGGGCGGCCGCTTGTCCGCCCGCCGGATCGCGGGTTCCCAGACCCAGTGAGCCCCCAGGCCGGGGAGGGGCCGCGGGAGGGACATCTGAGGGGGCACCACTCATCCTTTCAAGGAAGCATTGCTGGGCCCCATCCTTCCCGCCCGCCCAATCCGACCCTCTTGGCAGTGGAACTCCTTGGTTGCCCTGGGGATCAGGGAAGGCTTCCTGGAAGTGGTGGCTTTCATGCTACCACTTGAAGGAGGAGATAGCTGGGCCGAGGAGGAGGGAGCAAGGAGCGCAGAGGCCGGGCGCAGGGAGGTAGGAGAAGGAGCTGAGTGAGAACTTGAGAGAGCCTCTCAAAGCAGGCTTCCTCCTTGGGGTTTTTTCCAGGGAGGGCACCTCCTTGGAGTCTCCATCTGCCTAAGCTCAGCCTTCCCCACCTCCTAGGGTGTCACCTTCTCCCATGCCAGGCCACGGCACAAGAGGCTGTATTGCCTCACTTAGCACCAGGCACATGGTAGGTTCACAAGGAATATTTTGTTTTGTTTTGTTTTTGAGACAGGGTCTTGCTGTCGCCCAGGCTGGAGTGCAGTGGCATGGTCACAGCTCACTGCAGCCTCAACCTCCTGGGCTCAAGCGATCCTCCTGCCTCAGCCCCCGCCCCAGTAGCTGGGACCACAGGTGCACACCACCACACCTGGCTAATGTTTAAATTTTTTTGTAGAGACGACGTCTCACTGTTGCCCAGGCTGGTCTTGAACTTCTGGCCTCAACCGATCCTCCTGCCTTGGCTTCCCAAAGCATGGGGATTACAGGCATGAGGCATATGTGTTGGGTGAAGGAGCTGCTGCCATCCTTTTCCCACATCCAGTGGATCACTGAGTCCCGGGCCGTCTTCCTCCAAGCCCAGCCCTGTCCAGTTAGGGCCCCACCTTTTGCTTGCATGCCCACCTGCCCCCAGCAGATCTCCCCTCTGCCAGAGCTCCTTCATGCCATTAAGGCAAAGACCACCTTCCTGGTCACAGTCAGTCCAGCCCCCCAGCCTATCAGGTCAGGTGGTCCAGGTCGCAGTGCCTCTCTGCCTGCCTGCCTCCCTCCCTCAGGGGGCATCCTGTCCCCCCCATCACATCCAGGACTCTGCCCCTCGCCATCCTGGAGAAGCCCTCTTGGCCCCCAGCCTGAGAGAGGCCCTGTGCCCCTCACTTTCCCTGTTGCGGGAGTCCTGTTGGCGCTGGAGGACAGGGGATCCCTCTCCCCAAGGCGAAGCTAAGCTGGTGGTGCTGGCAGGGGGCAGCTGGGATCAGTCGGGGTACAGCAGGTGGAGACATGGGGTCACTGCCCTTTTCCCTGACGTTGGCCATATGGGATGCCTGCTTGTGGCTGCACAGTCCCCACAGGGCTGGGTCTCAGGCAGCAGGTGCAGGCCCAGGCAGGTGCCCTCTGTGGCCCTGGTGGCAGCACTCTCTCCCTCACTCCCCGTGAAGCCTCAGGGCAGCCCTTGCAGCCTCAGCGGGCAGCCCGCCGGCACAGCTCTGCTGAAGGGTTCTGGTGACCAGAGCTGAGCTGGTTCGGGCTGTGGCTGTGGTGGACACGGATGTAGGCTCGGGCTGGGCGGCATCTCCTCAGGGCCAAGGGACATTGGGCTGGACGCTGGCTGCCACCCAGGGGCAGCTGCAGCCCTCAGCTTTTTGCTGCGTCCAGCCAGGGGAGGCCTGTGATGTCAGGCAGACCAAAGGCAGGGGACCCCCGTGGCTCCGAGGCGATGGGGTCTTCTTTGCACCCAGCCCTGCCCCTCCCTCCCAGGCCTCAGCAGCCTCCCTAAACCTCCCTGCACCTTGACCTGGCTGGACCTAAGGGTCTGACACGCTTTTGACCTTGAGCTGAGAGGGTCCTTGAGACCTGCATGGGGTGATGTTACTCGGGGGGAAGCAGTGGTGGGGAAGGGGCATGGGCACAGCAGGCACATGGCAGGCTGTGGGCAGGGGGCTTCCCTGGAGCCTGCCCTGGCTGGGTGGTGGTTCGGGGGTGGCTGGGTGTCAGGCAGGCCTGGGGTCGCCTCCCGGGAGTGGTACCCCACGGCCTCTCGGGCTGCCTGACCTGCGCGGGACGCCGGCCCTCCCTTCCCTTGGAAACCGGTACTCTCCTCCCAGGACGCCTTTGCCTCCCGGCCAAGCTCAGAGGGCCTCTGCGCCTCTGCCTGCCCAGAGTCCCTTCCCTCACTTCCGTCACCTCCTCCAGAAAGTCCTCAGGAAGGCTTCTTCTCTCTTCTGCAGTCCTGGCTGCACTTCTGTGTCTCTGCTGCTCAGACCTCTTGTCCATTTCACAGCCCTGGGCAGAGCCCCCGGTGGGGGATGAGCAGCTGGCCTGGGCCTCAGAGTGGCAGATGGGCTGAGCGTGCCGGAGATGGGACCCCGCGGGACCCCAGGCTCAGCCCCCAGGATGGGAGTGCATCTCAGAATGCATCAGTTCCAGCCTCCCCCAGCAGGCCCAGCCCACACACCTGCCCACCCTGCCTCCTCCGTTCACTGAGTGCCACCCAGGGTGCAGGGGCCTGCCAGGGTGGTGTGCCCAGTGTGGGGGAGTGGGAAGGTGGAGGGTGGCCACAGGAGAACGGGACCACAGGGTATGTGGGAGAGTCGAGGCCAGAAACTGGGGGTAGGGGTGTGTGGGGGGGCTGCCGAGCCTGGTCACCATCATGACAGTCACCGAGTCCTGCAGTGCGATCTCCTACCTGGCTGGGGCGCCACCCTTCCTCATCTGCTCCTGGTGCCAGCCCCTCCTGCCACCCTTCCCCATCCACTCCTGGTGCCGGCCCCTCCTGCCCTCCCGTCTCCACCTGTTCAGTGGCCCAAGGAAGCATCAGCAGGAAAACCTGACCTCTCCTCTGCCTGCAGGGCCCTCCTGCCCTGCTGTGAGGGAGTCACGCCTGCCCTCCCCGAGCCTCCATGAGCCTTCCTATACTTGGTGACGGTGTACGTCTCTCTGCAGCCCCTTGTGCTCGGTCTGTGCTGGGCAGTGTTTCATGAGGTGCCTGGACACCTTCCCTGCCCTTTGCCCTGGTCTTCTGCCTCACTCGTAGGGTATTAGGCTGTCCTTGACCTCCCTGCCCCTCCCAGGCTGCTTGCTCCTCTGCCCACGGGAGCTGCAGTTCCTGGCTCCCGTGGGCCCAGGCCACGAGCCGATCTCCCTGGTTAGGAGTGGGTGCAATGGGTCTGTGGCCTCCTCGGTTCCCCGAGCACCTCCGCCCATCCTGGGACATTCTAACCGCTGACCTGCCCCTTCTAGAATGGTGCCCAGAAGTCCTGGGACTTCATGAAGACGCATGACAGGTGAGAGCCTGGCCCAGCCTGGCCACTGGGGAAGCCCCAGACTGATGTCTACGGGGACACTGGGCCCAGGGCGAAGGTGCCCTCTCCTCCCTGACGTTGCTGTTCCCTGCGTGGGCTCCAAAAGTCCCTTCTCTCTGCCCGGCCTCTGGGTTTCCTATCCCTGAGGGGTCAGCCTGAGGCCTGGGGGCTGAGTCAGGTCTTTGCTCAGGCCACCGGGACCATGATGGTGGGCAGGCCCTCTCAGGGCAGGGAGAGGCTGTCCTGGAGCCTTTGCCCCTAGCATCCAGGGTCTGGGCTGGATGGCGACGTGGCTCGAGGAGTGTGGCTGGTGGGCAGCTGCTCAGTGAGGGCCAAACGTCCTGTCAGTCACCCGGCCTCAGCTGCGAGCACCCTGACCTACTCAGCTGCCCGTGTGTCCTTCCCTGCCCCCCGCCTCCCATCCTGCCAGCTGGAATACAGCAGGTCTGGGTCCTGGCCAGACTGTGACCCTGGAAAGCTCTGGTCCCGCCTGGGCCTCAGCCATCCTATCTGAGCAAGGGGCCTGACCTCCCTGGGCTGCTGGCAAGGAGGTGGGATGGCCACGCTGGGAACAGAAAGATGGGAGGTGGGGCCCCACGAGGGCCAGTGGAGTGCTTCTGTGCTGAGCCCCTCCCCCCGTACACAGCGTGACCGTTCTCTTATTCAACTCTTCTCGGAGGAGCCTGGTGTTGGTGAAGCAGTTCCGGCCAGGTGAGGCCAGCTGGGGTGGGAAGGGGATCTGCAGGGTCACCTTCAGGTCCCTGTGGTCCTGAGGGTCTGAATACAGATGTGGGAGGGGGCTCCAGGGGAAGCTGAGGCCCTGGGAGGGGGCTTGGCTGTGTGGGTGACCTGGAGGTGGCCACCACGTGGCTGTGAGCACAGTCTGGCTTCTTCCCACGCAGCTGTGTATGCGGGTGAGGTGGAGCGCCGCTTCCCAGGGTCCCTAGCAGCTGTAGACCAGGACGGGCCTCGGGAGCTACAGCCAGCCCTGCCCGGCTCAGCGGGGGTGACAGTTGAGCTGTGTGCCGGCCTCGTGGACCAGCCTGGGCTCTCGCTGGAGGAAGTGGCTTGCAAGGAGGCTTGGGAGGAGTGTGGCTACCACTTGGCCCCCTCTGATCTGCGCCGGGTCGCCACATACTGGTGAGTGGGACCAGGCCCTCAGGCCTGTGGTGTGACTCAGGAGATGGGAGAGAGTGAGGGCCCCGTCCCTGGGAGTGTGCAAGCAGGATGGATTCCTCCTTGTTTTCCAACATGGGATTAGGGGAGGGTTGGACCGAATGCGCCTCAGCTCCTAAGCCAGGCCAGAATCTGGGCTCTTGGGGCTCTCTCTGCAGCGTCTCGGCCCCATGCCCCCAGCCTGCGGCCCCCAGCTGTGTGAGGCAGGCCGGGTGACAGCTGCTGCTGACAGGTGCCTCTACTTCCTGTAGGATTAAGACCGGGCGCTGGGGGTGGGGGTGACTCACAGCTCTGTTCTCAGAGGGTGGCTTAGGAATGAGGGAGAAGCTGTGTCCTGGGCTGGAGAAGGGGTGGCTCCAGCTCTCCTGGGGAACAGGCACTAGAGCCTGCGCTTTGGGACCTGACCCACCAAACTCGAGGCACCAACTCTTGCCCCGCGAGGGCTGCCAGCTGGGGTGGGGTTGCCTTCCCAGGACTAGATGTTGGTATGAAGCCCATCCACTTCCCCAGGGACGCTACGATGGGCTCCTGACCCCAGCTGAGGTCTTGGGGAAGGAGGAGGGTGTCACAGACCCCCACCCCCACCAGCTGAGCACCAGCCTCCACAGCCTCCTCCAGAGGCCAGGGCCCGCTCCACTGGGAGAAGCACCGGAAGTCTCTGCACCTGTCAGCCTGGCACATGGGCCACTCAGGGTTGAGCCTGGGGCCCTCCCACCTCAGCAGCCTCAAGGACTTCACCTGGGCACGTTCCTGGCTGGATGGGTGGACTCCCAAGTTAAAGGCAGCATTTCCACGCTGGGCCAGGCACGGTGGCTCACGCCTGTAATCCCAGCACTTTGGGAGGCCGAGGCAGGCGGATCACCTGAGGTCAGGAGTTCGAGACCAGCCTGACCACATGGAGAAACCCCGCCTCTGCTAAAAGTACAAAATTAGCCAGGCGTGGTGGCAGGAGCCTGTAATTCCAGCTACTCAGGAGACTGAGGCAGGAGAATCGCTTGAACCCAGGAGGCGGAGGTTGCGGTGAGCCTGAACCCAGGAGGCGGAGGTTGCGGTGAGCCGAGATCGCGCCATTGCACTCTAGCCTGGGCAACAAGAGCGAAACTCTGTCTCAACAAAACAGAATTTCCATGCCGAAGGGTGGACTTGGGTGTGAAGGATGGGCCTTGGTTTTCTGCAGGTGTCTACCCCGTGGTGGGCCACGCCCACTGTGCCCCCAGCTCCCCAGCCCATAGTACTGAGCACAGCCGGGAGGCATGGGAGGGGCTGGAGTCCCCTTGGTCCCCCTGGAGGAGGTGGGCCTGGGCAGGTTCCTGGCAGAGGGACCGCACAGGCTCTCAGGGCAAGTGGTCAAGCAGCCCTGGCCGCGGTGGTTCTACTGGTACAGCCTCTGGGCCACAGCCTGATTGTGAGGGTGCTGGGGAGCCAAGGAGGGCTCTGGGAAGTAGGCATCCTGCTTAGACTCGCATCGGGAAGAGCAGGCCGTGGCTTCAGGGATGCAGGACTGGAGATGCTGCTGACTAGGGGTCAGGGTGTCCGTCTCTGAGGGCCTGATGGGGGGCTGGACTGACAGCAAAGTTCACCCACCCTGTGGCAGGGCCCGTGGCTCCCTGTCTCTGATTCTGGAGGTGAGCCAGGCCTCTTACCTGCCGCTGCAAAGGACAAGGCCCAGGGAGGCAGTCAGCTTGGGGCGTGATGGAGTGAAGTTGGAACGTGCCCTGGGGTGGGGGAGGCGTTGCCCAGCCTGGCTGGCAGATTCCTCTCAGCCCGGGCCAAGGGCCGGGCCTGTCTCCTTCACAAGCCGGCGGAAACCGGGGCTGGAAACCCCAGACCCGCCACTTCCCTCAGAGGCGCAGCCGCGGCCGCCGCCGGAAATGGGCCATCAGGAAGGGGTCTGCGGGAGGTGAGGGGCTAGAGGGCAAGGAAGCAGCTGGGTAAGGTCGGTCTGGGGTGAGTCCCCCCGGAGGTGGGGAGGCCTTGGGGGTGGGGCATGGAAGCCCCCAGTTCTGTCCCTGCCCCTGTATGTTGGGTACATCTCAGAGGGCGGCCTCTACCCTGCAGGCCTCCGGCTGGCCTTGGTTCATGGCACCCGACAGCCCCTCCTGCGGCGAGCCAGGGCTCCCCCACCCCCTGGTCATCTTCCCAGATGCCCCTCAGTCCCGTTTCTCCCCAGATCCACACCTGGCCCTCCCCCTCCTGTTCCAGAATGCAGCCCAGCCCCTCTGCCATCCTGTCCTCCTAGCCCGTGGTCTCCCTCCACACACGCCAGTCCAGGCTCCTTCCCTTGGTGCCTGACCCCTCCTGGCTGCCAGCAGCCCCCTTCTGGCCACTGCCCACTGAGGGAGGGGGCTTCCTCTTACCCCTCCCCAGCCTGGGCCACTGGGCCTGGTACTGAGGACCTCGCTGCCACCCCACCCCACTCTGCCATGCTACGGGGGGTGGGGGGGCGGTCAGTGCATGCTGTTCCTAGTCTGAAACTTGTGTCCTGTGGGTGCCTGGTGGGGAACCCTTGCGGGAAGGCCTGGTGGGTTTGTCCCTGCTTCCCAGCCAGCCTGTGTCCCCGGGTATGGGCTGGGGTCTGGCATGGGCCTCTGCAGCTGGCCACAGACTGAGGGGCTCCAAACAGCACTGGGAACAGCCTCAGGGTATCTGGTTGGGGGCTGCAGACAGGGGTGGGGTCTTCTGCTTGGCCTTGACAGGTTGCAGGCAGGTTGTCAGCCGGATCTGCAATCTCATGGGGGCTTGGGGTCTTCCCGGCTCACGAGGTTATGGCAGAATTCAGCTCCTGGTGGCTGGGGACTGGGTCCCACCTCCCTGCTGGCTGTTGGCCCTTCCCAGCATGGCGGTTGCTTCCCCTTCAGGGCCAGCAGGACTGGCCTGAATTTCTCCCTTTCTGGCGTTGAAACACCCTCTGGAGGGCTTCGTGATCGGGCCATGCCCGCCTAGGATGCTCTCCCTTCTGATGAGCTCAAGTCACCGGTTAGGGTCCTTAATCACATCGACAACACCCACCCCACCTGGCGAGTACAACGTGATCAGGGAAGGGATGCCCTGCTGCGGGAGGGGCCACGGGCGTGCACACCAGGTGGGAATCCGGGTGGGAGAGGGCATCCCAGAGTCCTGCCTACTGGAGGGCTGGAGGGAGCAGAGTGGAGAGGGTGGGTTGGAGGGTGGTAGAAGGGCCAGGGGGCCAGCGGGGCCAGCGTGGGTGACTCAGCAGACCCTGTCTCAACCCGTAGGTCTGGAGTGGGACTGACTGGCTCCAGACAGACCATGTTCTACACAGAGGTGACAGATGCCCAGCGTAGCGGTCCAGGTGGGGGCCTGGTGGAGGAGGGTGAGCTCATTGAGGTGGTGCACCTGCCCCTGGAAGGCGCCCAGGCCTTTGCAGACGACCCGGACATCCCCAAGACCCTCGGCGTCATCTTTGGTGTCTCATGGTTCCTCAGCCAGGTGGCCCCCAACCTGGATCTCCAGTGAGACTCCAGGGTTCTAGACAGAGGCCAGTCTTGGCCACTCACCCCACACCCCGCGGACCCCAATAAAGGCTTGCATAGCTCCAGCTTCTGCCTGCTGGTTCTGAGCTCTGTGACCAGGGCCTTGGAGAGGACTGGGGAAGGGGCGGGAAGCAGTGACCCTGACCTGAGATGGCCCTCGGGACACGGCGAGCTCTCCTGTAGGAGGAGTAGCTGGTGGCAGGCCATGCAGGTGGTTGCTGTGGGGCTGAGGACAGGCCTGGGGATGCCATGGGCAGGGCCAGGCTGTGCCTCCTCTTGGAGCTGGGAGGGGTGGGGTCCGGGACTCATGGAGGGTGGCATGGCAGGCCTGGGGGTGGGCCTGCTGGTCACGGGGCTGCAGCATGAGCTGTGCTCACGAGAGTGGTGGCTGAGCCAGTCCTCAGGAGTTAGGATGGGGTGGGCAGCACTGCAGGCTGCACGCTGCAGGGAAAGTATGTTCCCTGCTCCTGGGGCAAGTGAGGGGTCCCCACCCTGACTGGGGCTGGGCTAGAGCCACTCCACAGGAGCCCGGAGCCAAAGCTGCCCTGTGTCGGGGGCCCCAGTAGCTGATCCGTGCACCCCCAGCCTTGGAAGTTTTCCAAGGGACCTTCCTCGGCCTGTGGGGTATGCAGAAATGTCTGCAGGCTTGCTCCAAGAGGAGCAGGTGGCGGCACAGGGTGGGGACACAAGGCCAGTGGTCTTGACATGGGCCAGGTTCCTGGTGCCAGCCCGGTCCTGGTCCCGGGGCACGGCCTCAGCCTGGGCCGCCCAGCACCAGGCTCTACTGGCCCCTGAGCATCTCTGGCCTGTATGCCCTGGCCTTGCCTTCTGACCTGTCCTGAGGGTGGGGCTGTGGGAGATGCGTGCAGCTCAGAGCTGCTCCCCAGGTGCCCAGAATGCTTGTGAGGCAGGAGGGGACCCAGCTCGCCTGGTCTGCTTCCTGGGCCACAGGTGCACAGTAAGGGTTCTGCAGGTGAATGGGTGTGTTGGCACTGGTTGTGGGCATTCGAGGGCACTGCTGGGCCATCAGTCTGCGGCAGGATCGATCCGCTCCTGGACATCATTAGGTCCAGGCTGTGGCTCCCAGGAGGAAAGTAGAGAAGGGGACAGTGAAGTGAAGGGAGCCTCAGTACCCTGCAGGGTGGAACCCTGGGCAGGGAGGTGGAGACTGACCCCCTGTTGTCATCCAGCACAGTGCTGGACAGCCTGGCATTGGAGGCTGTCCTGAGGAGGCTGTGCCTCAGGGGCCCACAAAAGCAGTGCCACCTGTATGCAAATGCTGGCTGTGGCCCAGGTGGGGCCCTGTGGGCATCAGCAAGGCCAGCGACAGGGCTGCCGGGGAGGGGCTGTCAGGTATGGGGTGTGTGCCAGGGAGGGGCTGCCAGGTATGGGGTGTGCGGGTCTTGGCCAGCCTCAGCTTCACTCTACCCAGATGAGGCCCCAGCAGGACATTCACAGGACAGGAGCTCTGCCTGACCCACAGCAGCCTTGCTGTGCTGCCCTTACCAGCAGCCTGCCTGGTGACACCACGAGAGTGCGATGGGCCCTCCGGGTTGACCAGCAGAGGCCTCCCACTACCTCAGAGGGACCTCTCGCAGGCACCAGGTGGGTCTGGCCCCTGAAGCACTGAGGGGACAGGTGACAGGGCACCCGGACCTGGGTGTAGTCCAGCCCCTCACTTTGCTCCGCAGCCCGATGGGGTGGGTCAGCAGGCAGTGCTGCCGGGCCTAATGGAGCTGGCATTGATTTCCCGGCACTGGAGGGGGGGTTGTAACCGGAAACTCCCCTCCCCGTCTGCTATATTTAGCACTGCAGGACCCAGCGGAAGCACAGCTTACTCTGGAGCCTCGCCGGCTCTGTCCAAACCCCTGGCAGCCCGTCCTCAGCCTGGTCCCCAGGACTGCCCTATGGGCCCAGAGCCCCTGGCCAGGCTGAGCAGCTGCACCCTTGCCCTCTGCATACAAGCTGGGCACCGCCCAGCGCTCAGAGTGGGAGCCCTCCAGGCTGGGGGACGGGTGGCTCTGGGAGGCTGGAGGGTGCTGTGGTCCAGTGGGCCCCAGAACAATGACGAGGTCCCTTACTAGAAGAGACCAGGTAGCCTGGTCTGGTGAGGGTTGGGGCTGGAGCCCTGGCCGCCACTGATCTCAGCCCCTCACCCCAGCAAGGTGCAGCAGGGGGCAAATGTGTTTTGTGAAATATGTATGAGGGGCGAGGGTTCCCACTGCTGCCTTCTGGAAACTCAAACCAGGGTCCAGCTGCCTGGCATTTCTGGCTCAAGGGCTGCTGAAATTCCTGCAGGGAAGGGACCCCCTCTCCGATGCCTCCTATGTCCCCCTCCTTCCTAAGGGCAGGTGCGGCCACCTTCCTGACCTGGGTGCTCTCATGGACATCGTGAGGTCTGGCTGACCCATGCCCGTCCACGCTCTGGCGGCCCCCTATGCCAGCTTCTGTATGACTTGTCTAAGTCCTCTGTCCACCCCCGGGCTGGGGGCTCCTGAGGGTGTGCAGGGGCGGAGTCTCCCTTGTTCACCACTTGGCCAAGTGCCCAGCAGAGGCACCCAGCACCCCCTCCCCCACCATAGTGGGGCAGTGGGCGCAGGTGGGGATGGAGCCCTGGGCCTCTGGAGCCGGGCAGGGGGCTTCTCTGTCCTGGGGCTTCCCTCTCTCGAGTACCCGAGTACCTGCCCCCAGGCCAAAGCACAGGAGAGGTGGCATCTCCACAGGGAGCCCCTCCCCCCGTAGGCGGTAATCACCGCCCACACACCGGAAGGCGGCAACTGGAAGGCTCTGAACACAGCTTGGATTCTCTTGTTTGGTGGGGGTCTCTGTGCGGGCCTCATCCTGGCTTGTGTCTTAATCCCCACGAAGCCTACCCACCACCAAGTTTGGGGTGGGCACTCTGAGCAGAGCCAGCTGAGGTGGGCATGGGGGGCTCCCACCCACCCCTTTAGGGACCTTCAGCTGAGCCTGCGGCCTGGATCCTGGAGGAGCTGCTAAACAGGGATGGAGCAGGCAGACCCTGCGCATGGGGTGTTCACAGGCCCTGTGCCTCCAAAGCTCTCTTCCTTCAGCCCTCAGCCCCAGCAGCATGGTGGCAGTGACTTGCTCCAGGCTGGGGGGCTGCACAGCCACCCAGCTCCGGGCACAGGGCAAATTTGCGAGAGGAGCTAGGGGGAGAGAAGACAGCTCAGTTATCATGGGGATGGGTTGAGGACCCCTCTGGACCATATGGGGATCTTTAACCACCAAGGTGACCCCTAGCTCTGGAAAGGACCGTGCTCACTGGAGGAGAGGAAGGTGCCATTGGTTTTGACCCTGTGGAGGAGCTGCGAGGTCACCCAGGGAGAGGGCAAGGAGGTGACCGCAGAGGATGGGGTGTGGAAGCCTGGTGACCAGGGCAGCAGTGGGAGGCCTCTCTCGGGGTAGCCTTCAGGGACAGGCACTGCCGACTTTTGTTCCCCATTTCCCGCCTCTCGCCCCCCAAGCCCAGACCTGAGTTTGGGGGGCGAGAGGCGGGAAACGGGGAATGTGGCCTGAGCATTTCCTGAGGGCATGGCCTGGCTACCTCGACGCCAGCGCCGAGCTGAGCAGTCTGCACCCTGGAGCATTTGTTGACTGGCTGCTTGACCAGCGCGCCTCGCAGAGGGGAAGGCAGGGGCGTCGGAGGGGCGCAGCGCCCCCTGCAGCCGGCGTGGAGGCGGTAGGAGCGGCGCGGAGAAGGGGAGATTCTCGGAGGAGGTGGGGGGCGCGCAGTAGGGGCTGGGCCCGGCTCTGGCCCCAGGGCCGCGCCACCCCGCGTGGGGGCCGAGCCCTGATCAGAGTAGGAGGCGGCATCTCCTCTGGGACTGCGAGGAGCGCGGCGGTGGCGCACTGATGGGAGGGGACCACACGGCAACCTCGGGGCGCCCCACCCCCGGTTTCTGACACCCGGCAGGAGCCCAGGCGGAGGAGGGGAGGCAGCTTTGCGGCGCCGGCGCACGCCTCGCCGACTCACGCGGAGGTGTGAGCGGGGCCCCCGCGGCCCGCGCTGACCCCGAGGCCCCGTGCCCCCGCCGCCCGGGCGCCCTGGGGGGCGCGCGCCGGGCCGGGGCGCTGGCAGGCGACGCCCTCCACCGCCTTTAAAGCCTGGGGCGCCCCCGGACCCCCCCCCGGCCCCACCCCGCGGCGCGGCCCCGCCCCCTCATGCATATGCAGGTGCGCGGGTGACGAATGGGCGAGCGAGCTGTCAGTCTCGTTCCGAACTTGTTGGCTGCGGTGCCGGGAGCGCGGGCGCGCAGAGCCGAGGCCGGGACCCGCTGCCTTCACCGCCGCCGCCGTCGCCGCCGGGTGGGAGCCGGGCCGGGCAGCCGGAGCGCGGCCGCCAGCGAGCCGGAGCTGCCGCCGCCCCTGCACGCCCGCCGCCCAGGCCCGCGCGCCGCGGCGCTGCGCTCGACCCCGCCCGCGCCGCCGCCGCCGCCGCCTCTGCCGCTGCCGCTGCCTCTGCGGGCGCTCGGAGGGCGGGCGGGCGCTGGGAGGCCGGCGCGGCGGCTGGGAGCCGGGCGCGGGCGGCGGCGGCGGGGCCGGGCGGGCGGGTCGCGGGGGCAATGCGGGCGCAGGGCCGGGGGCGCCTTCCCCGGCGGCTGCTGCTGCTGCTGGCGCTCTGGGTGCAGGTGAGCGGGGCGGCGGGGGCGGCGGGGGTCGCGGACGGGGCACACCGGGCCGCCCCTAGGGGCCGGGCGGGCACTGCCTGGGGCCGCCGTGGTTCGGAAGCCCTCGAGGCTGCGCGCGGCGGCTGGGGCTCCGGGCGGGCGCGGCTGGGTGGGGGCGGGGCGGCGGGGCCTGTTCCCCCACCCCTGGCGCCCGGCCCGCCGACCCCGGCCCGCGCCTCCCTCCGCTCTCCCGCTGCCTTATTTTTAGGCGGCGCGGCCCATGGGCTATTTCGAGCTGCAGCTGAGCGCGCTGCGGAACGTGAACGGGGAGCTGCTGAGCGGCGCCTGCTGTGACGGCGACGGCCGGACAACGCGCGCGGGGGGCTGCGGCCACGACGAGTGCGACACGTACGTGCGCGTGTGCCTTAAGGAGTACCAGGCCAAGGTGACGCCCACGGGGCCCTGCAGCTACGGCCACGGCGCCACGCCCGTGCTGGGCGGCAACTCCTTCTACCTGCCGCCGGCGGGCGCTGCGGGGGACCGAGCGCGGGCGCGGGCCCGGGCCGGCGGCGACCAGGACCCGGGCCTCGTCGTCATCCCCTTCCAGTTCGCCTGGCCGGTACGTGCGCTCCATCCCTCGTGCTCCAGCCCTTCCCTCTCTCTCCGCGCCCCGGCCCCGCGCGCTTCGCGACCCCCAACACCTGCGGCCGGGTCTGCGTGCGAGCCGCGCGCGCCCAGGCGGGGCGGGGCCGGCAGGGGGCGCGTGCTCTGGGGACTTGGTCCGCGCCTGGCCACGTGGGCGCGCCGGGGCCCCGGGGCCACCGGGAGCGGGGTCGCGGCGGGGGCGGGGCGGCGGCGTCCCGCGTGCGCGGCGGTGTGCGGCGTGTGCCTGCGTCGCCCTGCGCGTGTCTGTCTGGGTGGGGAGGCGAGGCGAGGCGCCCCGGTCCCGGGCAGGCCGCGGTGGCATGTGCGCAGCGCGTGCTGGGGCTGGTCTAGGGCAGGCCCTGACTGAGCCGCCCCGGGCCCGTGGCCAGCCTGCGCCTGCCCTGCAGTTTCCTGGATGCCTGGGGGGCACGGGCGGGCGCCGTGGGACCTAGGCCCGGGAGAGCCTAACGCCTAACGCTTATGTCGGCAGAAGCCCCCGATGGTGACCCAAGATCGTTCAGAGACAGAGATAGTGGATCCTGGTGCAGTGACCTTCTGTGGCACTGCCCTGTTTGTGGGTTTTTTTGGTTTTGTTATTCTGGAGGGGCAGAAGCTGAGTCGGGGCTGTCTGGTCTCCCCTGGCAGGTGGCCAGTCAGGCAGGAGCCCTGGCCTGGGCGTGCTGGGAGGAGGGGTGGTAGGGGTCCAGTGTCACTGGGAAACAGGTACTCATCCCAGTGGGCTGGCAGGTGGGTAGTGGTAGGTGGGCAGGCCCAGGCCTCGGGCGCCTTACCTCATTGCCTGGAGCACGGCCTTGCCCTGGTGCCCAGAGGTCCTTCCCTGCTTGGTCATTGTGCTGGGGGCCTGGAACTGGGTGAGTGCGGGAATGAGAGCACCATGCAGACCTGTGATCAGGGAGTAGATGGATCTGGGAGCCAGGAAGTGGCTCCAGTCAGCAGGAGGCACCGGAGTGTGCCCACCTGGTATCCTGGGCCCTGAAGTGATTGTGAGTTGAGGGCAATCCCTGCCGAGCTCACGCCAGTTGGGCCTGCCGTGTGTGGCTCCCAGTCCTGTGCTGTACCTTTGCAGCCCTGGCTGGCAGCCTTGCCTGCTGCCCCCATCCTCACCGCTTCCTGAGCTCCCACCCGTGGAAGCTGGCCACAGTCTCCTCTGGCCATGTCCTCAACCCGTGAGCACCCCGCCGAGTATCCCTTGACCAGGGGGGCCCCAGAGAGGGGAAAGTGTCCCCCAGATGGAAAAGGCAGGGGCGGGCATGGGAGGGCCCAGGCAGTTGTGAGAAGCCCAGCCCCTCGCCCCCACGGCGGTGCAGCAGGCAGGTCTGAGCAGGGCCCGCAGCCTGTCATCTGCACCTGGGCCTGAGCCAGCGTGGCCCCACATCGCTACCTGAGGATGTGTTTTCTGCTCGAGTTGGCAGCAGTGGGTGTGGGGGCAGGGAGGTCTTGGAGGAATGTGGCGGGCTATCGCGTGTCCGCCCTGGCTCTTCGCCCCGCGGGCCAGCCGGTCAGGTGTGGGATGGGACCGGGTAGGCCCTTGCCTTCCTTGGAGTCCGGGCACTGGGTTTCGGGGCCAGCTCACCTCCCTGCCTCTTGCTTCCAGCCGGTTCCTCGAATGCCCCAGGAGGGGGCAGGCGGCCTGTCTCTGGGTTGGGGGCCAGGGCAGAGTCATAGCTGCGTGTTTGGGGGCAGCCCTGGTCTCCTGCCATGTGGCCTGGCTGCCGGGCGGGAGCTGTGCCGTGATGCCAGCACCCTGGTATTTGCACTCGGGCGGCGGCAGTCCCTGGCCATGCTGCCCTGGCTTGCTGAGGTCCAGCTCTGTGCGGTGAGCTGAGGTGTACTTGGCTGTGATGGGAAGGCAAGGACCGAGTTCAGGCTCCCTGGGACCTGAGGAGGGGTTTCAGCCTGGAGGCTAGGGTGGCATCCTGCCCAGGCCCGTGGGGCTTTTGGGCTCCTTGGAGTAAAGGGAATGAGAGGGCCTTGTGGAAGAGGAGTGGGGGAGTCTGGGCTCTGCATTCGCTCCCTCCACCCCCTGCCCCCTGAGTGACTCTCCCACCTTGTGGTCTCTGCTGTTGACCCAGGCCTGGCTGGGTGGCCCTCTGCCCCCTGGCCTGGCTTCTTGTGGCCGGGGTCTGTGTGCTATTAGTCATGGATCTGTGCTGGTCTCGGGCTCAGCTTCCCTCAGTGGGTGGGCCCAGGGTCTTGAATGTGGAGAGGTGGTGGACCACATGCCAGCAGGCTGCCTGGCTGCCCCTCCTCTCCTGGCTCCACCCCCAGACGTCCCCAGGAGGCCGGTGTCAGCCTGGGTTGGTTCTGGTGCCTGGCTTGTAGCTGGCAGGGTGAGGCCACATTCTCCCAGCTGCGTGTGTGCACGCACCCCGGGTGCTCTGTAGGCATGGCAGGTGGTGATGGAGGTTTGGGGAGGAGTAGTGTCATGCTGGGGGCAGCAGGGAGCTTTGCTCTGGGGCCTGGTAGGTGGCAGGCCCAGGGGACACCTGCTGGCTGAGGGAGGAGCAGGGTGGTGGCAGTTGGCCGTGACCTGGGCAGCCAGGGCCCCACCCTCAGAGGTGCAGCTGGAAGTCGTGCCTGCCTGGCTGGCCCATCTCTGGAGCCAGGAGCCCAGGAGCCTGCCTGCCAGCGAGGGTCTTTCTTGTTCTGTCTTGGCATGTGTGTGCTGGGCTCCAGGGCAGCTGTGCGGGGTGGTGTGGCTGGAGCATGGTCCCCGTGACAGATCTGGGCTTATGAGGAGAACGGGATGGGTGAAGGCCCTGTAGATACAGGAGGTGGGCCTGGGGCTGACCCTGCGTCTATCAGCTCAGGAGGCCTGAGGTCCTGGGCCATCAGAAGGGCTGAGCTTTTCTCACCTGTGAAAGGGGCACACTGCCGCTTTTTCATTGCAGGTCTCACGAAGTCAGATGGGGCTGCTGGACTCCCAGCTCGGGCTCTGCTTGTGCCCCCAGCCCGGCTCCCAGACCTGTCCAGTTCCTCCCCTTCCCAGCCTTCCCTACCCTCTCCTTTGCCCCCTAGGGAGGAAGGTTTTTACAGAGCCCACCCCCTGCATCCAGCCGCCCTAGGGCTCAAGGTGGGCCAGGCTGAGGTCTGTGCCTGGAGCTACCTAAGCTGCTCGTGGCAGGTGTGAGGTTCAGCACCACTCTGCTTCCTGTTTTTTCTGAGCTTGGGCTGGGGATGACAGGGCCCTGGCCTCCCCACCCTACCTTCAGGGGATCCTGTCTGCACACTGGGGACCACCCCCCTCCTTCCCACACCTTCCCAGTAGGGACCAGGAGAGCTGGCTGGTCTGGTATGGAATGTGGGCATCTGGGTTCCTGTGTTGGGTGGGCATCGGTCTGTTCCTCCTGCCATGGCCCTGGGGCCCAGAGCCCTGGGGAGAACTCAGGGCATGTCCGCCTTGTACATTGGGGGTCTGGTTCAAAGCTTTGGTATGGGGGCAGGGTGGGGCATTCAGTGCCCAGGCAACACGGGGACCATTGGAGCCAGGGAGGACTGCCCTTGGCCAGGGAGGATTGGAGAGTGGGCTGGGGGTTTGTCGCTGGTCCCTGAGGGTGGGCTGAAGGGTCAAAGCCGCAGCACGATAGGAAGGCTGGGAGGTGGAGGGGCGGGTTGGGGAGCAGGCGGCAGGCCTGGGTGGGAGGGGACTGCTGCTCTCAGGGGCCCTCCTGGGCTGCTCCATGGTGTCTTTATGAGGGGAGCAAGCTAGGCCAGTGAAGGGGTGCTTGTGGAGCCAGGCTTCGGCCTGAGCTGCTGCTGGTGGTGGAGTGGGGGCAGGAAGACAAGGATCTGCAATCCCAGGCCCCAGCCACAGTCGCTATCCCCAGACCCCAGGCCTGAGCGGGGTCCCTGTCCCCAGACCCTAGGCCTGATTGGAGTCCCTGTCCCTAGACCCCAGGCCTGAGTGGGGCCCCTATCCTCAGGCCCCAGGCCTGAGCTGGGTCCCTGTCCCCAGGTCCCAGGACTGAGCAGGGTCCCTGTCTGCAGACCTGAGGCCTAAGCAGGGTCCCTGTCCCCAGACCCCAGATCTGAGTGAGGTCACTGTCCCCAGACCACAGGCCTGAGCGGAGTCCCTGTCCTCAAGACCACAGGCCTGAGCGGAGGCCCTGTCCCCAGACCACAGGCCTGAGCGGAGTCCCTGTCCCCAGACCACAGGCCTGAGCGGGATTCCTATCCCCACATCCCAGGCCTGAGCAGGGTGTGGCTGGCATCAGTTGTACCCTGGGCTTTGTGGCAGGTGCTAGCCGGCCCTGGCTGCCACCGTCTTCACGGTGGGGGACCTGGGACCTAGAGGGGGTGTGCTGGGGAGTGGGGGTACACCCAGGCAAGGCCCTGGCTGGTCTCTGGTGTGGAGCATGGGTGTGTGTGTTCCTGCGTGGGATGGGCTTTGGTCTGCTCCTCCTGCTGCGGCCCTGGGGCCCAGAGCCCTGGGGATGGTGTTTGCCCCCACCCCTTCTTCCCTGCCTCGGGTGACAATGGTGGCAGAGGCCTGGGCCTCTCAGAAGCTCAGGTTTCAGGAAATGTATCTGTGCTTGGAGCTCCTGGCGCCTGCACCAAGCGCTGTGCTCCGTAGGGGGCGGGAGGCTGATGCGGGAGGCCGAGGAGAAGAAACCAAGTCGGGGCGTTGGTGGGGCAGCAGGTCTAGGAGGCTGTGTTGTGTTGGCCTGGACCGTGCAGGGCCCTGGACCTGGGGGGGCCGTTAGCGGGGCAGCAGGGAGGCTGTGTTGGCCTTGACCGTGCAGGGCCCTAGACTTGGGTTGCCTGAGTTTTGGGATGCTGTAGATTGGGGTACAGTGGGCAGTGGGGTGCCGTGGACTTAGGGTGCTTGGCATTTGGAGTACCCTGGGCCATGAGGTGTGCTGGGCCATGCAGTGCCCTGGGCTGGGGGTGCCCTGGACCTGGAGTGCCCTGAGCTTTGGGGTGCCCTGGACTGTGGGTACACTGGGCCATGGGGTGCACAAGGCTGTGGGGTGTACTGGATCTAGGGTGCCCTGGGCAGGAGGGTACTCTGTACTTTGGGTGCCTTGGACCTGAGGTGTCCTGGGCTTTAAGGTGCCCTGGACCTTGGGGTGTGCTGGGCCATGCAGTGCTTTGGGGCTCTGGGGTACCCTGGGCTTTGGGGTGCCCTGGAACTGGGGTGCCCTGGGTCTTGGAGTATGCTGGGCCATGCAGTGCCCTGGGCTGTGGGATACTCTGGGCTTTGGGGTGCCCTGGACCTGGGGTACCCTGGGCTTTGAGGTGCCCTGGCCTGGGGTGGAACATCTATTGTCTTGTCTGCCTGTCCTCTGGCTTGTGCCACTGCTGTTGCCCCTGCCTGGGGACAGGAGGAGGGGTTTAGACTTAGCCTTGAGGGTTCGGGCTGGGGAGGAGGCAATCAGATGGTGGGAGATGAAGTTGGGCTGCGGGTCTGCTTGTGCGGTGGGGGTGGGTCAGGCCGGGCTTGTAGGGAGAGGCTTAGCTGGGCCTGCAGGGGTGAAGCCCTTCCCCCTTGGCCTCCAGAGACTGGGCAGGGGCATAGCCCTGCTAGGCTGGCCTTGAGGGAGGGCCTGGGTTCCTCTCCCTGCTTGCCGGGGAACCTGGGCAGGTGATGGGTCTCTCACCTGTCCCCAGACCCCCAGCCCACACATCGCCTATTGCCCCTGCCAGCGCCAGGCCCACATCCCCACATGTCCCAGCCCCGTTCCTAGAAGGGCAACATGCCCGCCAACCCCCGCCCAATCCAGGCCCTATAGTCCCTCCTGTGTTCTAGGGGTTTGGTGTTGACAAAACCCTGTCCCAGATCGTGGCCCGCCAGGCAGGAAGGACAGGGGTGAGAGGTTGCTATTCGCAGAGGAGGCAACTGAGTCCTGGAAGGACAGGGGTGAGAGGTTGCTATTCGCAGAGGAGGCAACTGAGTCCTGGAAGGACAGGGATGAGAGGTTGCTATTCGCAGAGGAGGCAACTGAGTCCTGGAAGGACGGGGGTGAGAGGTTGTTATTCACAGAAGAGGCAAATAAGTCCTGGAGGCTGGCCCCTAGGGAAGAAGGGGAGCTGGGAGAGCTGGCAGGTGGGGTGAGGCAGGTACCGCCCCGTCAGCCAGCTCAGGTTCACTCTGGATGACTTCCTGCCATCCAGGTGTAGGGACCCCAGCTGGCGGGCGGTGAGGCCCTCTCGGCGGGCGGGCAGGCACACGTCCCTGCGGGAGCAGGTAACCGGAGCCCTGGGCTCAGGCGAAGGTGGCAGTAATCTTACCTGAGTGGCTGGCATGAGGTTTCCTGGGAGTCGAGAGGAACTCCCTGCTGGCCCTGAAGCCCAGGTGTGGCTGTGCCGGGAGACCGGGTGGCCTGGCTTTTCTCTGCCTGCCCCGTGGCCAGAGCTGCTCTCAGACCCATGCTGGCCCCATCCTCTGACCTCACTATTGCTGCTTCCTGGTCCTGCTGGTTCCTGTCCAGCGGCTACAGTGACTGTTAAAGCCTGGTGGGTCCCAGTCCTCACTCAGACCCCCAACAACAGACCTCACTCAGACCCCCAACAACAGACCTCACTCAGACCCCCAACAACAGACCTCACTCAGACCCCCAACAGACCTCACTCAGACCCCCAACAGACCTCACTCGGACCCCCAACACCCGAACAGACCTCACTCAGACCCGCAACAGTCACCCACTTCGCTTAGCCTCAGGAAGGAAGTCCGTGGTGGGGTCTGGATCTGTGGTATGACCCCACTGTCCCCGTGGGCTATGCGTTCTCAGCCCCTGGGCCTTCTTGTGGGCTCTGCCATGCAGCTCCTTCACTTCCTCATGCCCTGCAGCCTCAATCTCAATGCCACCTGTTCAAAGCCTGGCCTGGCCTTTTTTTTTTTTTTTTGAGATGGAGTTTTGCCCTCGTTGCCCAGGCTGGAGTGCAATGGTGCGATCTCGGCTCGCTGCAACCTCGGCCTCCTGGGTTCAGGTGATTCTCCTGCCTCAGCCTCCAGAGTAGCTGGGACTACAGACACCTGCCACCATGGCTGGCTAATTTTTATATTTTTAGTAGAGATGAGGATTAACCGTGTTGACCAGACTAGTCTCGAACTCCTGACCTCAGGTGATCTGCCTGCCTCAGCCTCTTAAAGTGTTGGGATTACAGGCGTGAGCCACTGTGACCCGTTGGCCTGGCCTTATTGGAACAACAGCCCCTGCCCCCTGTTGCTTTCCCCGAGCCCCGCTGGCTATAGGTTGCCGTCCTTGGTGGCAGAGGCATGCCTGCTGTACACTTGATGTGAACGAAGGAAGGAAGGAACGAAGGAAGGAGCCAAATGCCAGACGCCTGGGAAGCGGCTGGGTGCTCCAGGTGTTACCGGGGGTGGGGAAGGGCTTGGCCAGGTGCAGCTGCGAGGGTGGTGCTCCAGGCAGATGGGTTGATAGGCTGGGGTGGGTGGGTGGGGGTGGGCAGGAGCCTTGGGAACCCCAAGGGTGCTCTGAGCTGAGAGGGCGTGGACAGAGTCCTGGTGGGGGTGTGGATGGAGCCCTGGGGGGTGTGGATGGAGCTGACGGGGGTGGTTTGTGGACAGAGCCCTTGGGGGGTGTGGACACAGTCCTGGGGGTGGTGTGGACAGAGTCCTGGGGGGTGTGGATGGAGCCCTGGGGGGGTATGGATGGAGCATGTTGGGGGGTGTGGATGGAGCTCTGGGGGGGTATGGATGGAGCCCTGGGGGGGTGTGGATGGAGCATGTTGGGGGGGGTGGACAGAGCTCTGGGGGGGGTGTGGACGGAGCCCTGTTGGGGGGTGTGGATGGAGCATGTTGGGGTGTGTGGATGGAGCATGTTGGGGGGTGTGGATGGAACTCGGGGGGTGTGGATGGAGCTCTGGGGGGTATGGATGGAGCCCTGGGGGGTGTGGATGGAGCATGTTGGGGGGTGTGGACAGAGCTCTGGGGGGGGGTGTGGACGGAGCATGTTGGGGTGTGTGGATGGAACTCTGGGGGGGTGTGGATGGAGCCCTGGGGGGGTGTGGATGGAGCTCTGGGGGGGTGTGGATGGAGCATGTTGCGGGGTGTGGATGGAGCCCTGGGGAGGTGATGGAGCCTGTTGGGGGGTGTGGATGGAACCCCGTTGGGGGATGTGGATTGAGTTCTTTGGGGGTGTGGATGGAGCTCTGGGGGGTGTAAACAGAGCTCGGCGGGGGGTGTGGACGGAGCCTTGGGAGGCATGTGGATGGAACTCTGGGGATTGTCTGGCGCCTGTAGGCAGAGGTTTGCGGGCCCTGGTGACCTCAGGGAGCCCTGGAGATGGGCGGGGACTGGGCCCCGTGGCCTGGCGGGGCCATGGCGGATGTGGGAAAACGGGTTTAAGGGGAGCTTAAGAGGTGGGATTGAGGGTCTGTTGTCAGCTCGACGTGGCTAGGGAGGGTTCTAGGAGCGGGTTGGGGATGGCCCCCCACTTCCATCCTGTGCTCCTACCTGGGTGAGCCTCCTCGGGCCGTCCCCGGGTGTTCTGCAGGCAGGGGCTCGGGGGCGGGGCCGGGGTTGCCCAGCTGTGAGTGAGGCCCAGGGTCAGCAGTCATGTTGGGCCCTAGTTGTCTGTATTTGAGGGACAGTCGGAGGTGTGGGGCGGGGGACTGGGTGGGGGTCCTGGAGGCTGGGCTGGGTGTGGCTGGTAGCACGTTGGTTAGGGGAGGGGCTGGACGTGGGAGTGCAGTCTTCTGAGACATCTTGGGAGGCCAGGCCTGTCCTTAGCTGGATGAGGCCGAGGCACTGGGACGTGCGTGGGGTGGGCGGCGGGTGAGGACCAGGGAAGGGCTGGCAGGCGTGGGGTTGGGCCTTGCTGGGGAAGTGTGGTTTTCCCCAGCTTAGCCAGGCCTTGGGGCTGGTTGGATGGGGTGTGCTGAGGGATGGAGTGAGCCTGGCCTGCCTGGACACTGCCCAACGCAGCATCCCCCCGGGGTGGGAAGCCAGCAGGCCCTGAGGTGACTCAGCCCCAGCCCCCTCCTCTGGGCCCCACCTGGAAGGAGCCAGGGCTGGGCTCAGGGGTCAAGAGCACACCAGGGGTAGACTGGGGGGTTCCTGGGCAGTGAGGGCTGAGAGGCTGTGGAATGTGGGTACCCAGTGCTGGGTAGTACAGGGCATGTCCCGGGGGTCCCACCTGTCTGAGCATGTCTGTGAGTGACGGTCTCCGTGGGCTGCACTAGGCGGAGCAGGGGGCCAGCCCTGTGGTCTCTTTGCTTGGCTGACAGCATCGCCTGTCGCCATGGCTGGGGTACAAGGGCCAGGTGGCCCGGGGGCAGAGGGGGCATAGTGGCCATGGTCTGAGGCTGTGCTGGGCAGTCCCAGGACCTCTTGGCCTCAGTTTCCCCAACTGTACCGCAAGGGCCCCTCCTGCCACCTGTTCTGTGTGAGGGTGGAGGTAGGTGTGGGTTTGCCTGTGTGCTGTATGCCTGCAGGACCTGAGCTCCGGCCTGTTGGGGCCTCTGGCTGGGCGCCCTGTACTTGGCCACCCCGTGCACTTGGTGGAGGCCGCCAGCGTGGTGATGGGGCCCCACGTTCTCCCCCGTGGTCACCCCCAGTGAGGCACCAAGGGGCGTTCCACAGGAAACGCTCGGGTCCCGGCTGCCCATGGGGCCCCTGTCTGTGGCCACTCCAGCCAGGCTGCCCTTTGCCCACCTCTCCCCCCGGTCGCTCTTCCTGTGCTCCGTGCTGACTTGAGCCAGCTCAGGGCAGGCTGGGCCTCTGGCACCCCAACGGTAGGGAGCCCAGGCCCCTGAGCCCGCGTGGCCTGGAGGGGCAGTCTCCCTCCCTTGAGCTGGGTCATTTTTGGGTCTGCAGAGGATGTGGCCTGAGGATGAGGAGGGTGGTGGGTCCCTGGCTGGGGAGGAAGGGCCAGAGCCTGGCAGACCCAGGGGCAGCGTCTGAGCCCTGGGCCTTGTCCCACCCTGAACGAGGCAGGCAGGTGTGGCCTCAGGTACCTGACCCGCCTCCCCATGTCTGCAGCGCTCCTTTACCCTCATCGTGGAGGCCTGGGACTGGGACAACGATACCACCCCGAATGGTGAGTGAGCCCTGGGCCAGGTGGCAGCTCCTCTCAGCTTCAGCGTGCCTGTGGCAGGGCCCAGCTCCTCTGTCTGCTTGGGACAAAGCCTTGCTTTACCCTGAGGATCATGTGTGCTGTTTCCCTTTTTGCTTTGGCTGCCAGGAAGCTCTGCCACGTTTGGGACTTGCAGAGCTGTGCATGCACTCTCTTCCCCAGTCCTGGCTTTGCCTATGTTGTTCTCCTCTTGGGTGTGCTCTTTTGGGGCCCATGGCAGTGACTTAGTGGAGGGGACACCCTTGAGTGTGTCTCTGGCTTTGTGGCCCCCTCTGCTTGTCTGTACTGGAGCATGGAGCCTTGGTGGCCCTCTCCCTGAGGCAGGGGCTCTGCAGGGCCCTGCAGGGGTAACGGGATGACTTCCATGGGTGAATGCAGAAGCACCCACAGGCCAAGGGAGCAGCTCGTGTGAAGGTCTGGGCAGGAGCGGGCTGGCTGTGCAGGGGGAGCAGCCGGGGCTGGGCTCAGATCATGGAGGCTGGCAAGCCACTGAGAGGACACGGGCTCCGCCTGGCAAGCTGTGGCTGCCTTATGGAGGGTGGGCTGTGGGGCCAGGACACAGACCGAGGAGGAGCTGCCACGTGAATCTGGGCGTGTCAGGGTGACTTGGACCAGGGGCAGTCTGGGGGTGAGAGGGGCTCTCAGAAGTGGAGGCATGGGGTTGGCCAATGGGTTGGAGGAGGGAGAGCGGGGCCAGGGCATCCTGGCTGCCAGCAGAGTGGAGGGGCTGTTTTCAGGGCAGGGACGGCGGTGGGGGTGCCCAGGTGGGGAGCAGCAGTTGTGGGGACCCCAGCGGCTCAGGGCAGGGGTGTTTCCTGAGGGGGTGGCAGAGAGACAGGTGGGCTGAGTCCCAAGCAAGGTCGTCAGGGCTCTTGACAACGTGAGCCTGGAGAGGCTGGGGCGGCCGGGACGCCCCTTGGGGAGTGGGCCAGCACAGTGTCCTCCCAGGCCTTGGCCCGAGGCGGGAGAGGTGGGGTCTGGAGGACCCGTTCACCTTTTATTGTGCAAAACGTCGAGCCTGTGCCTAAGCGCAGGGACCGGCATCACGGACTTTGCATACCAGCGCCAGCAGCTGTGGTGCCCCTGGCCCCTGGTCTCCTGGTGGCTTACTTAAAGTGAGGCTTAGACAGCGGGTCACGGGACCTATGCCTGTCTTGGGGGCCTGAGGGGAGGCTTGTCTTAAGGTGGGGACGGTAGTGGTGTTTGGCACTTCTGGGAGCAAGTCACAGCGCAGGAGAGGGGAGGGCAACTGAGCACCATGTCCGTGCTGTCGAGGGCTGGACACGGCGCAGGTGGGTGCAGGTGTTGGAGCAGGGCTGCAGGTGGGTGGGCACAGGTGTGGGACGTGAGACTCACGCCCTGGCAGCAGCCGTGCCTTCTCTGTGGAGCCTGTGGTCTCAGCAGCCCTCCCTGCAGGGCCCCTAGCCCCTAGCCGGGCCCCCCGACCCTCTGCGTTTAGGGTGGGAGCGGGGCGCAGGCTTGGTGGCGGGAGGGAGAGGCCTCTCGGGGCCCTGAGCTTTCTGTAGCAGCCTGGCCGGGGGCCCTGCCCTCCGTGTGCTGCTGCCTGCTGTGCCCCGGCCTTGCAGCAGCCGCAGGCTTCTGCCCCGTCCCCGTTGTTCCTGGAGGACCCCTGGCCGGGCTGGTTTCTCTGGCCTGTGCTGACTCTGCCGCCTCCCCAAGAGGAGCTGCTGATCGAGCGAGTGTCGCATGCCGGCATGATCAACCCGGAGGACCGCTGGAAGAGCCTGCACTTCAGCGGCCACGTGGCGCACCTGGAGCTGCAGATCCGCGTGCGCTGCGACGAGAACTACTACAGCGCCACTTGCAACAAGTTCTGCCGGCCCCGCAACGACTTTTTCGGCCACTACACCTGCGACCAGTACGGCAACAAGGCCTGCATGGACGGCTGGATGGGCAAGGAGTGCAAGGAAGGTGAGGGGGCCGCTGGGCTGCGTGGAGGGCAGGGAGGGCCTCGGGCAGGGCCCCGGGCACAGGCCTTGCGGCCAGGCTGGCTGCAGCTGTGCCTCTCGCTCCTCTCTGTTCGCAGCTGTGTGTAAACAAGGGTGTAATTTGCTCCACGGGGGATGCACCGTGCCTGGGGAGTGCAGGTGAGTGTGCCGCCGGCCCGTCTTTGCCCTCCCAACCTTTGCCCTCACGTCCTCACTGGCACACACAGCCTTGCTGTCAGGAGTCGCCCGGAGCTGGCTGGAGGTTGGGCACACAGCTGTGAGAGCCGGGCCCTGAGCTCGGGAGGCTCCTTAGTGCAGTAGGTGCGTGTCTGAGCATGGGATGTGTCTGATGGCGGCAGCCATGTGAGGACAGTGAGGAGAGACTGGGGAGGCTGGCTGGACAGTCACGTCACCGAGGGGCAGAGACCCGGAGGCTGCAAGCCACCCAGAGATGGGGCATGGGCAGAGGACACGGTAACCCTGCCCATGGGGAGGGGGTGGGCGGCGAGCGGCCGGCAAGTGACACCAGCAGGCGAGGGGCGGCAGAGCAGACCAGTGGTGGGAGCTGAGGCCTGCAGGACCAGGGACAGAGGAAGGGGCTGCTGGCAGGTTTGTAGCTGGGCAAGGTGGGTGGAAGGGCTGTGGTAGCTGTTGAGTGGGGAAGCACCAGACGGGAGGCTGTGAGGGGGAGGCCGCTGTGGGGCATGTGGGGGTGGTGGGGGAGGGGCCAGCGGGATGGGGAGGGGGTCAGTGGAAGGGGGAGAGGCGCACGGGTCCTGCAGACATCCTGGGGTGGAGCCCAGGGGTTTGTGGATGGATTTGATCAAGCAGGAAGGGTGTGGAGTCAGGGAGAACCCCAAGCTGCTGAGTAGCAGAGCCATGGTGGCAGGAGGAATGCCACAGAGGAGCAGGCGGGGCCGGGGTTAGCTGGATGTGGAGAGGCGATGCCTGCCCTGTCCCTGGAGACACCCAGAAAGCTCGTGGGAGAGGCCTGGCCTGCGCCACGCGGGGCCTGTGGGGGGTGGCATTCAGGCGGTGACGGGAAAGTGGGGAAGGCAGAGAGGAGGGAGGCCAAGGAGCAAGTCCCGGCTGCCACAGGTCAGGGCGGATGGATGAGGAGTCAGCAAGGGCCTCCACAAGGGAGTGTCCGGGGTCTTACAGCCAAGTCCAGATGGTGGAGGCCTCTGGACCCAGACCAGAGTGTGGGGGATCCAGCCAGGGGGGCTGGCAGCTTTGCCCTAGAGTGGAGCAGAGAAGTCAGCAGGGCAACCAGAGGGGCTGGGGCCCAGGGTCTGGGGTGGGCACGGGCTTCGAGCCGTGGCGCTCACTGTGCGTGAGCAAGCTGGGGAGCCCGAGAGAGGGGCGCGAGCGGGTGGAGAGACAGCAGGTGGAGGTGAGCACCGCCCTCCAGCCAGCCTTGGATTGCAGGGGTCCCAGGACCTCCCTCTGTGGAGTGGGTTTGCCTCCATGGGACGAGGACACTGGGGCACAGAGAGCCTACTGATTTCCCCAGGGTCACACAGCGTGGCGTTTTGGAGAGGAGTCGGGGAGTTTGGGAACCAGCTGAGTTGGGAGCCAAGGTGGGGAGGTGGGTGACCCTTCCACAGGCCCCACGGTTGAGTGGCCTGGAGGGTACAGTGAGGAGCTTTCCCGGCCAGTCCCAGAGCGGGGAGGCAAGCAGGGCTGGGGCCGCCCACCCGGTCACTTGCACACACAGGGATTCCCGGCAGGTTGAGCGAGTCCCAAGTCAGCTCAGAAAGTGCAACAAGGTGGACCTGGTCTGGGCAGATGTAGATGTAGATCTACGGGAGTCGGCCCCACTCACCCTCGCCTGGCCCAGTGTGCATCACACAACCTGGATGGCAGTGCCACCCTCCCTGGATGGCTGCTGGCTGGCAGCTTGAATGTCACACCAAGGCTGGAGGAAGGCAGCAGAGAAGTTGGCCATCCCTGCCCTTTACCCGCAGGAAGATGAGCCGGAGTCTGGGGGGCCTGGTGGGTGGGGGCAGTAGGTGAGCTCCGCCTGCCCCTCTTGCTGGCCCTGTCGGGGAGGCCCAGCTGTTGCTGACAGCCTCGGCTCAGGTTCCAGTGCAGGACGCCCCCCCACCGGATGCTGCGGAGATGGCCATGCCTTCCTGCCGCCGCCTCTCCAGGGCCCTGGGGCTGCTGGCTGGGGAAACCAGGAGGTGGGGGCCTGGTGTGGGCTGCCCTGCCCAGGGTCGAGAGCACGCCCTTGGGACCCACGAGGTCTGGGCTCTGAGCCCGGCTGTGGCCGCTCTCTGGCCGATGACCCAAGGTGTGTCACAGCCCCGCCCTGAGCCTGGGTCTCTGTGTCTGTGGAGGAGGGATTCTAGGCGGGATGTGAGGCCACCCACGCGGACCACTGTGCATGCTGGGCTGGATACTGGAGACACGTTCTTCCCGGCCTCAGTTTCCCCATTTGTGGCAGCTGAACTGGGCTGATAGGCCTTCGGTGCTGGCTGTGTGGCTTGAGGGCGGCTCAGGAAGGGCCGTGGTTCTTTCCTTTTACAAAAATAAAGTGTGGCGGGTGCCGGTGTGGAAGTGACGTGGCCTGGATGACATTCCCGTCCTGCAGGACCGGAGAGTTCTAGGAAGGGCCCCCCGGGAGTCCCGGCAGGGCCTGGATGGCAGCCTGCTGAGCCTTGGGGTCGTTGCAGGCTCTCTCCCCTGACGGAGGCACCCTCAAGTCAGGCCATGTTCTACCCTGGCCACCTGCCCTCTCCTGGGGGACTCCCAAGACAGGACGTTGGCCGATAGCCTGGGGCAGGGCGAGTCCTGGTGGTTGTGTCCTGGGGGGTGCAGCTGGGGGTGCAGCTGGAGCTCCTGCAGAATCAGGAACTACCCTGGGCAGGGCTGGCCCAGGCCAGCCTGTGGGCCTCAGTAGCCCCATCTGTGAGATGGGTACCTTGTGGGACTTTACTGGGAGCGAGCGAAATGACTGCCTTTGAGGTGGGGGCGAGGGCACGTGCTGTGCCCAGGGCCACATGGCCGAGGCAGAGCCAGGAGTGCTCCCCTGCTGCCCGCTGGCCTACCCAGCCCCTGGTGCCTCCCGGCCCTGGCAGCACCTTGTGAGTCCGAGCCGGCATTCTCATCCCCGGGGTCCCGGCAGGGCCTTCCTTTCCTGGTGCCTGCTCTCGGGGCCCAGCTCACGGGTGAATCCCAAAATAGCTCAGGGAGGAGTGACGGGACAGCTGGGGCTGACCGTCGGCAGCCAGCGGCCGGGAATGCCCGTGACAGTGGGGCTGGCCGGCAGGGCTGCAACCCCTGCCTGGCTGGGGCTGCTCCAGTTCAAAGGCCTGAGGCCGCCCGCCGGCCCTGGGTGTGGCGTGGGTGACTGTGCCTGGCTCCCCTGCCACCCTTTCAGGCACCACAGCTCACTGGGTCTTGCGCCCCTCCTCCTTCCCCCAGGTGCAGCTACGGCTGGCAAGGGAGGTTCTGCGATGAGTGTGTCCCCTACCCCGGCTGCGTGCATGGCAGTTGTGTGGAGCCCTGGCAGTGCAACTGTGAGACCAACTGGGGCGGCCTGCTCTGTGACAAAGGTAGTGGTAGGGGGCGGCAGGCCTAATGCTCTGCCATCGAAGTGTGGGTTGTGGGGGAGCGGGGGGCCGGCTTTTCCCCTGAGCATCCCACCCCTGCCCCCAGACCTGAACTACTGTGGCAGCCACCACCCCTGCACCAACGGAGGCACGTGCATCAACGCCGAGCCTGACCAGTACCGCTGCACCTGCCCTGACGGCTACTCGGGCAGGAACTGTGAGAAGGGTACGTGGGGGGCTGGCCACCCAAATTCTGGCCAGGCAGGGACTGGTTCCCTGGGGAGCCGGTCAGGCCCCATCCCTCTGGCGTCCTGTGTGGTGGGCCCCTGACCCCCAGCTTGGGAACCTGTGGGCTTGGGGAGGAGTGCTTGTGGAAAGCTGGGGGCCTGGCTGCCAGCTCTGCCCCCTCCCCGCGGTTCTACAGCTGAGCACGCCTGCACCTCCAACCCGTGTGCCAACGGGGGCTCTTGCCATGAGGTGCCGTCCGGCTTCGAATGCCACTGCCCATCGGGCTGGAGCGGGCCCACCTGTGCCCTTGGTGAGTGTCTGCACGTGAGTAGGGGACTCCTGCCTAGTATCAGTGGGGGTCTGGGAGTGGGGCAACTCGCTGGGGATGGGGTGCAGTGGTCAAGTCCACACGTGTGGCTGCGGCTGGCTTGGCGAGGACAAATGGCAGGAAGACCCAGGCTTGCAGCGCCACCTGCCCATGGGGACCTTATTCCCACGGCTCACACTGCCAGGGCCCCACCTTTCTCCACCCTCTGCAGACATCGATGAGTGTGCTTCGAACCCGTGTGCGGCCGGTGGCACCTGTGTGGACCAGGTGGACGGCTTTGAGTGCATCTGCCCCGAGCAGTGGGTGGGGGCCACCTGCCAGCTGGGTAAGGGCTCCGAGCGAGTGCATGGGAACGTGGGCCGCGCATGCGGGCTGCGGGGGCTGCTGGGGCTGCGGGGGCTGCTGGGGCTGCTGGGGCTGCTGGGCTGCGGGTGCCAGGTGCCCGTGCTGCAGGGGGCAGGCAGGGCCCGAGCCCCACGGCTCCCACCTTGTCTCTTTCACAGACGCCAATGAGTGTGAAGGGAAGCCATGCCTTAACGCTTTTTCTTGCAAAAACCTGATTGGCGGCTATTACTGTGATTGCATCCCGGGCTGGAAGGGCATCAACTGCCATATCAGTCAGTATGGGGGGTGGGCGCCGGCGGGTGGGCCGAGGCACATGGGACCCCGCCTCTGACCCTGCTCCTCTGCCCCCAGACGTCAACGACTGTCGCGGGCAGTGTCAGCATGGGGGCACCTGCAAGGTGAGGCGGGGCCAGGAGGGTGTGTGGCGTGGGTGCTGCGGGGCCGTCAGGGTGCCTGCGGGACGCTCACCTGGCTGGCCCGCCCAGGACCTGGTGAACGGGTACCAGTGTGTGTGCCCACGGGGCTTCGGAGGCCGGCATTGCGAGCTGGAACGAGACGAGTGTGCCAGCAGCCCCTGCCACAGCGGCGGCCTCTGCGAGGACCTGGCCGACGGCTTCCACTGCCACTGCCCCCAGGGCTTCTCCGGGCCTCTCTGTGAGGTGAGGTCTGCCTGGTCACCCTGCCCCACCTGCTGCTCTGGGAGCTGTAGGGCAGGCCTCGTCCCCTGACCATGGGGCCTGAGTGACCCAGGGGTGCTGCAGGGGAAGTTGTCCCCAAGGCGTCCCAGGCTCAGCTCTCCACTGGGTGCCAGGTGGGCAGGCGGGGCTGTCACAGGTCACCAGGCTTGGCCCCCTGTGGCCATTGCTTGTTGTGATGGGTTTCCTGGTGGCCTGGGCTAGGAGCCCCCGGGCTGCTGGCTGCCCAGGCCTATCTGTCCATCTGTGCACTCCCTCGGGACTGGAGGGCAGGGGGCTCTGGTGGGCAGAGCACATGGGGTAGGGTGGGTGCCTGATGGTGGAGAGGTATACACCTGTCATAGGTGAGTCCTGGGTCGGAGTGGGCATCTCTCTCAGGGCTGATGCTCTCGCCTCCCTCTGACCATCTGTTGGTACTGGACCCCCTCCCCCAACCTCCCCTTCCCCCCTGCCTCCAAAGTAACCTGCCTTCCCCCTTCCCCACCACCCCTACCACCCCCTTCCCCACCTCCCCCTTCCCCACCTCCCCCAACCCTGCCTCCCCCCACCCACCTCACTATCACCCCTCCCCTACCTCCCCCAACCCTGCCTCCCCCCACCCACCTCCCTACCACCCCCTTCCCCACCTCCCCCAACCCTGCCTCCCCCCACCCACCTCCCTACCACCCCCTTCCCCACCTCCCCCAACCCTGCCTCCCCATTACCTGCCTCCCTACCACCCCCTCCCCTTACTTCCCCTTTTTCCCTGCCTCCCCCCACCCACCTCCCTACCACCCTCGGCCGCCCACGATCCTGCCCTGGCCTTGGTGCAGAGGATGGGCCTCCTGTCCAGAGGGCTTCTTGGGGCCCAGGGCAGGGGTCTGACCTCAGGACCTGCAAGCATGGCAGTGGCTGGCCCTGGAAAAGACCCACAGTCTTGGCTCTGAGGGTGGCCAGGCAGTGTGTGAGGGGCTCAGGAGCTGTCCTTCCTGCCAGCAGCAGGGGCCAAGGCCACACTCCTCCCGAGGGACAGTGAGGAAGCTGGGCTGCAGTGGAGGTGGGGGTGGGGGCCCACAGGTATCTGCGTTCAGCTAAGGCCTGGGCAGTCTCAGGTGGGCAGGGGTCTTGGGCTCTGGCTGGCACTGTTAGGCCCAGGGCGGAGGGGCCTGGGGGTCCCCAGGGATCTACCTTCGTATGGACAGAGGCCTGGCCTGTGTTCCCGGCCTGGGCCTGGGCCTAGGCTCTCACAGGCACCCCCCACCCTGCAGGTGGATGTCGACCTTTGTGAGCCAAGCCCCTGCCGGAACGGCGCTCGCTGCTATAACCTGGAGGGTGACTATTACTGCGCCTGCCCTGATGACTTTGGTGGCAAGAACTGCTCCGTGCCCCGCGAGCCGTGCCCTGGCGGGGCCTGCAGAGGTGCTGGGTGCGGCATGGGGTGGTGGGGGAGGTGGTGGGGCAGGGGCGGGCCTGACTCCTGACTGTACTGCCTGCCATAGTGATCGATGGCTGCGGGTCAGACGCGGGGCCTGGGATGCCTGGCACAGCAGCCTCCGGCGTGTGTGGCCCCCATGGACGCTGCGTCAGCCAGCCAGGGGGCAACTTTTCCTGCATCTGTGACAGTGGCTTTACTGGCACCTACTGCCATGAGAGTGAGTGGCCACGAACGGCGGGCTGGTGGTGGGGCTGGGCTGGCCTGAGGCCCTGGCTCACCCCGCTCGCCTCTGCAGACATTGACGACTGCCTGGGCCAGCCCTGCCGCAATGGGGGCACATGCATCGATGAGGTGGACGCCTTCCGCTGCTTCTGCCCCAGCGGCTGGGAGGGCGAGCTCTGCGACACCAGTGAGTGTTCCAGCACCCGCCCACACGGCCTGTGCCTCCACCCCTGTGGGCCCCTTATCACCCTGAGATGGACCGCTGTCTGGGTGCGGCAGGCCCCGTACCCAGAAAGGCCTGGCCAGGGGGTGCTGCCACCATGGGGTGGAGTCCCAGGCTGCCCCCATGCCCGAGGCCAGCTCCCCCGGCCCGACGCTCCTCCCCCGCCCCTCTCTGTCCTCACCTGGCCCAGCTCCAGTGCTTCCTCCCCCGGGAAGCCCTCCCTGAGCGCCGGTGACCCCCCGCCCGCTGACCGGCGTCCTCGCCCCCAGATCCCAACGACTGCCTTCCCGATCCCTGCCACAGCCGCGGCCGCTGCTACGACCTGGTCAATGACTTCTACTGTGCGTGCGACGACGGCTGGAAGGGCAAGACCTGCCACTCACGTGAGTGTCCGCAGGCCCTGGCCGCCTGGGGCTGCCCCCAGGACCCTGGCCCTGGCGGTCTGGGGCCTGCCTGCTGAGCGGCCCATGTGCCAACAGGCGAGTTCCAGTGCGATGCCTACACCTGCAGCAACGGTGGCACCTGCTACGACAGCGGCGACACCTTCCGCTGCGCCTGCCCCCCCGGCTGGAAGGGCAGCACCTGCGCCGTCGGTGAGGAGCCCCCGCTGCCTCTGCGACCGCCGGGCATATGCCCTCCCAGGCACCGCTCCCTCGGGCGCGATGGGCCGAGGGGTCTTTTTTGAGGGCCACACCTGCCACCTGCCCCCTGCCCCCTGCCCCCGGGTCTGTCTGCCCTGTCTGGGTTGGGGGCGCGGTATGGAGACCCAGGGCCAGCCCAGGGCCAGGTGAGACGCTCCCTCCTCCTCCTCTCCTTACAGCCAAGAACAGCAGCTGCCTGCCCAACCCCTGTGTGAATGGTGGCACCTGCGTGGGCAGCGGGGCCTCCTTCTCCTGCATCTGCCGGGACGGCTGGGAGGGTCGTACTTGCACTCACAGTGAGTGTGGGAGGGGTGTGGGCGGGGGCCGCTTTCCTCCACCCAGATGACATCCCTGCCCCCGACTCGCCCCCCAGTCCCTTCTGCCAGCCCCTCCCCCTGCTGCCCCTGCCCCCAGCAAAAGGCACCCTCCTTGATGACCCTCCCCAGCCCCACAGCCTGATCACGCCAAGCCAGCCTGGACAGTGCCTGGCACGCTTGGGGGGTGGGTACTGATCCCCTGCGTTCTCTTCTCCCAAACCAGATACCAACGACTGCAACCCTCTGCCTTGGTGAGTGGCACCCTGGGGGCCACAGCAGGGGTGGGTGGGACTTGGCATACCACGGGGGGCCACCTGATGCCCACCCTCTGCTCTGCAGCTACAATGGTGGCATCTGTGTTGACGGCGTCAACTGGTTCCGCTGCGAGTGTGCACCTGGCTTCGCGGGGCCTGACTGCCGCATCAGTGAGTGGCCAGACAGCCCCAGCCCTGGGAGCCCCTCAGCCCAGCCGCGGTGTCAGGAGTCTGGGGACATCAACGTCCACGTCCCTTGAAGGGCAGTGTGGCCACAACTACTTCCTGCCTCTCTTCTGAGCCTCAGTTTCCCCACATGTCTGTGCCCTGTGGGGTTCCTGCTGTATACCCTGCCAAGTGATTAAGTGGGGAGCCCCAGCCTGGGGGACCAGTCCGGGGCCCAGGGAGCTGTGGGGGTTGGAGCGTGCAGCCTGACGTGGGCTCCTCTGTGGCCGCAGGGCTGTTGTCCCTGGGTGTTGGCCCAGCTGTCTGTCCAGCACCCCTTGGCTGGTCCGACGCAGCAGCTGGGGCTAATCCAGGATGGGACAGGCCCACTGCAGAAGCAGACGGAGGAGGGTGCTGTTGGGCCAGGGTCAGGCTGGGCTCAGGAAGGCCTCAGGCAGGCAGCAGCTTGGGCTCGGGGGCAGGGGCTGCTCCTCATTGTCCTGGGGCTTGCGCCTGTGTGCCACTGGCTCCCCGCTGCCCTAGGCCATGCCGGTCCTGCGGTGGGCGTTGGCCTCACTGCACTGAGCAGCGGTGGCTCTCCCTGCAGACATCGACGAGTGCCAGTCCTCGCCCTGTGCCTACGGGGCCACGTGTGTGGATGAGATCAACGGGTATCGCTGTAGCTGCCCACCCGGCCGAGCCGGCCCCCGGTGCCAGGAAGGTAGGCCCCGTGTGATTGCCCTGGGTTGGGGCGGGTTGGGGGGCATGGGTGACACCCAGCCCCGAGGGCCAGATGCCCACTGCTGACCCTCGAGCCCCTTCTCCCCACAGTGATCGGGTTCGGGAGATCCTGCTGGTCCCGGGGCACTCCGTTCCCACACGGAAGCTCCTGGGTGGAAGACTGCAACAGCTGCCGCTGCCTGGATGGCCGCCGTGACTGCAGCAAGGTGAGGGCAGCCCGTGAGCCGCCCTGCCCTACCCGAGGCTGGTGCACGCTGACCCTGGCCACTCTGTGAGATCAGGAGGCGGGTGCTGGGGTCCGGATGGACTGAGAGCCGTCTGCCCTCAGGGACACCCAGGGAGGCGAGAGCTCAGCCAGGCCCCATGCTTCGATGTGCAGTTGGGAAAACAGGCCTGGTCTGGGTCCTGCCTTGCTCCGCCTGCCCTTTCTGATGTCGAGCTTGGCCTGCCTCCCTGGGAGCCCTGGGTAGGGGGTGGGCTGGGCCCTGGGGCTCACAGACTTGGGCGGTGTCCCTCCTTGGCATGGGGCCCGTGCCTGCCTGTGGGTTCTCATCTGTGTGCCTGCATCTGACCCTCCTGTGCGCCTGCGCCTGACCCTCCTGTGCGTGCCTGCCCAGGTGTGGTGCGGATGGAAGCCTTGTCTGCTGGCCGGCCAGCCCGAGGCCCTGAGCGCCCAGTGCCCACTGGGGCAAAGGTGCCTGGAGAAGGCCCCAGGCCAGTGTCTGCGACCACCCTGTGAGGCCTGGGGGGAGTGCGGCGCAGAAGAGCCACCGAGCACCCCCTGCCTGCCACGCTCCGGCCACCTGGACAATAACTGTGCCCGCCTCACCTTGCATTTCAACCGTGACCACGTGCCCCAGGTGAGGGGCCTGGTGGCATCTGAGCTTGCAGAGGCCACACGCCGGCATCTGCTCGTGGCATGGCGAAAGCCTAGCCCCGCAGGGCAGGGAGGCCCTGGTTGGCTGAGCAGAGTCACTCTTGGTCACAGAGAGTGGCCCTGTGGGGTCAGATGAGAGGGGCATTGGGCCTGGTGCTGGGTGGAGGTGGCAGAGGAGGCTGGGAGAGCAGCCAGCTGGGGGTGCCTGTTTGTCCAGCTGCCCTGAGGGCCTGGACTGACGGCGCCATGGCTGCCTGGCCCCAGCTCTTGGGCTGTAGCTCCGTGGGCAGTTTTGCCCTGGCCTAGGAGCCACCTTTGCCTGCTGTGTGCTTGGAGCTGGGCCCCTGTCTCCCAGGAGGGGCTCAGAACTGGAGGAGACCCACTGTACCCCGCCCTGCCTCTCCTTCCCCCACTGGCCTGCAGGTGGAGCTGGGTCCGCCCTGAGGATGGGCGGGTGGGCACCGTCACTCCTGCCTCCTGGTATAGGGCACAGCCGGGTGGGAAGCTGCCCCCCCAGGCCCTTGGCATCCTTGCTGTGCTCTCCTGGGCGGGCTGTAGGGTGTGTCCCACGTGTACCCACAGCGCCAGTCCAGGGATGTAGGTGTCAGGTTCACGGCCCTGCCCTGCCCACGCACTGCCTGTCTCTGCCCAGGGCACCACGGTGGGCGCCATTTGCTCCGGGATCCGCTCCCTGCCAGCCACAAGGGCTGTGGCACGGGACCGCCTGCTGGTGTTGCTTTGCGACCGGGCGTCCTCGGGGGCCAGTGCTGTGGAGGTGGCCGTGGTGAGTGCCCAGTGGGGAGCAGCACCTGGGTGGGCCCTGGGTCCCGTACTATGCAGGTCCTGGCTATGCTGGACAGAGGCTCTGGCGAGGCTAGTCCTGGTGCGGAAGGACTGCGGGCAGGCCTGTCTCCCTGCGGCCCCTCGCTGTCCATGCCGCAGACCCGTGGAACTGCTCCCTGGGCCTGGCCAGCATGAGGGAGATGCAGGGCTGTGGTGTGGAGCCCGCTTCCCCTGCAGCTGCATCCTCGCCCGGTCCCCTGCTCTGTTTTTGTCTCTGTGTCCCTACGTCACAGGCAGCAGGAGAGTCCGTGGGCTTAGTCTGCCCTGGGAGGCCTGCTTTGGGACTGGCACCTGCCCTGGACCTGGGGGGTGTCAGATGTGAATGGATACCAAGGGGGTCGGGTGAGACTGGGGTGGAGACATGCCCGGAGAGGGGAGGGAATGTTCTGGAACATGGTGGGTGGGTGTGCAGAGCAGTGGGTGTGGCCATGGCACAGTGTGGCTGGTGGAGGCCATGGCCAGGCACAGGAAGGACGTGCAGTGTTTTGGTGCCCTGAGGCCGCAGAGGGGGTGGGGGACATGGATGGGTGCTGCTGGGTGATGGAAGGGCAGTAGGGGCAGGGGAAGATGTAAGAAGTGTGCCAGCACAGGTCAGGGCGCCATCAGGGATGTGGTGGAGGCAGGGGCACAGCCCCGGGTTGCTGTGGCCTCGTGAAGGCACTAGGTTTGTGGTGCCCCTGGGGTGTGGCCCATAGGTGGGGGTGGGGGCTGGGAACTGACAAGAAGGGATGGCCATCACGGAGCAGGTGTCAGCGAATGGGGCCACACACCTCCCCAACTCACTGCCTGGTGGCGAGGTCCCCACCGCAGGACCCCGGGCTCTCCTGTGTGCCCGGACGGGGACACCCTCCACCCCTCCACTTCCCCCCACCCCTCACTGCCTGCTGGTGAGGTCCCCACCGCAGGACCCTGGGCTGTCCCGTGCGCCCGGATGGGGACATCCTCCACCCCTCCCCTTCCCCCCACTGCTCGCTGCCTGGTGGTGAGGTCCCCACACCTCAGGACCCTGGGCTCTCCTGTGTGCCCGGATGGGGACAGCCTCCACCCCTCCACTCCTCCCCCCGCTACTCCCCACTCACTGCCTGGTGGTGAAGTCGCCACTGCAGGACCCCGGGCTCTCGTCTCCCGTGCGCCCACCTTGCTCCAGTGTGGCCAGGGCCTCAGTGTTGGGGGCAGGCTGCTGGGAGCCTGGAGCCCTCGAGCCATCCCCACAATGCCGTTCTTTGCCGCAGTCCTTCAGCCCTGCCAGGGACCTGCCTGACAGCAGCCTGATCCAGGGCGCGGCCCACGCCATCGTGGCCGCCATCACCCAGCGGGGGAACAGCTCACTGCTCCTGGCTGTCACCGAGGTCAAGGTGGAGACGGTTGTTACGGGCGGCTCTTCCACAGGTAAGCGCGGGAGGTGGGCCCCTGGGAAGGCACCAGGCAGGCAACTCAGGCATTGGGCACAGAGCCGGCCGATCCTGCCGATCCTGCCAGCCACCAGGAACACAGAAGTCCCTGGCACCTGCTGCCCCAGCCGCCCAGCCCCACAACCTGACCTTCCCAGCCCCCGTCCTGGGACCCTCCCCACGAGCCAGCAACCGGAGGGTGGGGCCCGGCCGCCTGGCCCGCAGGGCCCTCCCAGGCCTGGGTGTGTGGCTAGTGCCCCGCAGGTGCCCAGGCCTCATTGCCCACCGGCTCTTCTCCCCGGTCCCCAGGTCTGCTGGTGCCTGTGCTGTGTGGTGCCTTCAGCGTGCTGTGGCTGGCGTGCGTGGTCCTGTGCGTGTGGTGGACACGCAAGCGCAGGAAAGAGCGGGAGAGGAGCCGGCTGCCGCGGGAGGAGAGCGCCAACAACCAGTGGGCCCCGCTCAACCCCATCCGCAACCCCATTGAGCGGCCGGGGGGCCACAAGGACGTGCTCTACCAGTGCAAGAACTTCACGCCGCCGCCGCGCAGGGCGGACGAGGCGCTGCCCGGGCCGGCCGGCCACGCGGCCGTCAGGGAGGATGAGGAGGACGAGGATCTGGGCCGCGGTGAGGAGGACTCCCTGGAGGCGGAGAAGTTCCTCTCACACAAATTCACCAAAGATCCTGGCCGCTCGCCGGGGAGGCCGGCCCACTGGGCCTCAGGCCCCAAAGTGGACAACCGCGCGGTCAGGAGCATCAATGAGGCCCGCTACGCCGGCAAGGAGTAGGGGCGGCTGCCAGCTGGGCCGGGACCCAGGGCCCTCGGTGGGAGCCATGCCGTCTGCCGGACCCGGAGGCCGAGGCCATGTGCATAGTTTCTTTATTTTGTGTAAAAAAACCACCAAAAACAAAAACCAAATGTTTATTTTCTACGTTTCTTTAACCTTGTATAAATTATTCAGTAACTGTCAGGCTGAAAACAATGGAGTATTCTCGGATAGTTGCTATTTTTGTAAAGTTTCCGTGCGTGGCACTCGCTGTATGAAAGGAGAGAGCAAAGGGTGTCTGCGTCGTCACCAAATCGTAGCGTTTGTTACCAGAGGT
Organism: Homo sapiens; assembly: GCF_000001405.40. Taxonomy (NCBI): domain Eukaryota; kingdom Metazoa; phylum Chordata; class Mammalia; order Primates; family Hominidae; genus Homo; species Homo sapiens. Next base: position 105,142,378 of record NC_000014.9, on the reverse strand, counting down.
TGTGCACTGTTTACAGAATCTTCCTTTTATTCCTCACTCGGGTTTCTCTGTGGCTCCAGGCCAAAGTGCCGGTGAGACCCATGGCTGTGTTGGTGTGGCCCATGGCTGTTGGTGGGACCCGTGGCTGATGGTGTGGCCTGTGGCTGTCGGTGGGACTCGTGGCTGTCAATGGGACCTGTGGCTGTCGGTGGGACCTACGGTGGTCGGTGGGACCCTGGTTATTGATGTGGCCCTGGCTGCCGGCACGGCCCGTGGCTGTTGACGCACCTGTGGTTGTTAGTGGGGCCTGAGGTCATCGGCGTGGCCCAAGGCTGGCAGGTCAACCTCGCGCTTGCTGGCCAGTCCACCCTGCCTGCCGTCTGTGCTTCCTCCTGCCCAGAACGCCCGCTCCAGCGATCTCTCCACTGTGCTTTCAGAAGTGCCCTTCCTGCTGCGCAGTTCTCCCATCCTGGGACGGCGGCAGTATTGAAGCTCGTGACAAGTGCCTTCACACAGACCCCTCGCAACTGTCCACGCGTGCCGTGGCACCAGGCGCTGCCCACCTGCCGGCCCCGGCCGCCCCTCCTCGTGAAAGTGCATTTTTGTAAATGTGTACATATTAAAGGAAGCACTCTGTATATTTGATTGAATAATGCCACCATTCCGGCCTCCCTTGTTCTTTCGGTGCTGTCCCTTTTGTATTGAGAGTGAGGTTGGGGGAGAGCCACGCCGGCAGAGAGGCTTGGGGCAGTGGGGCGCGTGCTGGGTATTGGCCCACGTGGCTGTGGTGGCTGTAGAGGGCGAGACGGTTCTGTTGAGTCGGGGCCTGCCAGGGCCTCGAATGCGTTGGCATGCCAAGGTGGTGGATGCAGGTTTGGCCAAAACCTTCCTGGGAATGGGGAGGGGGGTGTCTAGGTGCCTGGCACCCGACCCTGACTAAAACAGCTGAAAACAGTTTTATAAAATAGTATAAAATTGCTTACCCACGAATACGTATCAAGGTCTTAAGGAATTAACAGGTCAAAATTTTTATTCATTCATTTATTCCTTTGTTTTGCTTGGTCATTCAGAGGCAAGGTCAGCATTTGATGGAGGCAGGAGAGAAGCAGCCCTTCCACCTGGCCCTGGAGCTGGTTTTGCCCCTCACTGCTTGAGCCAACTGGAACGTGGCATGGTGGCCTCAGGGCTGGGCATGGAAGGCCGACTCCAAGGCTGACTCCGAGCCGCCTGTCAGTGATGTGCAAGTCTTTACCCTGCTGTGAGGGGTAGGAGGTCAACTGAGTCAAGGAGCAAAGCCAAGAACCAGATCTGTACAAAAGAGAAAAAAAAAGTCCTGCTGACAGCCTGGGAGTGAGGCTGCCTTGCACAGGCAGAACAAATGAATAAATGAATGAACGAATAAAAATTTTGACCTGGTAATTCCTTAAGACCCGCTCGTTGCTGCAGAAGTTACTCTGGATGTCTGTTGTTGAGCACTGCTGCTGTGGACTCCAGGAAGCCATGCAAATGAGCTATGGTGTGCACTAGAGGGACAGTCTCCCTCACTCCGGCTGGAGTCCTCCCATCGGCTTCTCCATTGTATTGAGCCAGGTCTGCAGGGACACACAGAGGAGCTGGTAGGAGACCCTGCTTGCCATCAGTTGCTCACAAGCCCAAGGCTTGTGCCCTCAGGGTGGGGGCAAGGGTTAAACCCACCTCCTGCCGTGGCCCCAAGGGGTTGGCCAGGCAGTTCAGGCAGAAGGGCAGCCACTGAGGAGTCGTGTACACCATGACTCGTGTGGACCTGAAGCCCATGTTCCCACCACCAGGTTGGCCAAAAAGACGGCAGGCTTTGAGTTTCCTTTTAAACGGTGTGTACCTAACTTGCAGTTCCCTAGGTTCCTGGTAGAACCAAATGCAAATCACCTTTGTCCTAGACATCTGTACACCTCATGAATGAGTTTTCCAGGTCAGTGAGTAGACCACAATCAAACCAAGTACACGGGAACCTGGCACCATGATCGAAAGCCATGAGAAATGTGTGCAGAGGCATCCGAGTGTACTGGAATTCTCAGACATGGATTGTAAAAAGCTTGCTGTGCTCAAAGATGGCTTGGAAAAGCTGATAGGCCAAACTTCAACCTAGCACCAAGTAGAACTTCTAGAAATGGAAAAAAAAATACAGCCTTCAAACCAAACACTCCAGAAGTAGTTTGGCAGCCACGCTTAGACACTGCTAAAGAGAGAATTTGTGAACTAGAAGACAGGTGAGAAGAAATGATCCAGGCTGCCCCCCAGGACAAGAGATAGAAAATAGCATCAGCAGCTGAGGAGGGGGCCCCAGGCAAGGGCCTGGCAGGGGCTGTCCTGAGGCCCACAGGAGCCCATCAGGCATAGGGTGAGCAGTAAGTAGGTGCGGCAGGTATAGCGGGTGTCATAGGTGGGGCTGGGTTGCCCAGTTACTTCTGCAGGAAGTGTCCCACAGGCCTGGCCCTTTCTGGCTGTGCCAATGTGTTCCCCAGATTCTGGGGAAGCCCCTGTAACCTCCGGGAGATGCATCTGGCTTGGAGTCTCACAGGACGTAGTCTGGCCTCCATGCCCGTGTAAGGGTGTGTGGCTGTTGGAGGTGGAGGGGTGGCACTCAGGGATCATTCATGCACCAAGTGTGCATGGGTTGAGCTGAGAGCCTCTGCAGTTGCCTGCGTGTGTCCATGGTGGGCGGGCCTGCCGCCCCCCACCCTGAGCTCGCCATCCAGTGTCCTGAGCCCACTGGGAGTTCATGGCCTCCCTCCACCCCATACTCAGTCATAACCCCCCACTTAGGGGACCTTGCACCTTTTCAGGCCTGGCTGGTGCCTGGCCATGGCCAGCCCATGTGGATGGCAGTGTCAAGAGGTCCAGGCCCGGCCAGCAGGCTTCCTGCTTGCTGTCTCACGCCATGTCAGGGCAGACGATGGGGCTCTTCTTCATCTCAGTGCTACTGCCCCCATGGTGTGGTCATGAAGCCGGGCTAGGTTCTGGCCCAACCCCCTGGGGTAAGCCTGGCAGTCCCTGCCCTCAGACCCTAGGCCACCTCCACACCTCCTGAGTGCCACTCACCTGCCTCACAGAGTCCGCTATGCAGAGGCCAGGGTCCACAAGTGAGGGTTAGGCCTCAGGGTCCATCCTGCTGCCACCAAAGCCTTGTTCCCTTGTGGGTGGGTGGGTGGGTGGGTGAGTGGCTGCCCCCAGAGAGGGCGCTGTGTGGTCAGCAAATCTAGCGAAGAAAGGCAGGCTCCCTGGCACCCCCAGGCTGGTGCTAGGCCCCTGGGGCCCCTCTGGCTGTGGCTGCAGGAACCCCGGTGGTCACCCCTACTCTGGCCGCTGGGCTTGGGACCTGTGCCACTCCTGTTTGCCCCTCAGGACACACAGGCGTGCCCTGCTACCCGTCCTGGCTGCCAAGTTCCTGGAGCCCGCTGTGTCTTGCACTGCCATGAAGCGGGGGCCCCCAACGGCCAGTCTCCCCACTGCCTCCACTCTTTGCTCTTCCTGTTGACAGGTCTGGGGCTGTGACCTGCCATACAGAGGGAGAGCTCCTCTGTCACTGGGGCACATGTCCCCAAAATGAGCACCTGGGCCTCCCCAAGCCTGGTGGGCAGTGAGCTTGGGGGACACCAGGCTCCGAGGCATGTGCCGGCGACTGGCGGGGCAGGGCCTGTTCCCCACACTTTGGAGCTGCTCCCAGCTGGGCCCAGAGGCTACATGGCTGTTGGCTTTGTGGCTCGGATGGGAAGGGTCTGGATGCAGAGGGAACTTTGAGGTGGCCACTGCAGCCCCGGGGGGTGCCTGGCTGAGGCGGCCCTGGGCAGCAGGCGCTCACTCAGGCAGAGGGTTACAGGGAGCCGTGCCACCACCCCTGCCACCACTTTCCAGGCAGAGTGACCTGTGCACAAAGGCCAACCTGCAGGCTAGACGGCGTGGGCGGGGCCATGTGCGCACATGCCCCGGAGACTCCTGCCTCTTCTCATTCTGCACCGTCAGAGCAGGGAGCAAAGGGTCGGCCCTGCCTGGCCTGGCCCGAGGGGTGCGTCCTGACCGCGCTGTCTGACCCAGCCTGGGACCAAGTCATGGCAGGGGCCTGCTGTGGGTGCAGAGCCCCTCTCAGGTGGTGAAGCAGCACCTCCCGCACCCACTGCTGCCAGGGTCCCCTGCTGCGTCCTTGCTGTTCGGCCCCTGGGACTGCGTCTGCTGGTTCTGCTTGGCGACAGCTCTGACAGCTGCGTCTCCGAAGAAACCAGGCCCCAGGGTGCAGAGAGGAGGCTCCACAAAGGAGCCTGGTCCCTGGGGGGGCCAGACCCATTAACCCCTGCAGGCCAGGCAGCAGCAGCTGGGTGGTGTGGGCCTCATGGTGGCCACAGGCCCAACTCCAGCTGTCCCAAGACCCACAGGGCTCACCCCTTCCCCATCAGACCCCCAGACCCAGGGTCTTCCAAGGAGCCCCTGAGGTCAGCAGGGACCTGTGAGGTCTCGGATGGACAGCATCTGGATGCCAGGACTTGAAGACCTTTATACAAAAGGGGAAACTGAGGCCCGGGAGGATGGGACCTGCCCTGTGACATTCCTCATGGTTCCCCAGCCCTGGTGGATTCAGGGGCTAGGATGTGAGTCTTGGGGTGGCGTTCTGAGAGGAGGGCAGCCGGCAGGAGGCATGGAGCCACGGGAGGGCTTGCTGGGGACAGTGGTGTCAGTGCGGCTCTGGGCCAGGGGACCAGGGCGGCAGCTAGGCGGCACCGGGGGCTTCTCCTCTGGGCAGAGTGGCGCTGTGGAGCACGTGTAGGGGCAGAGGCAGGGGCCCTAGGAAGCTCGCTCTAGGCTAGAAGGTGTGGCCTGTGGGGGTCACCTGTTCTGCAGCAATATTGTTATCCTGCTGTCGATCTGGGGACCAGGAAGCGTCTGCTTGAAAGCCTTCTGCGGAAGAAGGAAGCCCAAATGGTGAGGAGGATTCTAGAAGCACGGAGGGGCTGGAAAAGGCTGTCGAGAGGCCTCTGGGGCTGCAGCATCCGGCATCCTTGCTCTGATGGAATGGCCAGGTCGCTTCCTTGTCCATCACAGGTTTGGGGTGGCCCAAGGGGGCCTGACCCCGACAGCTGGCAAGGACACACTCATCATGGAGGCCAGGAGCCCCCGAGGCCACAACAGCCCTGAGGGGCTCGGTAGCCAGAGATAGGCCCTGCCTGGACCCACAGCGTGCAGGCGCAGAGGAGTGGCCAGGCGCTTGGCTCATCGTCAAAGATGCTCATTTGACGTGATCAAAGTGCGGCACAAAATGGCTTTCCGGAGCTAGATCCCTGAGGTCCCAAAGAGCAACCGGGCAGCAGAACAGAAGAACGGCGCGGGGGTTGGGGGAAGGGAGCGGGTGCCGAGACTCACACGAGGGCCTGGAGCCGGGGACGGGGAGAGGAGACTCGGGACACAGCCTCTGAGTACCAGGAGCTGCAGAGGGAAAGGGAGGGACAGACGGAGGTGAGAACATTACATGAAAGAGAGCATTTCTCTGAGCTAAGTGAAGACCCGAGCCGGCCAAGCGAGGGGCCCACCGGCTGCAGGCTGGGAACCTGGCGCCACGGTAAGGCCTGGGGAAACGGAAACCTTCCGAAGCCACAGGCAGATGCCCCGCCGAGGGGGAAAGAGAACGGACTGTGTGGTGAGCTAGTGCGGCGAGCCCCTCAGAACGAGCGCCCCTGCCCACTGTGGATGGTGGGATGGGGGTGGGGTGCAGACCCTGCAGAAGGAAGGCAAATGCACCAGTCCCTTGGGAAGGCGCCCGGCAAAGCCACTAGTTTCCAATGCAGGTGCCCTTCGGTGCAGCGACCTGGAGCGCCAGCCGCGAGGGTCCCAGGCCTAGGAGGGCTGCAGCTGCACAGCCACGCATGGCATGGACCAGGCACCAGACAAGGCCACCACGGGGGAGGCCACCGGGCTGTGGGGCCTCGCAGGGCAGTGCGCAGGTTCACGGAGCAAGCACATTGCCGCAGATTGCTGAAATGGGGCCGCTGCACTCCAGCCTGGGCGAAAGAGCGAGACTGCATATAAAAAAAAAAAATGGTTAAGAGAGATATTTTATGTGTATTTATCACAATTGAAATTTTTTTAGGCAAGGTGCAGTCCATACGATACGATCTGTGCTTGTGCTTTTTTTTTTTTTTTTTTTGAGACAAGGTCTCACTCTGTCACCCAGGCTTGAGGGCGGTGGCACGGTCATAGTCCACTTCAGCCTCGTCCTCCTGGGATCAAGGGATCCTCCCACCTCAGCCTCTGGAGTAGCTGGGACTACAGGCACGCACCATCGGGCCCAGCTAATTTTTTAAAAACTTTTCTGTAGAGATGAGTTCTCCCTATGTTGCCCAGGCTAGTCTTGAATTCCTGTCCTCAAGTGATCCTCCTGCCTTAGCTCCCAAAGTTCTGGAATTATCGGAGTGAACCACGGCCCCCAGCCCCATTTTAAACATTCTTAAGTGTACAGTTTAGTGGCATTAAGTACATCCAATTGTTGTGCAATCATCATGGTTTGCCTTTAAAAATTTCTTTCTTTTCTTTTCTTTTTTTTTTTGAGACAGGGTCTCACTCTTGCCCAGGCTGGAGTGCAGTGGTGTGATCATGGCTCGCTGCAGCCTCTACCTCCTAGGCTCAAAGGATCCTCCTGCCCCAGCCTCAACCTCCCGACTCTCTGACACTACAGGTGTGTGCCACCACACCCAGCTAATTTTTAATTTTTTGTAGAGATGGGGGTCTTCCTATGTTGCCCAGGCTGGTCTCAAACTCCTGGCCTCAAGTGATTCTCCTACCTCGGCCTCCCAAAGTGTTGGGATTACAGGCATGAGCCACTGTACCTGGCCTAAAAAAATTTCAATTGTGATAAATACACATAAAATATATCTCTTAACCATTTTTTTTTTTTGATATGCAGTCTCGCTCTTTCGCCCAGGCTGGAGTGCAGTGGCCCCATCTCAGCTCACTGCAAGCTCCGCCTCCCGGGTTCACGCCATTCTCCTGCCTCAGCCTCCCTGGTAGCTGGGACTACAGGCACCCGCCACCACGCCTGGCTAATTTTTTTTTTTTTGTATTTTTAATAGAGACGGGGTTTCACCGTGTTAGCCAGGGTGGTGTCGATCTCCTGACCTTATGATCCGCCCGCCTCAGCCTCCCAAAGTGCTGGGATTACAGGCGTGAGCCACTGCGCCCGGCCTCTCTTAACCATTTTTAAGTGTATAATTCCACAGCGCTAAGTCCATTCACATTGCTGATGACACTGGGTCTCCAGAAGTTTTTCATCTGGCAAATCTGAAACTCTGTCCCCATTAAACACCAACTCCCCATTCCCTTCTCCCGGCAGCCCCTGGCATCCACCATTCTACTGCCTGTCTCTATGAGTTTGACCGGATGCCTCGTGTGAGTGGAGTCAAGCAGTGTTTGTCTTTCTGAGCCTGGCTTATTTTGCTTGACTTCATGTTCTCAAGGTTCATCCACGCTGTTGCATATGGCAGAATTTCCTTCCTTTTAAGGCAGAAGCATAGTTCCTGGGATGCACAGACCGCACTTTGCTCATTCAGTCATCTGTTGATGGCCCCTGGCTACCGTGCCTAATGCTGCTATGAGCATGACTGTGCAAGCAGCCCTTTGAGACCCTCCTTTTGGTTTTGCTGGGAGTACACCCAGAAGCAAAATTGTGGGATCCATTCTGGGGTCATTCTGCTTTTAATTTTTTGAGAAACTGCCATACCTCCGTCCAAGACGACATTCCCACCAGCAGCGCACAAAGGTTCCAATTTATCCACAGCCTTAACTTGTTTTGTTTTGTTTTAATAACAACCATCCTATTGGGTGGGAGGTGGTATCTCACTGTGGTTTCGATTTGCATTTCTCTAATGATTAATGATGTTGAGATGATCTGTGTTCTTTTCTTTTTTTGAGACGGCCTATTTTTATATTAATTGTACTATTTTTCCCCTTTTTCTGTACTCACACTTATTAGAGTCTTTTTTATGAAAAGAAATTTTGGACTAGAGCTGATTGTAAATGTTTGTAGAGAAGAATTTAGAACAATAACTTTGAACGATAAAACTTAGATTAGTCATGGTTAAAATTTGATAAAAGTTCCCACAGTACAAGGAAATGTAGTTATTTTTGTTACCTGCAGCATTTTAAGATAACAATAAGAATCATGACTGACTGTGTCACATGAGGACTATCTGGCTTTTATAAATTTTACGCAGTCTTTAAAATACTCACATTAATAACATCGATGTAAACATAGGTTTAGAACAGGTTTTAATATAACAAAGTTATGACTGATATTTGGTTTTTTAAATTTACATAATTTTGGAACATTGATATCAATAATATACCCATAAATGTAATTGAAAGAAGGTCTAGCATCACTTACCATTTGACAATGTTTCCCATACAGTTTACCACATAAGTCTAATCATGTAATTCAAAAAGGCTTAATTCAGGATTTTGGTCCTGGAGAAACCTGTAAAAAATGTCAAAAGGTTTAAAGCACTTGATCAAAACAGAATCACAGGTCATTGAAAAATAATAGTTATTTGTTTAACCAGAGTGATAATTAAGACCTCAAAGGCAATACAAAAGTTACATGGATGTAAAAGCCTTAACCCTTTCAAAGCTCAGTTCTTCTAAGTAATCAAAAAACTAATAAAGACAACACAGAAATCATCACGACAAAATGTAAAATCTTGTGTGTGTGTGTGATTTAGGCCAGTTACTAAAAAGGTAAGGAAAAACCTCCTGTAATGTGTGATTGCTTCTCCTTATGGGAAACCCATTTAGGTAACCTAGAAATCAACCTCATTAAGAAAGGGCATTTGTACTTAATCTGACACAGGAAGAATGCGTCCAGGGTAATCAGTGTACACTACATTCTAGGAGAGTGTAAACAAGAAAACTAGTAACTTGAACGGGGGAATACATGGCTCTTAGAAACGGCGTGGGAAGTATCCTGGTTACACTGAACAATTCAGACATATTAAGAAAAGCCAACCAGGCACAGTGGCTCACACTGTAATTCTAACACTTTAGGAAGCTGAGGTAGGAGGATCCCTTGAGGCCAGGAGTTTGAAACTAATCTGATCAATATAGCAAGACCCTATCTGCACACACACACACACACACACACACACACACACAGAAAAAGAAAAGCCAAATGTGATCAAGCCACTGCACTCCAGCCTGGTGACAAAGTGAGACCATGTCTGAAAAAGAAAGGAAACAAAAAGAAAAGCCAACAGCACAGAATCCAGTTATACTAGAGGAAACATTGCTTTCTAAACTGTGAAGATAAGCACTTAAGCATCAGACCACAATAGCAAAGTTAGAACAGGAGTTGATGAAAAGATTGAAGGAGAGAGTTATAATCCCAGCCAAACAAAAAGATACACCTTTTCAAGGGAAAAGGAACAGAAGGCAATGATACATGGCTGCAGATCACATGGCAAAAGTTGAACTTCTGATATGTAAATTTGAGAAGTTTAAGAAAAGAAACAGATAAGAATCAAAACCTCTTATAATTTTACTAAGAGCAAATCAAGACTTTAAGAAAACTTTGTTCTAATACAGGGAACCAATTTTTAGTTTTGTAGTAGTGTATTTTTAATATCAAAACTCAAACCTTAGAAAGATTGTTATAAATAATTATTCAAAATTATAGCTAACTTAATCACATACAAAATTCCTTTTATAAAATTTTCTTTTCATGAACCTTATCACAATTTACACAGGCCATTTAAGTTATGTGTGGACTTTTTGCTTTGTCCTATAATCAGTCATTTTCCTTTAGGACAAAAACTTCACCATACAAGATTCTTTCTCATACAAAATTATTCTCTCTCTCTTTTTTAAACTTTTCTTACCAAAAATATAACTTCATATCCGTAAGCTTCTTTACATCTCTCCCTCCTACTTGCTGGCTTCTTTTAATTTTGTTTCATATTTTTAAAAACCTGAAAATTAGACAAAAATTATTTTTTCTTAATAAATAACATATTTTTATGCCTTTTAAATAATTTTTAAATTAAAAACACATTTTAGGCACATTTATATACAGAATCATATATAAATTAGAATTTTTAACTCTTAGTAAACTTAAATTTAGTAAAAACCTAGGAAGCCAGAAATCTTGAATTGTCTGTCACATATTAGAATTTTATTGATGAGAACCATATTATAATTTTATTTTTGAGATGGAGTCTCGCTCTATCACCCAGGCTGGAGTGCAGTGGCATGATCTCGGCTCACTGCAACCTCCTTCTCCCAGGTTCAAGTGATTCTCCCACCTCAGCCTCCCAAACAGCTGGGACTACAGGTGTATGCCACCATGCCCAGCTAATTTTTGTATTTTTGTAGTGATGGGGTTTTGCCATGTCAGCCAGGCTGGTCTTGAACTCCTGACCTCAGGTGATCTGCCCGCCTCAGCCTCCCAAAGTACTGAGATTTCAGGCATGAGCCACCATGCACAGCTTATATTATAATTTTTAGAAACATGTAACATAATTTTTCTTAGTTGGAAATGGAGACATTTAATTTAAGATTTCAAACATGAAAAGTTTATTTATAGGCATTTATCCCATTGACATTTACTTATTTAGTAAATTGCTTTTCTAGACCCTCAAGATAAGGTCTTTGGCTAGATTAATTATAAAAACTGAGATATTAGACAAAGTGAATCATCATTTTATAAGTTATTTTCCTGCTAACCATTTTTACAGCCTGTGAATATTAGGTGTTCACCTAAGTAAGAACATTAAAGTTAAATATATATGGCTATTTTTCTGATAACTCAGAAGATTTAGCTGTTTTTATTAAACCAACAATATGAAATAATTTTTCTTATAAAAAATTACATAAAGATCATTCTGTTTCTGGCTGGGTTTATAGTTTTATAGCCTTCATGCTAAACCCTGACATCTTAAATATTTATTAGCTCATATAAACCTGTCTGACCACTCAACCCAGGCAAAAACATATGCTGACAATTCCGAAGACATTTCTATCTTTTATTTTACCACTAATTTCAAACCCATCTTATTTCTTAGAGATTTACTTAAGTCAGATGAACTTCAAAAATATTTGGGCTTACTAATTTATGAGCACTCATTTATTTATAAGTCATTTGGTACTACGTAGACACAACATATAATAAATGTACATATTTGTAAACACATCAAACACATACACACACACAAATGTCTTACAGCTTTCATTTTAGAATTTTAGTCATGAGACATTAATAAGAAACTCACTGGTTTATAAAAGATGTTTGGATCCAAGTTACACTTTTTTTTTTTTTTTTTTGAGACAGACTCTCTCGCTCTTCTTGCCCAGGCTGGAGTGCAGTGGCACAATCTTGGCTCACTGCAACCTCCACCTCCCAGGTTCAAGCGAATCTTGTGCCTCAGCCTCCCGAGTAGCTGGGATTACAGGTACCCACCACCACGCCCAGCTAATATTTGTATCTTTAGTGAGGATGGGGTTTCACTAGGTTGGTCAGGCTGGTCTTGAACTCCTTACCTCAAGTGATCTACCCGCCTTGGCCTTCCAAAGTGCTGGGATTACAGGTGTGAGCCACCACGCCTGGCCCCAAGTTACATTTCTGACAAAATTGGGACATGTTCACGTGGCTAAACTTTATTTGCTTTAATGAGTAATGTAATGAAGGCTGTGAACCCAAATTTTGGGTAAAGCAGTTTCCATGGCAGTTTGATTTTTAACACCCCTTTTACATTTTTTTTTTTTTAGTTTTACATGAGTTTAGGGTTAAAAATTCAGTGTCTACATTTTAGTTAGAACTGGCTGAATTCTGTAAGAAAAACAAAATCTCCAGGTAGTCTTGAACTAGTAACACCATAAACAATGAGTTTTATCTGGAAAGCACTAGAAAAGTCAGTAGATTCAGGCTGGGCATGGTGGCTCACGCCTGTAATTCCAGCACTTTGGGAGGCCAAGGTGGGCGGATCACGAGGTCAGGAGATCGAGACCAACCTGGCTAACACAGTGAAATCCCGTCTCTACTAAAAAAATAGAAAATATTAGCCAGGCATGGTGGCGGGTGCCTATAGTCCCAGCTACTCGGGAGGCTGAGGCAGGAGAACGGCGTGAACCTGGGAGGCGGAGCTTACAGTGAGCCGAGATTGTGCCACTGCACTCCAGCCTGGGCAACAGAGCGAGACTCTGTCTCAAAAAAAAAAAAAAAAAAAGAAAAGAAAAGTCAGCAGATTCAACGTATTCAGAAAGAAAAGAAAAAAAAAAGAGAGAGAACTTAGAAGACTCTACATGTTAATAACTCTAGCTGCAGATTGGTTGCTTGAGCTCTGAATTTTCTTTGATGTTATTTGTCCATCAGTTTAAACAAGTGGACAAGAATGGGCAATAGTATGTAGCTGGCTGCAGTCCCAGAAAACCTGGCATGCCTTAATGTTTGAAAATCCAATTTTTGGTCATTTCAGTGTTAAATCATTGTCTCTCTTTCTCCCTCTGGTTATCTAAAAACTTGTGGGGCCTCAGAAGAGCCGATTGTCAATTGCTTGTGACAAGGAATTTCCTATGGGACCTCTGTGCATTGCAAGGATTGCACCTCCAACACCTCCACGAGCCCTCTAATCACCGAGGGTTGCCAAATCAGAATCCAGCTGGAAGGAGCAAATATTCCCGGTCTTTGGAGTTGACTCAGGTCAAACTCTCATAGATTTTTAAGAGCTTCTGTCCTGCTGAGGTTTACTTACAGAGTCAAACGGAAAGGGGGAGCACGGGCACAACCTAGCCAATCAGACACCTCACGTGATCATTTCTTCCTAGTGTTTCAGCTAGGAGAAATCCCCTTCTCAAGAAACAGAAGTCGCAAGGAAGAACTTCCCCCTTCATCAAGGAGTCGTAGCAACTATGTGTAAATAAATCTCAAGACCACCAGCTATGTGTGAGGAGAGACTCACTCAGTGGTCTTTAACCACTGGGGACCCAGAGGGACTCAAAGGGCCCATGCTGGTACCAAGGCACCGGGTCCTGGTGATGTTTTGGACAACTCTGGGCAGTTGGCTTGGAGTTCCCTCATGGTCACCATGATTGTTGACTAAAGGAGAAAAAATCAAGCTTTCAAATAACTAAAGTTAGTTTTATTCTGAAGTCTTACTGAGGACTACAGATTGAGGCCTATAGCCTGGGAGCAGCTCTGTCAGGCTGCTCCAACACAGTGTTTCAGCTCACTGCTTGTGTACAGAGTGGGGGCTTAATATGCACAAGAGCACATCAAACATGCTCGGGAGTGACATTGAAGCAGAGTCCCGTCGAGGTCTGGTGGTAGAGTACATCTGCTTATAGATGACAGCGGCATCATCACGAACCCCTTCAGGTGTTGGTCATCTTATGTGTAGGAAGAGGCAATAATTTTTTTTTTTTTTTTTTTAGAGTCAGAGTCTTGCACTGTCATCCAGGCTGGAGCGCAGTGATTGATTTTTTTTAATTTAATCAACAATCATGGTGACCATGAGGGGACTCAGAGCCGATTCTCCAGGGTTGTCTGATCATAGCTCACTGTGTAACCTCAAACTCCTGAGCTCAAGTGATCCTCCTGCCTCAGACTCCCAAGCAGCTAGGCATGCACCACCATGCCCAGCTACTTAAAAAAAATTTTAAGGCCAAGCACTGTGGCTCATGCCTGTAATCCCAGCACTTTGGGAGGCCGAGGCAGGTGGATCACTTGAGGTCAGGAGTTTGAGATCAACCTGGCCAGTATGGTGAAACCCCATCTCTACTAAAAATATAAAAATTAGCTGGGTGTGATGGGGCATGCCTGTAATCCCAGCTACTCAGGAGACTGAGGCAGGAGAATCACTTGAACCCAAGATCACTTGAACTGCAGAGGTTGCAGTGAGCCAAGATCCTGCCACTGCACTCCAGCCTGGGTGACAGAGCTAGACTCTCTCAAAAATAAAAATAAAAATTTTAAAATAGAGACAGGGTCTTGCCATGTTGCCCAGGCTGGTCTCAAACCCTTGGCCTCAAATGATCATCCCACGTTGGCATCCCAAAGCACTGGGATTACAGGTGTGAGGCACCGCTCCTGGCAGGGGTCATGTTATCTTTGAAGGAATGTAGTGACTCAGGCAAGAGATGTGGGGGCCGTGCGCTCTGTCCTGCTTTGTCTTCAAAGCATCTTTCTGGAGAGCTACACATTGTGGAAGAGTCAGGGCTTTGTGAAATTATACTGCAAGCAGAAAGGAGCACACGTGGCTTCTTACATTTGCTACTTTGTTTTGCAAAAGTAACACTTGTGCATTAGAGAGGATTTGAAAAGGACAAAATACAGAAACTAAGGGGGAAAAATCCATCATCCCACTACTCAGAAACAACCACAGTTAATATTTTGGGATTTTTGTTTTGTTTTCTGTCCTTTTATTCTATTTAATTTTTTATTGTGGTAAAATCACATACTATAAGATGTACCATCCTAACCATCTTTAGGTGTGCAGTTCATGCTTCGTAGTTTTCAGTTTATACACCTGACGTCTCTTTTGTCAAATTTATCCTTAGTATTTCATACTAGGTGATGCCTTTGTGGGTGGTGTTTTAAAATTTCTCAATTTCCAATTGTTTCTTGCAAGTAAATAAAAATACAATTGATTTATCTGGGCGTGGTGGCTCACACCTATAATCCCAGCACTTTGGGAGGCTGAGGCAGGCGGATTACCTGAGGTCAGGAGTTCGAGACGAGCCTGGCCAGCATGGTGAAACCCTGTCTCTACTAAAAATACAAAAATTATCCGGGCATGATGGTGGGCACCTGTAATCCCAGCTACTTGGGAGGCTGAGGCAGGAGAATCTCTTGAACCTGGGAGGCGGAGGTTGCAGTGAGCTGAGATCGTTCCATTGCACTCCAGCCTGGGCGACAAGAGCAAAAATCTGTCTCCGAAAAAAAAAAAAAAAAAAAAAAAAGCGGTTGATTTTTGTTTAATGCTCTTATATCCCACAACCTTGCTAAATTCCCTTACTTGTTCTGGCTTCTGTCTTTTAGAAAACTGACACGAGCTCTGCTAATGATGGAGGTGTTGCCTGAGTCATCCAAGCCAACCTGCTGTTTCCTAGACATGAAATTGCCGGGTTGCAGGACAATGAAGCATTTTGAATAAGCGCTGCCAAACTACTTCCAAAAAGAGCTGCTGACTTCTACTACAGTACGGGCATTCCTGTCTTCCCCATCCCGCTAGGCAGGCTGTGGGATTTGGGGCAGAGCCATGGGGCTGTCTGTGAAACAGCTCCCGGTCCTGCACCTGGCTCTGCACTACGAGCGTCATCCTCACGGCTTTTCCAGGCATCCTGTGGGCGATTTATCTGAGTGTCAACAAATGGAAAGAGGGTTCTGTGTGAGTTCCTGTCCTATAGCATGGAGTGTCATGTTAAAGGACACTTTTTGTGCCGTTGTCTAAATACAAATGGCTGCAGGCATTGAACTAATGGACTTTGGACAGAGTCAAGCAACTCCATAGTGAGGGACGAGGAGGCGACTTCCCCCACCTGGTTCTCGCCCTCCTGTCAGTCCTTGCTGGCCAGGGCCCAGTCCATCGCATTCTGCTCACCCACCTAACCTCCGCAGCTGGGCGGCCTTTCATCCTGCTTGATTGAATGGTATGAAATTGCCTCTTTTTCGTCAAAACAGCCACCTGTCAGCAATTCCGTGCAGTTCAACCAAATTATTGAAGTGCAGCTGATGCTCAGTGTCAATTTTCTCCGCACGCGGTTCCCTGGCCGAGCAGCCCCTCAGGGCCCAAGCATGGGAAACAGAGGGGCCCTCCTTACAGCGGCCTTTCCTGACCAAGTGCATCCTAACCTGAGCAGCTAGAGGGGCAGGGAGACCTCACCTTCCTCATCCTTCTTCCTCTCCTCTGGAAATAGCAGAACCTTCCAGTGGCTTTCCACCTTATTCAGAGAAAAAGCCCAAGTCCTCAAAGGTCACCCCACGGTCCAGCTCCCCGACCTCCACCCTGCCCTGGCTCCTGCTGGCTCCTTGGGCGGCCTCCAGGTGAGTGCACTTGCCTGCTCCCTCGCGTCTGAAAGCCTCTGCCTGTTGCCCAGCACCCCTCCCTGGTCGCGGGAGTGTCTCTGTGATTCACAGCCCCACGGTGCCTCTCATTGCTGGAGCTGTTTATTGTCTGTCTGCCCCCAGAACCCAAGGTCCAGTAGGGCAGAGACAGACTGGATTTCCCCTGTCCTGTCCCCAGGTGTGACCTGGTATGTTGCAGACACCCAGCAGATACTGCATGCACGAATGGATGAATATCAACGTCAAATTACTTTTCATAAAAGTTCCCTTTTCGGCTGGGCATGGCGGCTCACACCTGTAATCCCAGCACTTTGGGAGGCCAAGGCAGGTGGATCACCTGAGGTCAGAAGTTCAAGACCAGCCTGGTCAACATAGTGAAACCCTGTCTCTACTAAAAATACAAAAATTAGCTGGGCATGGTGGGGGTTGCCTGTAATCCCAGCTACTCGCAAGGCTGAGGCAGGAGAATCGCTTGAACCCATGAGGCGGAGGTTGCAGTGGGCTGAGATTGTGCCATTGTGCTCCAGCCTGGGCAACAAGAGCAAAACTTTGTCTCAAAAAAAAAAAATCCCTTTTCTTGTCCCTGTTTTGCTTGTGCCTAAGGGTGTGTGTAGGATACTGTTTGTTGGGCAATCCAGGATTTCCTACACGGGCTTCACTTCAATTTTGCTGTTACATTTCAATACCAAGTGGGTTTGTTTGTTTGTTTGTTTGTTTGTTTTAGAGATGGGGTCTTTCTCTGTCACCCAGGCTGGAGTGCAGTGGCATGATCATGGCTCACTGCAGCCACGAACTCCTGGGCTCAAGTGATCCTCCTGCCTCGGCCTCCTGAGTAGTTGGGACCACAGGTGTGCACCACCGTGCCCAGTTTCCAACTGTGTGTGTGAGAAATAAGAACTCATAGGTGCCCTAATACCTGGATTCTGACATGTTTGAAAAGACAGGTATAAAATGCTTCAATCACTGCTGTCCTTCAGCCTTGCATATTGCTGTGGAGAAGCTTGTGGTCAGTGTTGTTTCACTCCTTGTGGTAACTTGATTTTTCTGCCTGTGTGGCTGTAGGATTTATAGCAGGTGTTGTTTCTGGCTACTCAGCCCTTACCAGCTCTTCTCACTCTCCTCCATACCACTGGGGCTAGAAGTCTGAAAACTACATTCCCCAGACCCACTGCCAGATGGATTTCCATGGGGTTCTGTACTTGGAGGCACTTATGTGGGGTTAGAATGCAGGGGCTAGGAAGGACCACTCTGCTTTTGACCTTGGCAGCAGCAGCAGCTGTCTCAAAGTGACGTCGTAGCAGAGGAGCTCAGGCTCAGATGATGGAGGATTTGCAGGGTGGAGGCCACCCAAAGCCCATCCCTGGTCGTGGCTGTGCAGCAGGTGGGATGTCTAGCTCAGGTTCCTACAGGCGTCGTAGCTACTTCCCATGGGTCAGGGTCTTTGAGCAACACCCCTATCCCCTTGTATTCTGTACAGATTCTCTGTATTAAACCCTTTCTGTTAGAAACACGCAGAGTGGTTTCTGTTTCCTGTCTGCACCCGAGCTGATCCACACTGAGCATCAGGAGTGCATCCAAGAGAAGGACTCTGATCTGTGCTCTGTGGAGAATCCCGACCTGCATTCTGCAGTTGCTTCACCCAGGGGTCCAGATGTTGAGACTGAAGAAGGCTCACACCCTCAGAGTGTATGGGAAGTTGTGTTGCTCAGATAATGAGCTTTCTGAGGAGGCAGGGCAGGCACAAGCAGTCCCGAATGGCTGAGCAAAGAGGGCGTGCATTGCTTTGATATTTATTGGGGCCGGGGCCGGGGCTGGAGCTTGAGCGGTTTGAACTTCCTGCCAAGGGAGAGACAACACAGGATTTCTTATTGGCTTGCTCAGACGCAGGGCAAAAGGTTGCTGGGGAGGGGCTTACCTGAAAGTTGTCAGCAGTCAAAGAGCAAAAACGGAGTCCGACTCTATGATAATCTGGGGTTGGTTCACAAGACTGGGCTCGAACGTGGTGATGGCCTCATTCTGATGGAAAATGGAATGCGATGGCCTGTATCACCCCTGCGAACATTCACCCAAATTACCACCTGGCGTTGTCTGCAATGAAATGCTGCGATAGGCTGTTGGGGTGGCACATCAGTTAGCCAGAGCTGTGTCACAGCCGTGCACCTCCGTGGCTGAAGACATTAAGTGGGCACTTACTGTTGCTTGAAAGGCTCTGGCTCAGCTGGGGTTCTGCTGATCTGGACCTGGTCTTTGCTGAGCTTGCTTATGAGCCTGTGGCCACCTGGCAGGTCAGTTGAGGGTTGACTAGTTTAGGGTGGTCTCACTATCACCTCTGGGGGTGGCTGAAGGTCAGCTGGGGCAATGGGAGTGACCGGGCCACAATGCCTCTCATCCTCCAGCACTCTAGCCTGGGCTCGTTCCCATAGCAGCACGGCAGGAACAGAGGGAGGAGTGATCACCGCTGCCCTGTCTTCTTCTTTCTCTCTTTCCTTCCTGTCTTTCTTTCCAGCTTTATTAACATATATTTCACATACCATAAAATACACTCTTATCTACGGCCATACCACCCTGAACGCGCCTGATCCCGTCTGATAAAATGCACTCATTTCTGGCATACAATTCAATTACTTTTCACAAATGGAGAGTCATGCAATGGTAACGACGCTAAGCTTAGAACACCTCCGTCACCCCAAAAGGAGGCTGCACACCCTTGCAGTCACTCCCTGTTCCCACCCATGGTCCCCGGGGACTGAACCATTCCATTCATTTCCTGTCTCTGTAGATTTGCCTTTTCCAGACATTTTGTATCAGTGGGATCACAAGATCTGTGGTCTTTTGTGTCTGATGGCTTCCACTCAGCATAATGTGATGTTATTCCATGTATCAGAACTTTGTTCCTTTTTATTGCCATATCATATCCCACTGCATGAATAGACCACACTGTTTCTCCATTCACCAGTGGATAGACACTTGGGTTATTTCCAGTTTGGAGGCTACTATGAATAAAGCTGCTATAAATATTCATGTACAAGTTTCTATGTGCAGATATGTTTCCATTTCTCTTGGGTGGATACCTAGGAGTGGGATTGCTGGGCCATATGGTGACTCTATGTTTAACAATCCAAGAACCTGCCAAACTGTCTCCAAAGCAGTTGCTGCACCATTTTCCATTCCTGTTACCAATGCGCGAGGGTTCCAGCTTCTCCACAGCCTCTCCAACTCTTATCCGTCTTTCTGATTACAGGCACCCCAGGGTGTGCCTAGTGGTATCTTGTGGTTATAATTTGCATTTCTCTATTAACTAATGTTGCCAAGCATTTCTGAAAGCATCTGAATATGTCCTTTGGAGAAATAGCTCTTCAAATCTTTCAGCCATTTTAAATTGGGATGTTTGTCTTCTTACTTAGTTGTATGATACAGGCAACACATATTGTTAATATAAGTCCTTTAGGGAATATATAAGATTTGAGTGTTTTCTTGCATTCTCTGGGCTGGCTCCTTGTTGAAAAATCGATTGACCATAAATGTAAAAGATTACTTATGGATTTTCAGTTCTTTTCCGTTTATCTGTATGTCTATCATATTTCTAGTACCACATTGTCTTGATTACTGTGGCTTTGTAGTAAGTTTTGAAATTAGGACGTGTGAGTCTTCCAGCTTTGACCTTTTTTAAAGATTATATTGGCTATTTGGGGTACTTTATTGGCATGCCAATTTCTAGGAAAGCAAACAAAACAAAACAAAATAAAGCCAGCTGGAATTTTGGTAAGGACCACAATCAATCTGTAGATGAATGTGGGAATTATCGCTATCTTAACCGTGTTGAGTTGCCCAATCCATGAACATGGGATGTCTCTCCATTTAGATCTTCTTTCAACAACATTTTGTAATTTTCAGTGGACAGGACTGCACTTGCTCAAGGGGTCTTGAGATCCAGTCCTGGGACTGTTACGTGACGTGTCTAACACACTCTGTGGACACAGTTCTGGGGTCCACGCACCAGATACAAGACATGGGGAAAGAGACTACCCCTGTTGGTAGGAAGCATTGCAAGGCCACGTGGTACAGAGTGTGGATCCGGGGATGGTGAAGAAATGTGGCCATTGCTCTCACCTTTTTAGCACAGGTGTGAATGATGACTATGAGGAATGAGGATTGGGCAGCTGCTGATGCCTGCACTGGGGAACTTAATGAAAGTCAGTGCCAATCCTATTGCCAAACGTCTTCATTTACAAATGACCAAAAATGGAGCATCTATCGTGGCCCTAACCACTTACCTCGTGTAGCCTCAGCACTGACTTAGTTGAAAGTCACCCCAAATTGGCCTTGGAGGTTGCAGAAGTCCAAGGAAAGCTGAATCTAGAGCCTCACCAGGTCATGTATGTGAAAGTTTGCATCATCTGGAGAAGAATAGGGTCCTGAGAATCAGAATGAGAATATTACCTGGGTTGGAATGAGTCTGATGAACTTGAACTTCCAACCGCCCTCCAGACTCCCTGGCTAGCAAAGTAGCCTCTCCTCCCCTGTGTAGACTGTGTCTACACTGGCCTTCCTTTGTAGACTGGCCTTCCTTTGCTTGACAGGTGAGTGGTACAGATTTTTAACCTTGCCCAACAGGAAGTCCGGTCTTTGCCTTCAGCTCCTGGGTGCTAATCTCCAGGTCCTTAGGATGTCCAGCCTAATAAGAGGGTCTTTGTTTCTGTGGAGGTTTTGGGCCACACCAGAGAGTCTACGCTTACAATGTGATTTATGGTGGGAGTCTCAGGTCACATGGGATTGCCTAATGTCCAGAGGGACCAGAGACTGAGGTTGGCCACAAAGGCAATCAACCATGGAGTCCAATAAAGACTTTGGACACTGAGGCTCAAGTGAGCTTCCCTGCTTGGCCATACTCCATGCAGACTGTCACACATCAATACCAAGAAGTCACACCATCTACAGCTCTGTAGGGAGAGGACACCTAGAAGCTTGCACATGGTGTCTGCTGGCCCCTGACCCCAGTGTCTCTTCCTTTGGCTGCTTTTAATCCGTATCTTTTTGCTGTAATCAACCATAAACACGAGTATAACAGCTTTCAGTGAGTTCTGTGGGCCCTTCTGGTAAATTGTTGAACCACAGAGTGATCTTGGGAACCCTCCAAACCTACAGTGGGTGTCAGAAGTAAGGGCAGTCTTGCAGAATGCACCCCCTAACTTCATGCCTGCCCTGTAATCACCTCCCCCAAGGCAGTTGTTTGCTGGGGGATTCTCCCTTCTCACAACAGCCTCAGCATCCCTTTTTGCCTCTAGATTCGTAACTCAAGGCAGAGCCCAGCATGCCCCATGGGGACACATATAAAGTCTAAACCCAATGAGAGATGGTTGACACCCCAAAATTCATATGGGTAGAAACTCTTGGGTTGAGTGTGGGGATGGCTTCTCTCTTCGTCTGTTTGGTCTGCTTTAAGAGGCTACCATAGACTAAATGGTTTATAAACAACAGATATTTATTGTTCACAGTTTTGGAGGCTGAAAGTCTGAGATCAAAATGCTGGCAGATTCCGTGTCTGTTGAGGGCTTGTTCTTCATAGACAGTGCCTTCTCACTCTGTCCTCACGTGGCCAAGGGTGAACAGCTTCCTAGGGCCTCTTTTAAAAGGCACTAAACCCACTCATGAAGGCTGTGCCCTTATGATGTATTCACCTCCCCAACTCACCTCCTAAGGCTATCACCTTGGAGGTGAAGACTTCAACATATGCATTTGGGGGGATTCAAATATTCAGTCCATAGCAGCTTCCAAGGGTGGATCCGGTCACGCTTATCCATGTGTATTTCCTTATTGGAGCTGCTGGCCTGTGGGTGATTGCTCACCAGTGAGGAGGGGTCACTGGTTTGCTTGGTTAGACAGCCGAGACATGCACTCAGTGGCCCTCACTGACTGAGGTCAAGACGCCAGCACACCTCTGGTGTAGCTGAGAAAGAATGAGAGGGCTTAGTGAATGGGATACTGGAACGGTTTTGTCCTGTGTAGCTCATCCCTGCACCTCTATGCCTTGTAGATGTTCCCACCTCTTAGTGGGTGGATCCTTTCCTCTGAATGGGGAAAGGAATTTTACTCCAGAGCTCGGCCTCAGAGACTAGCTAACCACGTCATATTTCTTCATTCCTTTAACAAATGCTTCACAGTGTTCACTCTATGCCAGATCTTGCTCTGAAAACTTTGCAAAAATAATTCACTTAACCCGCAGCACCACAGGTGTTTTGCTGGTGATACTCTTATGATTCCCATTTTGCAGGTAAGAAATGCATAAAAGGGCTACATGGATGGCCATGGCCACAGAGCTGACAGAGCATCCTGACCCCTTTCCGGGTCACTCAGCATGAAGCTCCCACCTGCACACAAGGGGGAGAGGTCCCAGGCCCGCACCTCTCTCCTTGGCATGAATTTGGTCTCCAAATGTCCTGTGAGCACATACATGGACAAGAAGCACATGAGCCTCCCCAGAGCAGACAGGATTCTCAAGGATGCTATGCCAACTCTGGAAGGGTGCCCCTGCTGGGCGCCTCTGCCCTCTCTTGTCCCCCTTCCTGCGGGACAGACCCTCACAGGCCCAGCCTTGTGCAGAGCCCAGTTCCAGTCCCTGTCTGGGCAGAGCCTGTGGCCTGGCTGTGTCCCCAGAGCCCAGTACCTCCCAGACGCAGCTGGGTCCGACAGCCCTGCCCCTGCGGTTCCACATCGGCTCATCTGCATTTGGCCCCATCCCTCCTTCTGACCTCCCAACTTGGCTATGCATTTTACCCTTATTTTAGAAAATCAGCACTTCTGGCGCTTGGGGTTATAAACAGAGCTCTCGGCCCTGCCTGTTCAGGCGTCTTGGGCAGGAGAAACCAGCCTTTTGCCTGGGGCCTAGGGGTCCACTCCAGTCTTCCCAACCACAGCAAGGATTCCGTTGTCAGGAAGCACCTGTGCACAGAACATTCTCCCGGTGCCCCAGTGACGGACATTTCAAGCTGTTGCTGTGGAGCCGCCTGTGTGCAGGTTTTTTTGAGGGATGGCTCTATCACTGTGGGTGTACCGTGTCAAGAGCGAACACGTCTGAAGATGTCGGTGGGGGCAGTGGCGCTGCTCTGCACAGAGGCTGTGCTCTGTGTGAGCTCACCCAGAGAGGGAATAGAGTTCCCTTTCCAGCACTGGGAGTGGGTGGGGCTCCTATGAAGAACAAAAATATGTGACCTTATTTGTACCCCAAGCTGGTAGAACAGGTTGCACTGGCTATGTTTGTCTATAATGTCTTTTGCCATGAGATATTTTTAATTTTTACATGGATAAATCTGTCATTTCTTCCATCATGTATATTGCAAATGTATATATATTTTTTTTGCAAATTCAGAGTTCCTGGTGGAGTCTTTGCTGAGTAAAAGTCTTAAATGCTTATGGTTGAATCTGTCCATCGTTTTGGGATGTGTGTTGCAAGAAGCGTCCCTCAGTTTGTTCACTGTGGTTCTCTTAACTGATCAGAAGTTTGGAATTTTTGTGTAGTCAGGTCTGTCAGTCTTTCTTTGTGGCTTCTGTGCTTTTGTGGTGGGGTTGTTGAGGAGGACCACGAATGATAGCCCATCCCTCCCCCCACACATACACACACCAAATTCAGACCAAGTGAGGCCCATGAGTCAAACTGGTGGAAATGAAAATCTGGTTCAGTACTGACAGGGCTGGGTTGAGGCTGTGGATTAGATAAGCAGCTGCCATGGGCTCCATGGAGTGTGCCCCTCCAACAGACACCCTCTGGTGACAGTTGGATGGGAAAAATGAGGTAGAATCTGTCATTGTTGCTTCCCTCGTTTTCCACTAGCAAGCCCAGACAGGGAGATGGTCAGCATTTCTGAGGCGGCAGTAACAGAAGCCTCAGAGTCTCACCCCTAGACCTCATGTCATAGGATATTCATTTTGCTGTTATTTGTCTTGCCTAGGGGAATATGGTCCTGGAGCCAAACATAGGGGCATCTTATGGTTTCCCCAGTTTCTGGATTGTGGCAGGAATGGAAGCTTCCTGGAGAGGCGCATTGGATATCTTTTTGCTGTGTAATGAATCATCCCAAAGCTCAATGACCATGCATTCAGGTCATGGTTCTGTGGGTTGACAATTTGGGCTGGGCTCAGCAGGATGGTTCTGCTGGGCTTGGCTGGGTTCACGCTTGCATCTGTGCTCAGCTGTTGGTTCTGTAGTTAGTCGGTGGGTCAGCTGGGATCTAGCTGGTTCTTATTGGCATCACACACAGGTTTATCAGTTGATTGGTTTGGGGCTGGGGTGCTTCAACACTTACCCAGTTTCTTAGCCTCACCAATACTTGTTCACATTGTCCCAGCTCTCCAAGAGCACCAGAGCAGGAGCTCCAGAGCTTTACTTTCAATACCTTCTTTGGTCAAAGCTAGTCACAAGTCAGTCCCTAATGAGGGGGTCGGGGGAGGCGGCGAAATGGATCTACTTCTTGACTGCAGGAGCTGCAAAGGATCTGTGGCCATTTCTAATCTACCACAGCAGGACAATTCTGGAGTACCACTGTGAGAGCCGTGGCTGAGGCCCAGCTGAAACCCTGCTCTTCCTGCTGTCACAGTGCCCTTAATTCTCTCCATTCTGCCTTGATTCAATCCCTTTCTACCCAAAGTAGCCAGGATAAGTTTTTGTTATCCACAGCTGAATCCTGACTCCTACAGTATTTGACACCAGAAGTGACTGCAGATAACAGACCTTGGTGGGTGAGATTCTGGATGGTTTCTATGACCTGGTTGGGTTTGGGGGCCATGAGGATGAAGGGATATTTGGAGTCCGTGGCACCTGGTGAGACAGTTAATTAAGTAACCACCTGTGCTCACCTAGAGTGAAGCTCCTGTGCAGTGTGGGTCTGGTGATGGCAGCACAGTACAGCGGGCAGGAGGGGCACAGGCCTGTGGGCTGAGGTGGCTGCTCTGAGCTGCACTGGAGAGTCTCAGGAAACAAGATGACACAGTTGGGCTTTTCAAATGCTGAGCTCAAGGCCTGGTCAGAGAACAAGGTTTCCATCATCACTGAAAGAATCTCTTCTCTCTTAAGGCTGTTGAGTCTGGTGTGCCCTCAGGTCAGCCTCAGGGCATTATTGGGAGGTTTGCTGAATGCCAATGTAGACCGGACTTTCACCCTCCCTCAGGTCTCTTCTGTGAGAATCAGGGCATGGACTGGGAAGGTGTTGGACCCCAGAATCAGGAGGGGGGCGATGAGCTGCATACCCTGACAATCACACCAAGAGAAGTAGCCCCTGTTTGATGGGTCTGGTCCTGCATTGTTTGAAGACCTCTCTGTGACCTCACCTGATGTGGTTACTTTGCAAGCAGGTGCTGATTTCCATCCCACTCCACCACTACCAACCTCACCACTTCCAAACCTGCAATTACAATCAGATCCCGGCATGTCCCAGGGGTATCAGCACAAACCTAATTTGGGAAAAGAAGGCTTACACATCAAAAGGTTTGCAAGATTTGTCATTTATATTGTTAGAAGACTGGGGGTGTGTGTGTGGGGGTGGGTGGCTTCTGCAAACACTAGACCTGGGAGGGAAGCACAAACTTAAAGATTAGAGTCTGTTGAGCTGTGTGCATTTACAAGAGATTCTGAATTCAATATTTTTAGTTCAAGAAGCTGGAAGTGGCCGGGCGTGGGGGCTCATGCCTGTAATCCCAGCACTTTGGGAGTCCGAGGTAGGCGGATCACGAGGTCAGGAGATTGAGACCATCGTGGCTAACACAGTGAAACCCTGTCTCTACTAAATATACAAAAAATTAGCCGGGCATGGTGGCGGGCACCTGTAGCCCCAGCTACACAGGAGGCTGAGCCAGGAGAATGGTGTGAACCCGGGAGGTGGAGCTTGCAGTGAGTGGAGATTGCGCCACTGCACTCCAGCCTGGGCGACAGAGCAAGACTCCATCTCAAAAAAAAAAAAAAAAAAAGAAAAAGCTGGAAGTGTCTCTAACATTTTTCTTCGTTGGTTGATTGAAGCCTGAGCTCCAGAGTCACCTCCATCATTGGAGGCTGAGCCGCTGAAGTGCCTTGGCATGACATAGAGGAAGGAGTGCAAAGTGAGGAGAGAGGCACTCATCCCCTGACTCTCCCCATGAAGACCCTGAGGAAAAGCCCCTCACCACGGCCTGGGAAATAGGCAGGAGAGCAAATGCTGGCATTTGGGCCAGTCCCGAGGCTGTCCTCCACAGGTGGGAGTGAGAGAGGGAGATGCTGCTGTCAAAACGGCTCCCTGCCTGCCATGGGGATGATGGGCGACCACATCCCAAAGGGTCAGATCGTAAAGACAGAAGCAAAAATGAACGGACTCAGGTTGGTTAGAACAAATAAGTAAGTCTAGGAGCTAATTATTTGGGGATGAAATCAAAATAAAATAGAAAAGCAATGAGAAAACCCAATCAAGGAGAGAAAAGAGGCACTTGCCCTCCACGTCGCCCGCCTGGCCCTCTTCCAAGTGCACTTTCCTTCCTTTCCTTCCTGCTCTAAAACTTTTTAATGAACCTTTGCCTCTGCTCTGAAACTGGCCTCGGTCTCTCCTTCTGCCTTGTGCCCCACAGTCAAATTCTTTCTTCTGAGGAGGCAAGAATTGAGGTTGCTGCAGACCCCTACAGACTCACCACCGGTAGCTCGGATTCCTGCCACCAATAGCATATGTTGGTGCTCTGTGACTTGGGTAACTTCTGCTGTTAACATACTTTGCTGCGTGACTCCAATATGTTCCCTAGTGGTAAGAGGCCTCTATGCCTCACCTTCTTCTGCTAGAGGCATTCAACCCCCATACGCAGTTTTCTTCTCCTCTTTCTCCTGCTTACTAACCAAACCCCAGAACAATTCCTCTTGGCCATAAGTGACTCTGCTCCCCTGGCTGATTTCTCAGCTCACCCTGGCAGGTGGCTTGCCAGGGTGGAAAGGATCTTAAGGTCCTCACCAAGCAGATTGGAGGTTAGAATTTGGCCCTCCTGGGCAGGAGGCTCTCGACAGTGGTGAGGCTAAGGCCTAAACCCATGCAATGTCTGGGGTTTCCTCTGCTTTTTCAACAAAAACCAGCTCTTTTCCCAAAAACCTGCACTGCCCATTCTCCTAATTTCTCTTTGTGTTCTGAAAGGGCCTTCAGCACCCAGGCGGACCATCTACCTCTGCTTCCACCCCGTGTGCCACGTGACTTCTTAAACACACTCCCTGGCCGGGCGTGTTGGCTCATGCCTGTAATCCCAGCACTTTGGTAGGCCTAGGCAGGCAGATCACGAGGTCAGGAGATGGAGACCATCCTGGCCAACATGGTGAAACTCCGTCTCTACTAAAAACACAAAAATTAGCCAGGCGTGGCAGTGGGCACCTGTAGTCCCAGCTACTCGGGAGGCTGAGGCAGGAGAATGGCGTGAACCCGGGAGGCGGAGCTTGCAGTGAGCCAAGATCGCACCACTGCCCTCCAGCCTGGGCGACAGAGCGAGACTCCGTCTCAAAAAAACCAAAACAAACAAAAAAAAACACACACTCCCTCCTTTGGTCCCATCCCTCCTTCTGACCTCCCAACTTGGCCATGCATTCGCGTGCTCGCGGCTCTTGCTGTGTTTGTGGGGCAGCAGAGACATGGGTTCCCGTGCAGACATCCCCTGAGAGTCACGCTTATTTTTTTAAAAAAAAGAAGAGAAAGTTGAAATATACAACAAGAAGAAAATAATCCCAGATATCAAAAAGATTGTTTACATTACAAGAGCACATTTTGATGAACACCAAGCAAATAAATCAGGCCTTGGTTACGACATTATTCTTACAGAAAATATTATAATGAATGATTATAATAATATTATAGCAGATCTCTGAAGAGATTTAAAAATCTAAGCACACGAAGTGATGCAGACCATTTTTAAAATGTGAACCTTTTATTTATTATTATTTTTTGAGACAGAGTCTTGCTCTATAATCCAGGCTGGAGTGCAGTGGTGTGATCTTGGCTCACTGCAACCTCCGCCTCCCGGGTTCAAACAATTCTCCTGCTTCAGCCTCCCAAGCAGCTGAGATTACAGACTAGTTTTTGTATTTTTATTTTTATTTATTTATTTTTCGAGATGGAATTTCGCTCTTGTTGCCCAGGCTAGAGTATAATGGCGTGGTCTTAGCTCCCTGCAAGCTCCGCCTCCCGGGTTCAGGCGATTCTCCTGCCTCAGCCTCCCAAGAAGCTGGGACTACAGGCACCCACCACCACGCCTGGCTACTTTTTTGTATTTATTTATTTTTTGAGACGGAGTCTCGCTCTGTCGCCCAGGCTGGAGTGCAGTGGTGCGATCTTGGCTCACTGCAAGCTCCGCCTCCCGGGTTCACGCCATTCTCCTGCCTCAGCCTCCCGAGTAGCTGGGACTACAGGCGCCCGCCACCGCGCCCGGATAATTTTTTGTATTTTTAAGAGACAGGGTTTCACCGTGTTAGCCAAGATGGTCTCGATCTCCTGACCTCGTGATCTGCCCGCCTCGGCCTCCCAAAGTGCTGGGATTACAGGTGTGAGCCACCGTGCCTGGCCCCCACTTTTTTGTATTTTTAGTAGAGACAGGGTTTCACCATGTTGGCCAGGCTGGTCTCAAACTCCTGACCTCAGATGATCCACCCGCCTCGGCCTCCCAAAGTGCTGGGATTACAGGCTCAGTGAGCCACCGCACTCAACCCCATTTTTAATTTTTAAAAATGTTAAAACAAATTTTTTTTTTGAAACAGCTCACTCTGTCGCCCAGGCTGAGTGCAGTGGCGCAATCTTGGCTCACTGCAACCTCCACCTCCTGGGTTCAAGCAATTCTCCTGCCTCATCCTCCCAAGTAGCTGGGACTACAGGTGCATGCTGTCATGCCCAGCTAATTTCTTTTGTATTTTAGTAGAGACAGGGTTTCACCATGTTGCCCAGGCTGGTCTCGAACTCCTGAGCTTAGGCAATCCACCCGCCTTGGCCTCCCAAAGTACTAGGATTACAGGCGTGAGCCACCACGCCTGGCCTAGATTTTGTCTTAAAAAAAAAAAGAAAAGAAAAGAAATCTATTAATAAAAATAACATATTTAAAAAATAATATTGATAGCTGGGCGTGGTGGTGCACACCTGTAGTCCCAGCTACTCAGGAGGCTGAGGCTGAGGCAGGAAAATCGCTTCAACCTGGGAGGCAGAGGTTGCAGTGAGCCGAGATTGCACCACTGCACTCCACCCAGACAACAGAGCAAGACTCCGTCTCAAAAAATAAAATAAAATAAAAGGAAAAGAAAAAAGAAATTTCAGGCAGAGGAAGTCGCGGCGCCGGAGGCCCCAGAAGGGTCGAAGGCGCCGCGGGCTGGGGTCGGTGGCTTAGGGAGCCCGTCCGGCCATGGTGGCCGCGGCTGGTGGTTGGCGCGGCTGCGCTGCGGCCCGGGGCAGTGCGGAGCCAGGACAGTCGCGGCGCTGACGCCCGCGGGCCCCAGCTGCAGATATGAAGCGGAGCCGCTGCCGC
Source organism: Homo sapiens (assembly GCF_000001405.40). Taxonomy (NCBI): domain Eukaryota; kingdom Metazoa; phylum Chordata; class Mammalia; order Primates; family Hominidae; genus Homo; species Homo sapiens. Next base: position 105,112,842 of record NC_000014.9, on the reverse strand, counting down.
GACCGACCGCAGCCGCCGCCGCCCGACCGCCGGGAGGATGGAGTTCAGCGGGCAGCGGAGCTGTCTCAGTCTTTGCCGCCGCGCCGGCGAGCGCCGCCCGGGAGGCAGCGGCTGGAGGAGCGGACGGGCCCCGCGGGGCCCGAGGGCAAGGAGCAGCCGCCTGCCTTGGCCTCCCAAAGTGCCGAGATTGCAGCCTCTGCCCGGCTGCCACCCCGTCTGGGAAGTGAGGAGTGTCTCTGCCTGGCCGCCCATCGTCTGGGATGTGAGGAGCCCCTCTGCCTGGCTGCCCAGTCTGGAAAGTGAGGAGCGTCTCCGCCCGGCCGCCATCCCATCTAGGAAGTGAGGAGCGCCTCTTCCCAGCCGCCATCACATCTAGGAAGTGAGGAGCGTCTCTGCCCGGCCGCCCATCGTCTGAGATGTGGGGAGCGCCTCTGCCCCGCCGCCCCATCTGGGATGTGAGGAGCGCCTCTGCCCGGCCGAGACCCCGTCTGGGAGGTGAGGAGCGTCTCTGCCCGGCCGCCCCGTCTGAGAAGTGAGGAGACCCTCTGCCTGGCAACCACCCCGTCTGAGAAGTGAGGAGCCTCTCCGCCCGGCAGCCACCCCATCTGGGAAGTGAGGAGCGTCTCCGCCCGGCAGCCACCCCGTCCGGGAGGGAGGTGGGGGGGGGGGGGGTCAGCCCCCCCGCCCGGCCAGCCGTGCCATCCGGGAGGGAGGTGGGGGGGTCGGCCCCCCGCCCGGCCAGCCGCCCCGTCCGGGAGGTGAGGGGCGCCTCTGCCCGGCCGCCCCTACTGGGAAGTGAGGAGCCCCTCAGCCTGGCCAGCCACCCCGTCCGGGAGGGAGATGGGGGGGTCAGCCCCCCGCCTGGCCAGCCGCCCCGTCCGGGAGGGAGGTAGGGGGGTCAGCCCCCCGCCTGGCCAGCCGCCCCGTCCGGGAGGGAGGTGGGGGGCTCAGCCCTCCGCCCGGCCAGCCGCCCCGTCTGGGAGGTGAGGGGCGCCTCTGCCCGGCCGCCCCTACTGGGAAGTGAGGAGCCCCTCTGCCCGGCCAGCCGCCCCGTCCGGGAGGGAGGTGGGGGGGTCGGCCCCCCGCCCGGCCAGCCGCCCCGTCCGGGAGGTGAGGGGCGCCTCTGCCCGGCCGCCCCTACTGGGAAGTGAGGAGCCCCTCAGCCCGGCCAGCCACCCCGTCCGGGAGGGAGATGGGGGGGTCAGCCCCCCCACCCGGCCAGCCGCCCCGTCCGGGAGGGAGGTAGGGGGGTCAGCCCCCCGCCTGGCCAGCCGCCCCGTCCGGGAGGGAGGTGGGGGGCTCAGCCCTCCGCCCGGCCAGCCGCCCCGTCTGGGAGGTGAGGGGCGCCTCTGCCCGGCCGCCCCTACTGGGAAGTGAGGAGCCCCTCTGCCCGGCCAGCCGCCCCGTCCGGGAGGGAGGTGGGGGGGTCGGCCCCCCGCCCGGCCAGCCGCCCCGTCCGGGAGGTGAGGGGCGCCTCTGCCTGGCCGCCCCTACTGGGAAGTGAGGAGCCCCTCTGCCCGGCCACCACCCCGTCTGGGAGGTGTGCCCAACAGCTCATTGAGAACGGGCCAGGATGACAATGGCGGCTTTGTGGAATAGAAAGGCGGGAAAGGTGGGGAAAAGATTGAGAAATCGGATGGTTGCCGTGTCTGTGTAGAAAGAAGTAGACATGGGAGACTTTTCATTTTGTTCTGCACTAAGAAAAATTCCTCTGCCTTGGGATCCTGTTGATCTGTGACCTTACCCCCAACCCTGTGCTCTCTGAAACATGTGCTGTGTCCACTCAGGGTTAAATGGATTAAGGGCGGTGCAAGATGTGCTTTGTTAAACAGATGCTTGAAGGCAGCATGCTCGTTAAGAGTCATCACCAATCCCTAATCTCAAGTAATCAGGGACACAAACACTGCGGAAGGCCGCAGGGTCCTCTGCCTAGGAAAACCAGAGACCTTTGTTCACTTGTTTATCTGCTGACCTTCCCTCCACTATTGTCCCATGACCCTGCCAAATCCCCCTCTGTGAGAAACACCCAAGAATTATCAATAAAAAAATAAATTAAAAAAAAAAAAAAAAAAAAAAAAAAAGAATGGACTTTCCCAGGCCAGCTGTGGTGGCTCACGACTGTAATCCCAGCACTGTGGCAGGCCAAGGCGGGCAGATCACCTGAGATCAGGAGTTCAAGACCAGCCTGACCAACACGGAGAAACCCCGTCTCTACTAAAAATAAAAAAAAATAGCTGGGCGTGGTGGTGCATGCCTGTAATCCCAGCTACTTGGGAGGCTGAGGCAGGAGAATTGCTTGAACCCAGGAGGCAGAGGTTGTTGTGAGCTGAGATTGCACCATTGCACTCCAGCCTGGGCAACAAGAGGGAAACTCCATAAAAAAAAAAAAAAAAAAAGGACTTTCTCAAAGAAAATGTATTTAAATGTCTGCACCAATAATTCCAGCATGTGTATGAATAAATATGATATGTCCTTTACTAAAAAAAAAAAAACAAAACAAAAAAATAATAATAATATTGATAACAAAACTCCAAAATGTAGCACAATAATGTAAAATTACAGGCCGTAATGACAATCACTGCAATGTTATTGTCGTTTGCAATAACGACAATGCAAAAATACTAAATAAGATATTAGTAAATAGGATCAAGCAGCACATTTTTAAAAATTACACTCTGGGGCCAGGTATAATGGCTCACGCCTGTAATCCCCGTGTGTTGGGAGGTCAAGGCGGAAGGATTGCTTGAGGCCAGGTGAGACCAGCCTGGGAAACGTAACAAGATCCTGGCTCTACAGTGTTTGAAAAATTGCCTGGGCGTGGTGGTGCACACCTATAGTCCTAGCTACTCGGGAGGCTGAGCCAGGAGGAGCGCTTGAGCCTAGGAATTCGACGTTACAGTGAGCTATGATCACACCACTCCACTACAGCCGGGGTGACAGAAAAAAACAACAACATACACTTAAAAAAACAAACAACAACAAAAAAAACCCACACAACCAAACTCTGAAACCGAGTGACGTCTACCATGGAATCATGCAATGTTAAGAATGGCTCTTTTTTTTTTTTTTTTTTTTTTGAGACAGTCTCTCTCTCTCTCCCCAGGCTGGAATGCAGTGGTGAGATCTCGGCTCACTGCAACCTCTGCCTCCTGGGTTCAAGCAATTTTCCTGTCACAGCCTCCTGAGTAGCTGGGATTACAGGCACATGCCACCATGCCCAGCTAATTTTTGTATGTTTAGTAGAGACAGGGTTTCACCATGCTGGCCAGGCTGGTCTCCAACCCCTGACCTCAGGTGATCTGCCCGCCTCGGCCTCCAAAAGTGCTGGGATTACAGGCACGAGCCACCGCACCAGGACTTTTTTGTATTTTTTAGTAGAGACGAGGTTTCACCTTGTTGGCCAGGCTGGTCTCTAACTCCTGACCTCAAGTGATCCACCTGCCTCAGCCTCCCAAAGTGCCAGGATTACAGGCGTGAACCACTGCGGCCAGCCGGGATGGCTCATTAATGGAGAATATTTTAATACAATTCACCATATTAACAAATCAGAAGGCAGAAATTATTAACCTCTCCTTAGATACTTGAAGAGGCATTTTATAAAATTTAACATATTTTATTTTGTTGAGGTAATTTACATACAGTCAAATGGACAGATTTTTAAAACAATCCTAAACCTACAGAAAAGTTTCAACTTAGTTTCTGGAACCATTTGAGAGTAAGTTGCTGACCCGATGCCCCATCACCCTCAGATACTTTAGTGTGTGGTTAGAGCAAGAATATTCTCCTAAATAATAAAAATCCAACTCTCAAAGTCAGGAAACTGGCCGGGCGTAGTGGCTCACGCCTGTAATCCCAGCACTTTGGGAGGCCAAGGTGGGCAGATCACGAGGTCAGGAGATCGAGACCATCCTGGCCAACATGGTGAAATCCCGTCTCTACTAAAAATACAAAATTTAGCCAGACGTGGTGGCGGGCGCCTGTAATCCCAGCTACTCGGGAGGCTGAGGCAGAAGAATCGCTGGAACCCAGGAGGTGGGGGTTGCACTGAGCCGAGATTGCGCCACTGTACTCCAGCCTGGCAACAGAGCTACACTCCATCTCAAAAACAAACAAACAAACAAAAAACACCAAACAAAGTCAGGAAACTGACGCTGATAGAGCAGTGCCTTCTAGTTGATAAAATCCCTGCAGATTTCATCATTTTCCTCACACGATCCCGCCTGGAACTCCACACTGCATTTGGTTGCCCCATCTCTCCAGTCTCCTTCCATTTGGATTTGTTCTTCAGGATTTCCTTTACTTTTATGTCCTTGACACATGGGAAAAATCACACGCCAGTTATTTTGTAGGATGTTTCTCAGTCTGGATCTGCCTGAGGTTTCCTCATTGTTAGATTCAGGATGTACATTGTTGTTAGGAACATCTCAGAAGACAGGCTGTGTTCCCAGGGCACCCCATCAGGTGAACACACATTTCACTTTGCCCTGTTACACACGGTCTGCACCTTGATCAGTTCTCAGAATGTGAAGCTGCTCTCTCTCCCTCTGTAATTACTGAGAATTTTGTGAGAAGGTATATTGAGACTATGCAAATATCCTAGTCCTCATAAGTCATATAATTAATACCTATCAGTGTGGATTCATGAATTCTTATTTATTCAATGCATTCTAATTGTAACTTTCAGTATTTATTTTATAGCTCAAATCATCCCAGATTTGGCCACTGGGAGTGCCTTTAAGCTAGCTTCTGTGTCTTTTTGACATGCCGCCTTCCTTTGTTTTTTTGTTTGTTTGTTTGTTTGAGACAGAGTCTTGCTCAGTCACCCAGGCTGGTGTACAGTGGCGTGATCACGGCTCACTGCAGCTGCAGCTCCTGGGTTCACGGGACCCTCCCACCTCAGCCTCCCAGGTAGCTGAGACTATAGGTGCTTGCTACCAGTCCCGGCTAATTTTCTGTTTTTTTTTTTTTTTTTTGAGACAGAGTCTGGCTCTGCCACCCAGGATGGAGTGCAGTGGCGTGATCTCGGCTCACTGCAACCTCCACCTCCCTGGTTCAAGTAATTCTCCTGCCTCAGCCTCCCGAGTAGCTAGGACTACAGGTGTGCGCCAACATGCCTGGCTAATTTTTTATATTTTAGTAGAGACGGGTTTCACCATGTTTCCAAAGCTGGTCTCGAACTCCTGAGCTCAGGCAATCCACCCTCCTCAGCCTCCTAAAGTGCTGGGATTACAGGCATGAGCCACTGCGCCCAGCGAGTCCCAGCTGATTTTTACAAAACTGTTTGTAGAACCAGGGTCTAGCTATGTTGCCCAGGCTGGTCGCGAAGTCCTGGGCTCAAGGGATCCTCCCACCTCAGCCTCCCAAGCATCTGGGATTACAGGTGTGCACCACCACACAGGCCCCTTCATTCTTGAAGCACAACTTACTCTCTGATAAACACAGTGTTCCAGGCTCCCCTTATATGTTCCCTGAACCAACCTAGTAACTAGCCATTCCTTCAAGGATCCCTAATTCCTTTTGGTGGAAGATGGTATTTCAATATACAGATCTGAAGTGTACAATTCAATGAGATTTGAGAAATGTATGCACCACTGCAGACAATAGCCCCAAAGTATAAGCCATTTCCATCACCCCAAAAAGTCACTTTGCCTCTTGAAGATTATTCCTAACCCCATAAGTAATCACTCTTCTGATTTCTCTCAACACAGATTCATTTTGCCTGTGAATTCATGATTATAGTCAAATGAATTCATTTATTCTTCATTTGAATAGAAATATTAAGTACACATGTTTTTTGTGTTTGGCATTTTTTATTCAATCTAAAGTTTTTGAGGTTCATTCATGTTGTGGCATACATCAGTCATTCATTTTTGTTTTTGCCACGTAGTATTTCATGGTAGGGCTCTACCACAATTTCTTTATCACCTTGATAATGCTCTGGCATTATAGGCATTAGCCACCATGCCTGACCCTTCTCTCTCTCTTTCTCTCTTTTCTGGAGACAGGGTCTTGCTCTGTCACCCGGGCTGGAGTGCAGTGGTGATCATAGCTCACTGCAGCCTCGAACTCCTGGGTTCAAGTCATAGTCCTGCTTCAGTCTCCCAAGTAACTAAGACTACAGGATTGTGCCACCATTCCTGACTCTGTGTGTGTGCGTGTGTGTATGTGTGTGTGCAGATGGGGTTTTGCTATATTGCCCAGGCTGGTCTTGAACTCTTGGCCTAAGGCAATCCTCCCACCTCAGCTTCCCAAAACGGTGGGGTTACAGTGTGAGCCACCATGCCTGGCCTTATAGTTTTGATTTCACCATGGAGATTTCATGTTTGTCTATTCATTTTCCTCATTTGCTCCTTTAATCTTTGGACAGATTTACAATAGATCTTTTAAAGTTAAGGTCTGCTAATTCCAACATCTGTTCACCTGGAGATCTATTTCTGTTTACTTCTATTGTACTGGAAAATCATCTTGAACATATCAAGCTCGGCTTCTGCTTGTTTTTAAATTTATTTTTATTTTGTTTTGAGACGGGGTCTCACTCTGTTGCCTAGGCTTGAATGCAGTGGTGTGATCATGGCTCACTGCAGCCTCAAACTCCTAGGCTCAAGTGATCCTCCCATCTCAGCCTCCTGGATAGCTGGAACTACAAGTACCCACCACAGCACCTGGCTGGTTGTTTTGTGATAATAGAAAATAATGTTATCAAAACATTCATATGGCTCATGCCTGTAATCTCAACACTTTGGGAGGCCAAGGCGAGAGGATTGCTTGAGCCCCGAAATTGGAGACAAGTTTCTGCAACATCGTGAGACCCTGTCTTTTCAAACAAAATAATTAAAAAATAAAAATAAATTAGCTGGGCATGGTGTCGCGTGTCTGTAATCCCAGCTACTTGAGAGGCTGAAGTGGGAGGATTGTTTGAACCCAGGAGGTTAAAGTGAACTATGATTGTACCACTGTACTTCAGCCTGGAAAACAGGGAGACCCTGTCTCAAAAAGAAAAATGTTTATTCTTAATTGTAAATTGAGCAAAATTATACATTATAAAATAATATCTCTGATACCATCCCTTATTTGTAAAAATTTGACAATGGCTATGTAAGCATAGAAAGGACTAGAAGGAAATATTTTACAACCACAGCAAATGACTTTAGTCTTCTCTGAGCCTTCGGTTTTCTGCAATGAATATGCTTGTAGATGTCCTCGGTTTTCCTTATCTCAAGCTTTTATTTTTATGTGATAAGAACACTTCACATGGGATCTGCACTCCTCTGTAGGGTAGTACACTGCAGTAATGTTAACTATGGGGACGATGTTGTATAGGAGATCTCTAGAACTTATTCGTCTTGCGTAATTGATACTTTATGCCCATTGATTAGAAACTCCCCATTTCCCCCTCCTCCCAGCTCCTGGCAGGCAAACAACATTCTATTCCCTGACTTTATGAGTTTGACTCTTTCAGATACCTCACATAAGCGGAATCAGGTAGCGTTTGACTTCCTGTTTTTGTTTCTGTCTTCTTTTCCTGTTTTCCTGTGCCTTATCCCTCTTCTCGTGTTTTCTTTTTTGGGTTTGTTGATATTTTTGTGTTGCTATGCTTTGATTCCTTTCTCCTTTTCTTTTTTGTAACTTCTATAGGTATTTTCTTTGTGTTTACCATAGCGCTTACATAAAATATCTTATAATTAAAATAGTGTGTTTTAAGCTGATAACAACTTAACTTCAATCACATAAGTAAATTCTACACTTTTACCATTCCTCCTACTTTATGTTACTGATGTCACAATTAACATCGACTTATATTGTGCACCCATTAAAATATTTTTAGCTGTAGTTATCTTCAATAATTCTGTAATTTAACTTTTATGTTAGAACTAAAAGTGATTTACCCACCACCATGACAGTAATACAGTATTCTGTATTTGTGTATATAGTTACCCTTGTCAAAGAGTTTTATGTGGCTGGGCACGGTGGCTCATATCTGTAATCCCAGCACTTTGAGAGGCCGAGAAGGGCGGATTACCTGAGGTCAGAAGTTCACGACCAGCCTGGCCAACATGGTGAAACCCCGTCTCTACTAAAAATACAAAAATTAGCCGGGTGTGGTGGCGCATGCCTGTAATCCCAGCTACTTGGGAGGCTGAGGCAGGAGAATTGCTTGAACCTGGGAGGTGGAGGTTGTAGTGAGCTGAGATGGTGTCATTGTACTCTAGCCTGGGCGACAAGAGCGAAACTCCATCTCAAAAAAAACCAAAAACAAAAAACAAATAAATAAAAAGAGTTTTATGTTTTCTTATGCTATCATGTTGCTGTTTATTGTCCTTTCATTTCCAGTGAAATAACTCCCTTCATTATTTCTTACAAGGCAAGTTCATAGTGAAGAACAGTGTCAGCTTTTGTTTGTCTGGAAAGTATGTCGCTCATCTTCATTTCTGAAAGACAGTTTTTTCCCAGGCACAGTATTCTTGCTTGGTAGTTTTAAAAATGTCAGCACTTTGAGTATGTCATCCCATTCCCTCTGGTTTGCAAGATTTCTGAAAAATTAGCTTATTTCTTATGGAGATTCTTTTAAATGTGACAAGTCACTTTTCCCTGCTGCTTTCTAATTCTTTGTCTTTGACAACTTGATTTTAATGTCCCTTGCTGTAAATGTCTTTGAGTTCATCTTATTTGGGATCTTTTGGGCTTCTTGAATCTGGGTGTCCATTTTCTTCCACAGATCTGAGGAGTTTTCAACCGTTATTTCTTTGAATATAATGATTCTTTCCCTTATCTTTCTGGGACTCCCTTAATGCATCTATTGGTCTGATTGATGGTGTCCCATAAGTCCCTTCTACTTTCTTTACTCTTTTTCTTTTTTTCCGTTTGCTCCTATGATTAATTTCCAATGACCTTTCTTTGAGTTCACTGATCCTTTTTTCTGCTTGATCCAGTCTACTGTTCCCCTCATCTAGTGACTTTTTCAGTGCAGTTATCATATTCTTCAGCTCCATGATTTCTGTTTGGTACTTTTTAGCATTTTCTGTCTCTTTGTTGAAATTCTCCCATTGTTCATACATTGTTTTCCTGTCTTCAGTGAGCAATTTTATGATAGTTATTTAAAATTCTCTGTCTGATAAATCATATAACTCCATATCACTAGGGTCAGTTTCTGGAGATTTATCTTATTCCTTTGTTTGAAACATTGTTCCCTGTTTCTTCATTTTCTTGCCTTTCTCTGTTGCTGTCTGAACATTCAACAAAGCAGGCCTCTGTCAAGTTTTCACGAACTGGCCAGGTACAGGAGGAGACCCTCACCAATCAGCCAAGCCAAAGATTCTGGGGGCCTCTCTAAACTTCCTGCTGGCCCAACCCACTTTCTCTGTTTTCTGGAGCCCCCGGGTGTCTGGAGTATGCCAAGTCCTGTCAGCATTTTAGACAAGTGACTGAAAGAAGTTCCTCAGGTAGCCTCCAGAAAACTGGATTGTTGGGTGTTCTGTCCAACTCTTTTCTTCCCTAGGGAGAAGCCTGAATCTAAGGTGTGTTTTTGTTGTTTTTCCTGTTCACTCTGTGCTGAGTTGGACTGTGGTGACTAGTTGCACTTTAGATCATCCCACCAGGTCTCTTTCCATGGCCCTGAGGCAGTGGGGTTATGCTACGTCCCATCCGCACTCTGAGACAGGCAACACAGAAGTCAGCCCCCTAGGTAGCCCTCAGAAAAGTTGAGGTGTTGAATACACAGCTCATCTCTTTCTCACTCCATGGTAAGCTGGGAGCTAGGGGATTTCCTCTCAGTCATATGGCACTGTGCTGGGGGTAGGGATTATGCCAAGAGGGTGTCTTGAATTTCCCTGCCAGTTTCAATGTGAGTAGATTCATGCTTACCTGGAATGCGTGAGATGCTCAGCTAGTTTCTGGATTTCTTGCAAAGGGAATTTTCAGGAATTGTTGTTGAGTTGATGTGTTCATGGTTTTGAAAAGGAGAGTCCAGAGCTTCCAATTCCATCATTTTGCTGATATCACTGCAGGCTTGATTTTATGCTTTGTAAGGGTGAGTCTGTTTTGGTTGTGTTCTTAGTTCTGTGCTTTGGCCATTATTCTGGAGTGCGATTCTTATTCTTAAGCCATGGCCTTTCTGATTTCTCAACTGATTGCCTGAGGGGCTTGGTGAGGTTTCTCCACCCTAGCTGGGCAAGAACTGCAATGTCGCCTAGCACTGCACACTGCTGGGCTTGTCTGTCAGCTCCCAGCCCCACAGCAGCAGCTTCCCGCTAGGCCTTGTGAAGGATCACCTTGCACATGTACAGCCTGGCCTCATCCAGGGACCTGAGGGACCCCCATGCAGCCTCTGCACCCTCATTCTACGTAGCACCCTCCCCTCCAGTGCCCTGCTCTACCAATCGTAGCCACCTCAGCACTGATCTCTGCTTTCCCAGCCAGTGATCGCTGGCTGATGATCTCTGCTGCGGCTTTATCTCTCATACCTTGGTAGGAAAACCCAAGGTAAAAAGACAGGGCAAACTTGGACTCACTTCAGGTATTTCCCTTCTCTCAGCTATCACAGTCCTACCAGTTGTCCAATTCCTGTACATAACTGCCTTATACATTTGGCCCAACTTTATCGTTGTTTATGGCAGGAGGCTAAGTATAAATCTCATTACTCGTCGTGCCCAGAATCAACTTGCATTCTCAGTAATACTTTCTCAATGTGCTGCCATTCATTTATGTCAGCCTCAAAGCTACTCCTGTGTCAAATGGGGAAGATACTAGAAGCATCTCTGTCAAGGTGAAAGCTCAGGAAGGTGTCTTCTATCATCACTGTTATTTAATTTTTTTGCAATTGGAAGAGAGAAAGAAATTAAGTTTAAAAAATGCAAAGGAGGAAATACAATATCACTTTTTGCAGATGACATGATTAAGTCCTTGGAAAATCCAAGAGAATCAATTTAATTTCTATGACAAACAATATTTAAGTTTTGTGGCTGGAGGCCGGGCACGGTGGCTCACACCTGTAATTCCAGCACTTTGGGAGGCCGAGGTGGGCGGATCACGAGGTCAGGAGATCAAGACCATCTTGGCTAACACAGTGAAACCCCATCTCTACTGAAAATACAAAAACAATTAGCCGGGCCTGGTGGCAGGTGCCTGTAGTCCCAGCTACTCAGGAGGCTGAGGCAGGAGAATGGTGTGAACTCTGGAGGCAGAGCTTGCAGTGAGCCAAGATCACACCACTGCACTCCGGCCTGGGTGACAGAGCGAGACTCCATCTAAAAAAAAAAAAAAAAAGTTTTGTGGCTGGGACGAAAGTAACATGATAATTAGCCTTCATCTACATAAAAAATGACTTGTGAGCAGGAATATTGATGAGAAAAAATATCTCATTTACCACAGCACCAAAAAAAAAAAAATAAAACCTAGGAATAAACCTAAAAAGAAACATGTACAATCAAAAAGAAGAACACTTTAAATCCACTGAGGGACATGAAAGGAGACCTGAGAGAATGAAAGGCATATCGTGTTCTCAGATCCAGTGGTTGAACATCATAAGACAACAATCTTCACTGCGAGGAACTTATCCTATGGATATGTTCTCGTGTGTGAAGTGAGGTATGTGCAAGGTTATTCATTGTAGCATTGTCCATAACAGTGGTGCAGGGCAGGCACACCCCCAAATCGGGGCTTAGCCCAGGAGGGTTCCTGGCTTCACCCAGGGAAGAATTCAGAGGCAAGCTGCTGTGCATAGCAGAGCAGCCATGCATGGCAGCAACACAGGAACTGTCCCTTGTGGAGCAGGGCCACCCACAGGCAGTATGCCCAGAGCAGCGCTCAGAGGCAGCTCTGCACTCAGATTTATACCCACTTTTAATTACATGCAAATTAAGGGGTAGTTTATGCAGACATTTCTAGGGTGAGGGTGGTAACTTCTGGGTTGCCAGGTCATTGCCATGGAAAGATGCCATAACTTCTAGATGTTGCCATGGTAGTGGTAAACTGACATGGCACACTGGTGGGTGTGTCTTATAGGGAGGTGCCTCTGCCCTGGACCTGCTTAGGTAGTCCTCAATTTGGTCCAGTGTCTGAGCCCTACCTCCAGAGTTGAGTTCTGTTTCCTACCTCAATAGCAAAGAGTTTGGAAACAACTCAAAAGGTCGATGAGGCTGGTTAAATAAATCATATTACACATCCAGAGTGGTGGTATACTGCCATTAACAAAAACGAGGCTGGGTGGAGTGGCTCATGCCTGTAGTGTCAGCAGTTTGGGAGGCCTAGGCAGGGGGACTGCTTGAGTCCAGGAGTTCAAGACCAGCCTGGGCAACAAAGCAAGACCCAGTCTCTAAAAGAACATGTGAAAATTAGCCGGGCATGGTGGCACATGCCTTTAGTACCAGCTACTCGGGAGGCTGAGGACGGAGGACTGCTGAGCCCAGAAGGTCCAGGCTGTAGTGAGCTATGATTGTGCCAATGCACTCCAGCCTGGGCAACAGATGAGACCTTGTCTTAAACAAAAACAAAAACAAAAACCCAAGAAAACAAGGGCAAGACAAGTTGCCAGGCACTGATAAAGGATGATCTGCAAGACTGATGGTTCAGTGGAAAAATCGAGGTGCTAGTCGGACAGCATGTGATCACTTGTGATGTACGTGTGGCATGCACATGTGTCTGGTTTTGTATGTTAGAAATGTCTTGGCTTTAAGTAAAAGAAAATCCAACCTAGCATGAGGCCAACAAACAGGGGTTTATTTTTCTCCCTTGAAACCGAGAGGCAGTGGCCCCAGTCCTGACTCAGCTGCCCAACCGTACCATTGCCATCTTAGGCTTCTCTTTCCATTCTGCCCTCTGAAGCAGGATGGCATTTCCCTCAGTCTTGCTGCCTCCTATTTGCAAGATGGCTGACTCATCTCCAAACATGACGGCAATGCAATGTTCGAATCAAGAAGAAAGGGGAAATGCAAAAAGGTGACTGGTCCTACATGTTACTGGAAAAGCAAACGCTTTCTGATTGCACCTGTCAGCAAGTGTTTCTTGTATCTCGTTGGCCAGAATGGAGTCACATGACTGCTCCTAGCTGCAAGGGAGGCTGGGAAATAGAGCATTTAACTTCCAGGACTCTGCAACAGAGAAAGGCAAAGAAGAAGAGGTTAAGAATGAGTGGTGGGGCCAGGCATGGTGGCTCATGCCTATAATCCCAGCACTTTGGGAAGCTGAGGAGGGTAGATTGCTGGAGCCCAAGAGTTCAAGACTAGCCTGGGCAACAAGGTGAAACCCCATTCTAAAAAACAAACAAACAAACAAAAACAAACAAAACAGTGGTGGGTGACTCACTTTACTAGGTTGGTCGTACTTAGAAAGTCTTCAAAAGGACACATAAGAAATTGGTAATTGGGAGTTCAAGACAAGCCTGGCCAAATGGTGAAACCCCATCTTTACTAAAAGTACAAAATTTAGGGTATGGTTGTGGGTGCCTGTAATCCCAGCAACTCTGGAGGCTGAGGCAGGAGAGTCGCTTGAACCCAGGAGGCGGAGGTTGCAGTGAGTCATGATCGCGCCATTGCACTTCAGCCTGGGCAACAGAGTGAGACTCCATCTCAAAAAAAAAAAAAAAAAAAAGAAAGAAAGAAATCAAAGTAGTAACCACACCTGTATCCCACCGCACACGCACGAAAACAAACACACACTTCCCAAAGCCCCCAGCACAGTGGCATTCACAGCACCCATATCCCAAACCTGTGGGGAACAGATAATCCACAGGATATGTCCGTTGTTCCAGAAAAGGAGAAGTTAAGGGAAAGTGGTCCTGCCCATTTGATGAAGCTCATAGACAGCTAGAAACGGGAACACAAATAAATTGCAACCCAGTTTTATAAAAATCTTGAAGTATCAGCTAACCAAAATCCAACAGAATACCAAGGTCACATAAAGTTTATCTCAGGAATATCAGAAGGGTTCAAATCAGACATGTTAACACAGAAATTCACCAGGTTCAAGAAGAAAAGTAAAGTCATCATGGGGGCTGGGCATGGTGACGCCTGCCTGTGGTCTTGGCTACTTGGAGGCTGACGTGAGAGGATCACTTGAGCCCAACAGGTCGAGGCTGCAGTGAGTCCAGATCACACCACTGCCCTCCAGCCTGGGCGACACAGCGAGACCCTGTCTCAAAAAAAAAATTGTAATCATTATATTGATGTGGAATATGGCATTTGATAACATTTATTATACTCATGATTTAAAGATTTTTTAAAGTAGAGAATAAGAACGAGAGGGCATTTTCCTATAAGGACTGTCTTCCTCACACCTGTGGCCAGCATCGCAGGGAGACTGCCCGTGACCTCCCTCTAAGGTTGGGAAGCACCGGGCGGCTGCTCTCAGTCACTCTTCCATATCATCCTGGAAGTCCTGGCCGATGCAACGAGACAGGAAAAAGAAATCAGCCTTTGAGGAGCAATATCAAGGAAGGCAAAGTTATATTACCGTGTCTTTCATGGTAACATGGTTGCTTAATGTTGAATTTCCCAAATAACCAACAGTTAACTATTAGCACTGATCAGAGGTCAACAAGGGGGCCCAATACAAAGAAGTCAATAGCATTCTTTAAAGCCAGTAAAAAAAAAAAATAACAGGGAAGAGCTCATTTTCCAAAAGAACAAAAATTATAAAATATTCAAGAATTAATCTTGAAATCCACCTATCTTTTATGGGGGAAAAAAAAGCAAAAACAAAAAACTAAGCAACCTGAAATCTCTTTCCAGGCCATGTCAGAAGACTGGGCTAGAGAGTGCCATTCAGCCCTGTGTGGAGGGGCCTGGCGGGAGGTGCCCACCATTGCCCTGGCCGTGCTTGCCAGGTTCCAGTGCTCACATTCCTGCAGTTTGGAGGCCTAGGGGAGGCTCTGGGCCGTGGCAGGTGTCATGGCCCCTCGAGGCCTGCCTTGCACCCCAGCTGGCCCAGCGCTGCATTGAGCTGCCCTGGCCCCCTCTGCCCTCCCCATAAGCAATGCTGGGACCTGGCCTTCCTGTGGCAGCCCCTCCCCTGCTGGGCTACGTGGTTCAGGGACAGGACGCCCTGGCCCCTTGGCCCTACAGCTCAGTCACAGGTCAGTGGGCCGTGCTGGTGCTCTCTGTTCAGACCTCCAGGGCCTGAGCTCCTGAGATGCCGGGTGCTGACCAGGCCTGTCAGGGATCTTCCCAGCCACTGGGCCAGGATGCCAGGGCGTGCTGGAGCCTGCCTGTCTAATGCCTGGCTCAACCAAGCTGCTTCAGGTGTGTGTGTGTGTGTGTGTGTGTGTGTGTGTGTGTGTGTGTACGTGTGTGTGTTGTAGAGGGTTGGGAGGCAGGGGGACGGGCTGGACCTGCAGGGAATGGAGTCGGCTCCCTGAGCCCAGAGGGCAGCTTGAGCTTCCAGGACGACTTGAAGGGCACAGGCCCAGGGCTCCTCCCTTCTGTTTAGCTACCTGGGACTTGGATGTGCTGTGTGACACCAAGCCAGTCACTCCGCCTCTCTGGGAGGCTGCATCCCAGACAGGGGCTGAGCATCTCATTCTGCAGGCTCTTGGTGAGGGCTCTCCTTGCTGTGGTTTGGGGAAACACAGTATTTGACTCCGGCTTGGGGCTGAAATGGCAGGGCCCTGAAACCCAGCCGGGGAAGGCCAGAGAGGCAAGGGCTTCTCAACTGATGCAGACACAGGCCAGGTCGGGGGCACAAAGGAGGGGGTAGAGCTGGGTGGGACTCAGAAGGGGGCAGAGGCAGGACAGGGTTTGCAGAAGCAGTAACACCTGAGTTTCAGTGTGGGGCACAGAACCCGGGTGGGCGGACCTGTAAATAGCCAGACATAGCCTGACGGGGTGTGGGCTCTATTGAGGTTGTGGCCACAACAACAGCTTGGGTTTGATCTTGCAGGTACTGGGGAGCAATGGTGTGTGTGCTTCAGAGCAGAGGAGGGGGCAAGTCAGATGTGTGTTTGAGATGCTCTCTTGGCAGCCAGGATGGAGACAAGGTGAGTTGGGGAGCCAGGAATGGGACAGGGCTCAGAGTGGATAGACGTTTAGGAGGTTGAATTGATCAGAGACGGAGGGAAAGAGGTGGCTCCTGAGCCTGAACTGCCAGGGGAGGGGTGCCTCTGAGAGATGGAGGTCCCAGGCCACTGGAGACCCGCGTCGCACTTTGGAGAAGAGCCGGGGCTGGGGACAGAGGCATGTACAGGGTGGCATCACCGCCCTGCTCCCGGGATGGGGAGACCGAGGCTGGGGAAGGGGCTTAGGGATTGTCAGGATCTCTAGCACAGAGCTGGTGACCAAGCTGTGGGCATCATGAGTGTCCAGGAGGAAAGATCAGATCCCAGGTGAGAGAAGAGGGCTCAGGGAGAGGGTGAATTGTGGGCAGAGAAGAGAGGAAGACCTCCCTGGGGCAGCCATGGGACGGGAGCCAGGTGGGGTGTGGCCCCTGGGATGGGGGTGGTGTACACACCCACACAAGGTTGGCCTGGTGGGCCAGGGCCAGGCTGCACGGGCTGAGAGAAGCTGACGGCCTTGTCTGTGACCTCCAGGACCCCTGGGTCTGCCTCTGTGGGCCCCTAATCCTGGGCTCACAGACCTGCCAGCCTCCGTGCGTGCTGGCCTGTGCCTGGTGGGCACGGCTGGTGCAGGCTCCAAGGGGGCCTGGCAAAGCCTGGAGCTGGCCCAGGGGAGGCCTCCCCTGGCCAGGGAGTCTCCCGACCCCCACCTTGGAGGGATGTATCAGCCCCGGTGAGGCTTCTCAGACTCATTCTGGAGCTTCTCAAGGGCGCGAGATCAATTTGGCCGAGAAGGGCCAAGGGCCGAGCCTGCACCTTCCTTCTGCCCCAATGCTAGGTGAAACATTCAATGTCTGTTTAAATCTATAGAAAAGGGTGAATTTGAGAGTTGAGGATTTATCAAACTTCCAGCAGTTAAGTCCCTGGGAAACAGCACCAAAAGAGAGATAATAAAGGAACCAAAAGAAGAAACCACACAGGAGCAGATGGAGGCACCAACTGCATAAAGAATGGTGACTGCACACAGGCAAGATGCGCACAGCAGGTGGGAAACTTCTGTAACAAGTATGTCCACAGGCAGATCACCTTTACCTGTGAGGAGCTTGTGTGCACGAGGGCAACCTCGCAGCAGCGACGCCCACCACAGAATGCTGATGGCTCAATCCCAGCAGAAGTTTATTTAGGGCACAGAAAGCTGGAAACAAGGGCTTGACTGGAGGCAGCTCTGCAGCAGGTGGAGATTTGGACAGCGAGGGCTGTCCTGGAGGAAGTCCCAAGGTCCTCACTTCCCTCTGTAGGCCACCCTTGGTGTGGACAACAGCTGCAGACAGGAGACACGGAGGGGGCACACAGAGGTCTTAGGGTCTGGCCTCAGGTGATGTCCATCACATCTCTTTCTGTTGGTGAGAGCTAGTTACCTGGGCCCCCAGGGTGCAAGGCCGAGCTGGCATGGCATGCAGACCAACTAGTAGGATCTTCTTGCCAGCTCAGGGGACAATGCACACATGGAGAAGTGCAGTTGGATACCAGGCATCTGGGAAAATGCACATGCTCACTCTTTTTCAAAGAAATGCAGGTTCCAAAACCAAACACCATTAGAAAATAGACACCAGCCAACACAATCAAGATTAGAAGGTCTATGGTGAGACCACTGATGGAGCGTGAAGCTGGCCAAACTCTGGAGAGTGGTTGATGATACGTATCAAGAATCCAAAATCCAGCAGGGCGTGGTGGCTCACGCCTGTAATCCCAGCCAGGAATTCGAGACCAGCCTGGCCAACATGGCGAAACCCCGCCTCTACTAAAAATACAAAAATTAGCTGGGCATGGTGGTGCACGCCTGTAGTCCCAGCTACTCAGGAGGCTGAGGCATGAGAATCACTTGGCCTTGAGTGATTGCAGTGAGCAGAGATCGCACCACTGCACTACAGCCTGGGTAACAGAGTGAAGTGAGTCTCTAAATAAATAAATAAATAAACCTGAAATCCTAGAAATCTGTTTAATGGCTCAAGATGTTATCTTTCCAAAACTCGAATCTGACCCTGTCACTCCCCGGCTCAAACATCTCCAATGGCTCCCCACTGCCATCCTGGCCATGTTCCAGCCCAGGCCCCTCCCTCCAGCCTCATCTTCCATGCTGAGGTTTGCACCTCCACTGTGGTGGAGCACAGCGGGCATTTCTCCCTGGTGCACCTTTGCTTCTTTGGGCCCCTCTGCCTGGAATGCCCTTCCTGTTCCTGTCCAGACCCACTCGAGACACTCCTGCCCTGAGCACCTCCTGCCTCTCCCTCCTCACTCCAGACACTCCTGCCCTGAGCACCTCCTGCCTCTCCCTCCTCTCTGCCGCTCCCCCCACCCTCATGCTCTCACCCTAGCTCCTCCTGTTACTGGGTCCCTCTGGGAGCACCGTCCTGACCAGTGCCCAACCTGGGCCTGGGGGACAGAGGGGTCGGCACATGTAGGCTGAGCTGAGCTTTCGGGAGCGAGGAGGCCAGGCGCTGGGAGTGGTGGCCTTGCTGTAGGCTGAAGACACAGCTCGCAGCTCAGCCTGCCCTCCACCTGACCCCCCGGGCCCAGCCTTCCCTAGTGGGCCACGACCTTCCCACCAGGGCCCTCGGCCCTGCTCCTGCTGGCCCCTGCAGACCTCAGCTGAGTCCAAGCTCCTGGAGGGCAGGGAGGGTGAGCATCTCGTGTGTCCCCAGCGCACAGCTGCTGTGCCAGCTCCCGGTAGGGATTTGTTACAGGAATAAATGGGGTGGGGGTTGGAGGAGATGGAGGCAGGCCCTGACGCCGGCTCCTGGCGCACCCTCCAGGCCCTCTCCATCGCGGCTTCGCGGCTCCGGCTCTGGCCCCGCCCCAGCCTTCCCCGCCCTGCCGGGAACCTGGGGCCTCTCGGACCACGAAAGCCGCCCACACCTCCGCGGCTCCGCCCTCGCCTCTCGCTCCCCCAGCCTAGCCTGGACCCTCCGCTCTCCGGGGCTCAGCAGCGACCCCGATCGGCCACACGCAAGCCGCCCACATCGCCGCGGCAGCCACCTACCCCGGGACGCCCAACCAAGCCCTCGGGGGACCAAGCCCGGGGACTTCGTCCCCAACTCCAGGCCAGTCAAGCCACCCCACAGGGGCCCTGCCTGTCCCACCCGCAGCGTGCTGGGGGGTCCATGCTTGCGGTGATCAGGAGGGTGGCACGGCCCTGGGGTTACAGCCGGCGGAGGGGCTTCCCAAAAGAATCCTCAGCCTCTCCCGCCTGCGGCGGCGCAGCCCAGGCGGGGCTCGGCCCGCAGAATCCCCTCGTGGCCTCGCCAGGTATGCGCGCGGGGCCCGGGGCGCGGGCCGGGGGCGGGCGCTGGAGCGGGGCCGGTGCCGGGCCCGCCGCGACACGCTCGGGGACGCGACGCACAAAGGCGCCTTCTGCCGCCCCCCGACCCCGCCCCGCGCTGCCCCCGTCCAGCGTGGCGGCCCGCCCCGGCAGGCGGTGAGGGGCTGTCGGGGTCCCCTCCTCCTGGGCCCGCCACCCCCCTCGCGGGCGACGTGCCCTGTCCGGGCGGCGCGCAGGCGCGGGCTTGTCCCACCGCGCAGGAATCCGAGGCCGCCGCGCGCGTTTCCGGCCCCAGCCCCGCCCGCGGTGCAGGGGAGCGAGTGCGCAGCCGCGTGTCGGGACTCGGACCCCCGTGGCCCCCGCCATACTCTCTTTCTCCACCCGCGGAGCTTTTGCTCAGGAATCCACTCTTGCAGCCAGGGAGCTTCCGGGCCCCCTCCTCCAGGGAGCGTTCCTGGCTGCTCCGGTGAGCACTTGCCTCCTCGCACCCCTGTCTGGGCACCTTGAGGACCCAGCCTGACCACTCCCCTCTCCTCTGTCTGCATAGGAAGGCGCCCCATTGGAAAGGGACCCCCCCCCCACCAGACCCTGGCAATCCCATGGCCAGGCCAGGGTTGGGAGTAAGGACCCACCAGGAAGGAGGGTGCCCGCCGCGTCAAGTGGGCAGTAGAACAAGGCTGGGTCCCAGGGATCCCCGCAAGCCAGGTGGCTCCGTGGCTCGGCCCCGCAGAGGCCAGAGTCCTCCGCCCTGCAGCCGGCGCTCACCTTTAGCGCCTTCTCCCTGGGCCATATGTGGCAGAGGGGGTGGGGCAAGTTCCAGGCCCACAGGGCACCACGGGCCTCTGGGAGGGGACGCTAATGACTGTAATTTCCACTTAGCAGATCAGGACGGCTGGCAGAGTGGAGCCATCCTCCTGCCTCTCAGGAGCCCGGGCGAGATCCTTCCTTGGGCCCCTCCTTTATCTGGACTCCTGGCCCTGGGCCCCTCCCACGTGGGATTTTGAGATTGCTCTCCCCTCCCCCAGGCTCAGAGGGTGGTCCTGTTTCCTGTGGGACCCCTTGTCCCCTTGTCCACTGGTTGGGGTGCTCAGTGGTGCTTGAACAGGGGTCGGGGACGCATGAAGGTGTACTGAGGGGGTAGCTGTCAGCCGGCTCCAGAGGCTGGGGGAGCAGGAAACAAGCACATAGGGTTGAGGGTTCTGAGCCGCGTGCCAGGCTTTAGCCTATGCTGGCTCCTTTGTGGTCAGAAGCCCAGGACATTCTGGGATCTGTCTTGATGCTGAGCAGGCCAGTGTCCTGAACAGCACCAGGCGCCCAGGAGTCTCTGGGTGGGGCAGTTGTGGCTGCCGAATGGGGGGTGCTAGGGCAGGAGGGTGAGCATGTGAGGCCAGGCTGGCGGAGAGGGGCTGGGACTCTGTGCCCTGTGGCAGACTGGGGAGGTGAGGGAAGGGGTTGCTGTGGCCATCACAGGCTGAAGGTGGGGACTGGGCCATTGCCCAGTGCTGGTCTCTGCCCGATTAGTCTGGGCACCAGGCCCCGTGCCCAGCTGGCAAGAGGTGAGGCAGGAGCTTCTGGGGCACCTGGGGAGCAGGCCCAGGCCCTGGGAGCTGGGGTTCCTGAGCTGAGGGAGTCAGCTCTGTCTCGCCTGGGCCTGCCTCCTGGCCTCCCCTGTGGCCTGGCTGGCAGGGCCTGGGCGTGGCCTCGCTCCCTGGAACTGGCAAGGATCAAAGGGTGGAAAGCCGTCCTCCACCCCCGCCCACTGAGACAGGAATCCGTGGCCCCAGGGGGCGGAATCCACAGCCACATTCCCGGTGCCCTGGTCCCTGCAAGGCAAGGGTGGGGCAGGGCTGGGGTGCCAAGATTGGCACCATAGAGCGTGGGAACGTGGTGCTGCTGGCACCCGGCCCAGTGCCTGAGCAGAGCGGACGGCACCCTCCTCTCGGCCGAGCCGTGGCCTTTGTCCCTTCTGACCTCCCTTGATGGCCTCAGGCACCAGGGCCTCAGCTGCCAAATGGGCTTCCACCTTGCCTGGAGGTGGGGTTTGCATCCTGGTGGCCCAGGAGGCCTGGGGGTCCTGAGGAGGTTGGGGCCTGGGTTTCTGTGGCTCAAAGCAGTGGGCACTCCCGACCCCCGGGGCGCTCTGGGCTGGGGGACTCGGCCTCCATCTGGGGCCAGTGGGGACCACAGGAGGGAGAGGGTGTTGACAGCTGGGGCATACCTGCTAGGGGTCACACCGAGCCCAGGCCCCTGGCACACACAGATATGCTCACACACGCACACAGCAGAAAGCAGAAAGGCAGCCGCTCAAAGGCAGCCTCGCTTGTTCTGGCCACAGCCCAAAAGCTCCCCAGGAGAGTTTGTCCTCAGCTGGCAGGTGCAGGGCTGAGTTGGCCCTGTGGACCCCCACCCATGGGTGCAGGGTCACCTGCTGGCGGAGACAACAGCCTTTAGGCACCTGTGCTGGGTGGGGTGGGTCCCTGCTCCCAGGGGCTGGAGACCAGCCTGCTGGAGCCAGGGCCCCAAGCTCTGTCCTGTAGTCCCATGCTCAGCCCCAGCAGTGATGCCTTCCCACCCCCACTGTACAGGTGGGGAAACGGAAGCCCAGAGAGGTCAGATGACTTTCCCAAATTGGTGGCTTGGAGGAATCCTGGAGACACAGACCTCCCACTCCCAAGAGCCAGGGCCGGTGGCATCCTCCTCTCTGGCCTGTTTCCTCATCTGGGGAGTGGGCCCACAGTGACCACCTGGCTGAGTTGTCCTGAAGCCCGGAAGGTACCAGCCAGAGGTCAGTTAGCCTCTTCTGTCCCCAGCCCCTGGGCTCCCAGATAAGCAGCACTGCTGTGTCCTAAGCCCGCCCCTGAGGCAGGGCGCCCCCTGGTGGTGCGACAGTGCCTTTCTGTGCCCTTGGGTGATAGGAGCTGAAGGAGGAGAAGGTGAGGGAGAGGTCAAGCCTGGAGCAGGCGCTGGGAGGGCTGCAGGCCAGGGCAGAGGGGCTGCTGGCTTGGAGCAATGCCCCTGGGGGCTGGTCCATGCAGGAAGGGCCTGGAGAGGACATTGGTCCCGCCAGGAGGCTGCAAGTCGGGACCTTGGCAGGGCTTCCATGGGCAGTTGAAGCCCATTAGGGCCCAAGGACACCATCCCCCGGAGGATGGCAGCAGGGGGAGCAGGACTGGTGCGCCAGACACTGCCCGCTGCTAGGGTGGGGAGTGTGGGCAGCCAGGCTGGGAGAAGTGGAGGCCAGGCCCAAGGTGTCCGTGTGTTGGCCAGCTGAGCCCATCCCTCTTCAGACCTGCACCCTGGGTGCCTCTAGAGGCCTCCCCGCCCTCTCCAGGATGCTCAAAGGCCCACACTACTTGACCCTGATCATCCCAGTGGCAGCCATCCAGGCATCAGGCCAGGTCTGGCACTGGGCAGCCGTGGGGCTTCTTTGGTGGAGATGTGAATGAATGAGGAGCCTCCCGGGGCTGCGGTCCCTCCTGGGCCCCAGCTTGCCTCCTGCAGCATGGGGTCCTTGTCAGTCAGCAGGCTGTGATGGGCAGGTGCTGAGGAACCTGCGGCAGGAGCGACAAGGCTAGGGGTGGGTGGGGGCCCTGGCTCACCCATCCCAGCCCCCCACACCAGGGGAGGGAGCATCCCTGGCCTTCGGGAGCTGTCAGGGCGGAGGCCATACGGGGATGTGGTGGGGTGGGCCAGCCCATGAGACCCCTCTGGGCTCTGGGTCTGGGTGGGAAGTGGTCTGCCTGGTCTCTGGGCCCAGGGTGAAGGGACAGGTCTCAGTTTGTGAGTTTGTGGTCCCCTGCTCCATCTCCTACCCTGCTTCGCGGGCAGTGGGTTCAGGGGGGATCTGGGAAGCGGGCTTGAGCCTGCTCAGGGCGGGGCAGCTGGGCCCCCACTCACCCCAGGGGCTTGCCAGCAACCTGGGCAGGGAGGCTCGTGTGCCCTGGGACTCCTGGTTCTGCAGCGAGTCCCTGCAGACCTGGGTCCCCCAGTGTGTCTGCACGGCAGGACCCCAGCTCCCTGGACTGTCAGTCCTTAAGGCTTCTGCGGAGTCCCCCATCCTGAGTGCCCAGCGCCGTCGGGGTGGGGGGTTCCCTGGGGTTGGCTGACCTGGCTGGCCCTCCTTCCTGGGCTCTGCTGTCACCTGAGCTGGGGGACTTCTTGGCCTGGAGGGTAAGCCGGGGACCATCTGCTCTCAGGGCACAGGCCTGCCCTTGCAGGGCGCTGAACCCACCACAACTCCCTCTAGCCCCCAGATGGCAAAGCACTCCTTGGCAAGGGCTGATCAGGGGAGGGGACAAGCTGGGCCAGCCAAACCTGGGGCGGGGGCCCAGTGTCCCCAGGGACTGGCATCTGAGACCTCCACTGTTTACACAACACCACACCCGAGGAGTGGATTGCCCAGAGTATGCGTGCGCGCACACACTGCTTCCAGCATACACACGATGCACACTTGCATGAGCACAGGGTACACACACATGTTCACACCAGCACTCACACACAGGCACACACCTTCACACGTGGAGGGCACACAGCACACTGCCTTGCATGACATGCACGCCCATTCACACCACTGTGTACAGCTCAGCCTGCCTCGAGCTCCCAGCTGGGTGCCCTCTGAACCTCCAAAACCCACAGCATGATGGAGGACACTGTGCGGGGAGTGGTGGGGGCTGGGGGCTGGTGAGTAGACGTGGCTCTGTGGTGTTGGGGCCTCTGGGCCTCAGTTTACCTTCCATGCAATTGTAACAACCATTTACAAGACACTTTGAATCTCAACGAGCCATTCTGAGATGGCCGTTAGCACCCTTTGCAGAGATGGGGAAACAGGCACAGAGCATTTGGTAATGTGCTCAAGGCCCTGGGGCAGGAGCTGGACAGGGTCTGCCCCGGGCTGTCTCTGGTGGTTGTGGAGTGAGGGGAGTTCACATCTGCCTGGGTCCGGAGCACAGAGGGTACTGCTACCTCCAGGCAGGCTGCCTGGGAGGGGGAGGGACACGGACAGGGCGGGCTCCAGCAGGAGGAACGAGGTGGGTGTGCGCCCCACCCCCGTGGAGGGAGCCTGTCCTCCCCTCGGCCCCGCTGGCTGGGGCCGGCCAAGAGCAGAAGAGGTCACAGGCCGCGGCCGGCTCTCCTGGGAATTCCAGGCGCGTGTGTCAGCGCGCTCGGCTTCGCCCCCGCCCCCAGCCCTCCGCCCGGGCTGGCGGTTTGGCAAAGAGAACTAGATTCCCGAGGGGGCGAGGGGCGGCTCCCAGGGCCTGGGACCGGGTTGGGGACTCAGGAACCCTTCTCCTCCGCCCACTCCTCCACTCCCAGAAGAGAGGTCCTGGCGGGAGCGGGTCCCCTCTCGACCTCCTTCCAGATGGCTCGCCATTTCTCCAGGGAGGGGGCTGAGGGAGGGCTTCATGGGGAGGGGAGCTCTGGGGCCCCGGGTGCTGGCACGTGCACCCGAATTCTCAGCACCTCCCTGCCCTGCCCGCAGGCAGGCTCGGTGAGGTCCCTAAGGTCAGGAATGATGCTTGTTTCTGCGCAAACCTCTGCCCGAGGACGGGCGGTGTCTGGAACCTGGATACGAATTCCAGTTGTGTCTCGACTTTCGAATCTGAAAAGTGGGAACAATAGCATCACCCACCTCGGGGTGATTGTGCAAATAAAAGAGCCAGAGGCGAGGCCAAGGGCGATCTGCCTGGGAAGCGGGCCGGCGCCCCACTAAGGCGCGCGTGCGTGCTGGGACCCAGGAAACCCAGCGCTGGGCCAGCTCTCCCGCCCCCGCCAGCTCGCCCCGCGCCAGCGCCCCAGCCTGCCTGGGCTCGCTCCAGCCTCTGCGGGGGCTCCTCCGGGCCGCGCAGACGCAGCCTCCCCGCCCGCCCCGCCGCTGCTCCGCCAGCGGCCTCGACAGGCCCAGGCGCGCTCCAGCCTGCGGCGGCATGAAGGTGGGCGCGGATGCCGCCGCCGCGAGGCTGCCCGCCTGCCCGGAGCCTGCCCCGCCGGGCGGGAAGGGCCAGGGAGGCTCCTGGCCGGGGGCGGAGATTGAAGGGTACGGTGCGGGCAGGAATGCTCTGGGCTGGGGGTTGGGGAGGCGCGGAGGGGACTGGGTGGTTCCCGGCCTGGGGGGAGGGGACAGGGAACTCGGGACCGAGGGGTGGGGAGCTGTGAGTCTCGGTTCTAGACCAGGGAGGGAACTGGGGAAGAGAATCCTGGGGATCGCTAGGGGAGAGGAGTACTTCTGGACCGCGGAGGCCACGCGAATCCTCCAGGCCCCCAGGGCGGGCTCCCCCGTCCTCCCTGCGCCCGTGGGCGCAGCACGCCCATTTCCCTGCCTGGGAAACAAAGGCCCCAGGTCTGCAGTGCGTCTGATGGCGGGGAGGAGACTGTGGCCGAGGGAGCCGTGTCCGTGGACGGCGTGCTGAGGGTCCCCCGCGCAGAGCTGACTGCACCCAGGAGAGAAGCGGCCCCGAGCGCAGGAGCCGAGGTTGCGGGTAACACCACCTCCGGGCTGCTGTCTCGACCTCTGCTGCTCTCGGCGCACTCCCGGGCGCGGGCGGGGGAACTGGAGGTCGGATGCCCTGGAGCGCGGGCCGGTCGGGCGCAGCGCAGCCGCAGCCACCAGGCGGCAGGGCAGCTCCGGGACCGGCGGGGCTGGGGACGTGGTTGGGGGAGCTGAGAAACACGTCTCAGTTTCTTAGGTCCGCCAGTCTCCTGGCCTGCACAGCCCGTCCCAGGAGCAGCCCGGTGGGGTCGCAAGTGGGGACCCAGGCCCCTGACACCCTCACCTTATCCTGGAGAGACTGTGGCAAGAGGGGAACAGGGAGGCCGCTGTCTCAGAGATATCAGGTGGAAGAAGTTTCTGGTCCCTGTGCCTCACCCTGCACCCTGCCTCTGATGGGCTGTGTGACCTTAAGCAACTTTCTCAGGCTCTTTGTGTCTCAGTTTCTTCTAAGAAAATGGGAGGTGGGCTGGGCGCGGTGGCTCACGCCTGTAATCCCAGCACTTTGGGAAGCCGAGGTGGGCGGATCACCTGAGGTCAGGAGTTCAAGACTGGCCTGGCCAACATGGTGAAACCCGGTCTCTACAAAAATACGAAAATTAGCCGGGCATGATGGCGGGTCCCTGTAGTCCCAGCTACTTGGGAGGCTGAGGCGGGAGAATCATTTGAACCCAGGAGGCAGAGGTTGCAGTGAGCCGAAATTGGGCCATTGCACCCCAGCCTGGGTGACAGAGTGAGACTCCATCTCAAAAAAAAAAAAAAAAAAAAAAAAAGAGAGCGAGAGAGAGAAAGAAGAGAAGATAAAATGGGAGGTGGGACGGTGAGAATTCCCAAGCTGCAGGGAATTGTCCCCCAGAGAAACAGGCTGTGGGAAGCTGGGTCTCTCCGGAGGGGAAGAGGAACTGAGCACCGGCCTGTTAGAGGAGGAGGGGCTGGTGAGCCTGGGACCCTGCAGGTCAGGGCCCAGCCATCGGGTTTGGATCTGGGCAGTGGGAGTGTACCTCCCCCACCAGGGCCTGGCCACCCCCCTAGAGTCCATTTTAGCTCTTGGGGTGCCATTGAGCATGCCCAGATGCCCCCACCAGCAGCTTCTGCCAGCATGGCCTGGCTGGCTGCATGGGTTGTCCTCCTGCCCCAGGCACTGGAGCTTGGCAGTAATGGGAAACGGGAGGTGACATGGGAGGGATTGGGGATGGAGAAGGCCCAGGACACGGTTGCTGAGGGTCTGCGCCTCACTGCATAAACCTGATGGGGGCCAGTCCCAGTGAGAGCAGGGGAGGTCACAGGCCTCTGGTGCCTTCTTGCCCACAAAGAAACTGAGGCAGGAAGCCACAACCAGCCTCTAGAAGCCCAGGACTCCCCCACATCACTCCCTGTTGTGTGGTTGTGGTCGGGGGTACTTCAATCACTGTGACCAGGGGACCAAGAGATTT
Source organism: Homo sapiens (assembly GCF_000001405.40). Classification (NCBI taxonomy): domain Eukaryota; kingdom Metazoa; phylum Chordata; class Mammalia; order Primates; family Hominidae; genus Homo; species Homo sapiens. Next base: position 105,085,624 of record NC_000014.9, on the reverse strand, counting down.
TCCGGCTGAGGGTGATGGGGGTTTCTCTGAATCAAGAAAATTTCTAATGAATGGCTGAGCCTGGGTCATTAGTTATTCAGTGTCCGGGGAACTGAATGGGCCTCTGCCCCATGCCCAGTATGCTGTTTCCCAAGGCTGGGCTGCAGGCACAGAGTCTGAGGGGCTGCTGCCTCCAGTGCAGTGGGCACTACCAGCTGTCTGCCCTCCCAGGGCCAGCTCCATGGAGGGAGGAGCAGGGCTGGCTGGACCCCCTCTCCCAAGCTGTGGCAGTGCCTGGAGTTTCACCATCGCGCAGGGAGAACACAAGGTCGTCTCCAGGGTCCGAGACTTCCCTCGCTGGGTTCAGGCTGGTTTCAGGCTGTCCCAGGTAGCTGGAGGGAAGGGCCAGGGGTCAGGGCTCTTCGCGTGCCTCAATGCTGGACGCTCCCCTGTTCTTCCTGTCGGTGTTCACAGGCGGCTGTTCAGGGTCCCAGATGTGGAAGGGTGAGGCCCAGAACATGATGGGCTTGGGCAGCTGTGGGAAGTGAAGGCAGAGGGCAGGCCTGTGTCCCAGGGGAGCACCCAGCTGCCTCCTGACCCCCTCCCTGGGTCCTGCTTGCCAGTGGAGGGTTGGTGTGAGAGCACAGACCTTGTTTGACCTCAGACCTCAGGCCAGAACACCAGGATCCCTAGAGACCACAAGGTATGGCTGTCCCAAGGCTGTGGTGACTTAGAAAGTGATTAGTGGACAAAGCGTCCCCACTCTCCCGTCCAAGCCCAGCCCTGGGACCGGCCACTGAGCATCACTTCACTGGACAGGTGGGATGTGTTGTGTCCTCCCTGTCCTGAGACTCACCATCACTTGATGGCAGAACTGCCACAGACCTCTGGGCAGAATAAATGACTTTTATTACAGAGTAACTTAGACATAGCCAAACCCAAAATGTATACTTTGACAAAAGGATGTCCAAGGCCTGCCCTCACTCCCCTCTGGTTCCAGCTATCGAGGGCTCAGCCTCTCCAAGCTCTCCCTCCACTCACCCTGCAAAGCTGGGCTTTGACGTCTGCCTCTGTGAGCCCTCTCTGAATCTGCGTGGAAAAGGGTCACTCAGCAGGCCTGGGAGTGCACACTCTGCACAGTCCAAAGAAAAGCCTGGCCTCTGCTGGCTCCTGGGAGGAGCCCTGTGCCCATGGAGAGGATGACATCCCTGTCCTCAGCCTGTGGTGGATGGATGTGGGGGTGGGCTGCACCAGCAATCTGTGGCAGCCCTTAGGTCTGGCTGTCAGGCCTTTCTCTGCTGGTCTCCAATTCACTAAGGCATGAGGCTTGGAAGCAGCACCCCCAGTTGGAGTCAGCCCCCCAGGACGTGGGGCTTGTAGGGAAAACAAAGGGAGGAGAGGTGGATGGATACAGTGGTGAGTGGATGGATAGAGGGATGGATATATGGATGTATGAAAAGATGGACAAATGGATAGAGGAATGGATGGATAGAGCTGGATGTATGGAGGGGTGGATAGAGGAGTGGAAGGCTGGATAGAGGGATGGGTGGGTGGATGGGTGGAAGGATGGATGGATGGATGGGGGTAGATAGAGGAATGGAAAGATGGATAGAGGGATGGGTGGGTGGATAAATGGATGGATGGAGAGGTGGATACAGGAATGGATAGAAGGATGGATGGATGGATGAATAGAGGAGTGGGTGGGTGGATACAGGGATGAATGGATAGAGATGGATGGGTGGATGGTGAATAGAGGAGTGGAAGGGCAGATAGAGAGATAGATGGATGGGTGGATAGAGAGATGGGTGGATGGAGGGTGGAGGGGTGGATAGAGGAATGGATGGGTGGAGGGAGGATGGAGGGGTGGGTGGATGGGTGGATAGAGGAGTGGATGGGTGGATAGAGTGGTGGATGGAGATGGTTGGTTGGGTGGATGGATGGATGCCTGGGGGGTGGGTGGAGGAGTGGATAGAGAAGTGGATGGGTGGATAGAGTGGTGGGTGGATGGATGGAGGGGTGGGTGGAGGGGTGGATAGAGGAGTGGAAGGGCAGATAGAGGGATAGATGGATGTGTGGATAGAGAGATGGTGGATGGAAGATGGAGGGGTGGGTGGAGGGGTGGATAGAGAAGTGGATGGGTGCATAGAGTGGTGGGTGGATGGATGGAGGGGTGGGTGGAGGGGTGGATAGAGGAGTGGAAGGGCAGATAGAGGGATAGATGGGTGGATAGACGGGTGGATGGAGGATGGAGGGGTGGGTAGAGGGGTGGATAGAGAAGCGGTTGGGTGGATAGAGTGGTGGGTGGATGGATGGAGGGGTGAGTGGAGGGGTGAATAGAGGAGTGGAAGGGCAGATAGAGGGATTGATGGATGTGTGGATAGAGAGATGGGTGGATGGAGGATGGAGGGTTGGGTGGAGGGGTGGATAGAGGAGTGGGTGGGTGGATAGAAGGATGGATAGAGATGGATGGATGGGTGGATGGATGGATGATGGAGGGGTGGGCGGAGGGGTGGAGAGAGGAGTGAATGGGTGGATAGAAGGATGGATAGAGATGGGTGGATGGATGGATGATGGAGGGGTGGGTGGAGGGGTGGAGAGAGGAGGGGATGGGTGGATAGAAGGATGGATAGAGATGGATGGATGGGTGGAGGGGTGGAGAGGAGTGGATGGGTGGATAGAAGGATGGATAGAGATGGATGGATGGGTGGATGGATGGATGCCTGGGGGATGGGTGGAGGGGTGGATAGAGGAATGGATAGGTGGATAGAGGGGAGGATGGATAGAAATGGATAGATGGATGGCTGGAGGGGGGGATGGGGGTTGATGGGGGATGGATGGATGGATAGAGGGATCGAAGGATAGAGATGGATGGATGGGTAGATGGTGGGTGAAGGGGTGGATAGAGGAGTGGAAGGGTGTATAGAGAGATGGATGGGTAGATGCAGAGATGTGTGAAGGAACAAGTACAGTAAATTGTTAACTAGAATTCAAGTGGTGAGTGGGGTTACACTGTGTGATTCTTTTCATGTTGCTATATGTTTAAAAATATGCAATGTTGGGGAAATTATAGACAAGACTTTTACACACACACACACACACACACACACACACACACACGTATGTACACTGCTAAATAACATAAGCTAAAGAAGGGATCATAATAGAAACCTTAAAAACCCAGAACTGGGCCGGGCGTGGTGGCTCATGCCTGTAATCCCAGCACTTTGGGAGGCCGAGGTGGGTGGATCACTTGAGGTCAAGAGTTTGAGACCAGCCTGACCACATGGTGAAACCCTATCTCTACTAAAAATAACAAAAAATTAGCCGGGTGTGGTAGCACATGCCTGTAATCCCAGCTACTCGGGAGGCTGAGACAGAAGAATCACTTGAACCCAGGAGGCAGAGGTTGCAGTGAGCCGAGATCGTGCCATTGCACTCCAGCCTGGGCAACAGAGTGAGATTTCATCTCAGTAAATAAATAAACAAACAGAACTGGATGATCATGAAAACATTGCACACCCAGCTTGTGGGGGGCCACAGAAGCGGGGCTTCCAGAAGCATTGCTACAGATGCTTACAGTGAAAAGAAGAAATCTTAAGGTTTGTAAGCTGTCTCCATCTCAGAAAGTTAGGGGGCAGGATTGACTGTGAAGAGGCATGAGGGAACCTTTTGGGAGATGGCAATTTTTTTTTTTTCTTTTGAGACAGAGTCTCACTCTGTCACCCAGGCTGGAGTGCAGTGGCGAAATTTCGATTCTCCTGCTCAGCCTCCAAGTAGCTGGGACTACAGGCGTGCGTCACCACGCCTGGCTAATTTTTGTATTTTTAGTAGGGATGGGGTTTCACCATGTTGGCCAGGCTGGTCTCAAACTCCTGACCTCAGGTGATGCACCTGCCTTGGCCTCCCAAAGTGCTGGGACTACAGGCGTGAGCCACTGCGCCCGGCCAGGAGATGGAAATGTTTTACAGTTCGGTTGTGCTGGTGGTTACAGAGCTAAACGCATGTGTCAAGTCAGAACTGTGCATACCAGAGGAGTGAATTGCACTGTATGTAAATTATACCTTAAATTTTAAAAAATGAATTTTAAAAAGAGGAAGTTGGGAGGTAAACAAAAGCAAAAACAGTGTAAGCCCAGAAAGTTGAGAAAATGGAGATAAAAATAAGATCAGAAATCAATGAAATAGCAAAGATGCAATAGAGAAGAACAATGAAGACAAAAATTGGTTCTTCGAAAAAAATTATCCAACAAAATGGATCAACAGTTCTGGGAAGAAGGAGCAAAGAAAGGAAAGACACAAATAATATGAACAAAAAAAGGCCAAGTTGCAGATTTAAAAGATAATAATTACCACAGACTGGTGGAAAATTTTCAGATCATTTATCAGATAAAGGACTTCCATTCAGAATATATAAAGAATTCAGAACTGAACAATAAAAAAAAAAAAAAACCCAGTTTAAAAATGGGCTAATGCTGGGCGCGGTGGCTCACGCCTGTAATCCCAGCACTTTGGGAGGCCGAGGTGGGCGGATCACTTGAGGTCAGGAGTTCGAGACCAGCCTGACCAACATGGTGAAACTCCATCTCTACTAAAAAAAAAATACAAAATTTGCTGGGCATGGTGGCGCATGCCTGTAATTCCAGCTACTTGGGAGGCTGAGACAGGAGAGTTGCTTGAACCCGGGAGGCAGAAGTTGCAGTGAGCCAAGATCACGTCATTGCACTCCAGCCTGGGCAACGAGAGTAAAACTCTGTCTTAAAAAAAAAGGCTAACAGCTGGGTGTGGTGGCTTATGTCTGTAATCCTAGCACTTTGGGAGGCTGCGGTGGGAGGATAGCTTGAAGCCAGGAGTTCAAGACCAGCCTGGACAACATAGAGAGGCCCTGTCTTTACAAAAATAAAAATAAAAAATTAGCTGGGCATGGTAGCATGTGCCTGTAGTCCTACCTTCTTGGGAGGCTGAGGTGGAAGGATTGCTGAAGCCCAGGAATTGCAGGTTACAGTGAGCTATGATTGCACTACTGCATTCCAGCCCGGGAGACAGAGTGAGACTGTCTCAAAAAAGAAAAAGAGAGGAAGAGAAAAGGAAAGGAAAAAAAAAGGCTAAAGATCTGAAGAAACAGAGTCACAGAAGGTATACAGACGGCAGATACGAACATGAAAAGACGCGCCACGTAATTTCTCGTTAGGCGAGTGTAGATTAAACGCAATGCCATCCCATTGCACAGCCACGCAAACAGAGCGCCACAGAAGGTATACAGATGGCAGATAAGCACATGAGAAGACGCTCAACATAATTTCTCATTAGGCGAGTGCAGATTGAAAGCACGATGCCATCCCATCGCACAGTCACGAAATGGCTAAAACATAATCACACAAGTAAAATGACAATGCCACATGCTGACACAGATGTGAAGCACGAGAAATTCTCATCTACTGCTGGTGAGAATGCAAAATGGTGCAGCCGTTGTGGAAAAGAAATTGGCCATTTCTCACCCAGAAATGCCACTCACATAAATCTTCACAGCAGCTTTATTTATAATCACTAAAAACTGGAAGCAGCTCTCCCTCTCCCTCTCCCTCTCCCTCTCCCCACGGTCTCCCTCTCTTTCCACAGTCTCCCTCTCATGCGGAGCCGAAGCTGGACTGTACTGCTGCCATCTCGGCTCAGGCTCACTGCAACCTCCCTGCCTGATTCTCCTGCCTCAGCCTGCCGAGTGCCTGCGATTGCAGGCACGCGCTGCCACGCCTGACTGGTTTTGGTGGAGACGGGGTTTTGCTTTGTTGGCCGGGCTGGTCTCCAGCTCCTAATCGCGAGTGATCTGCCAGCCTCGGCCTCCCGAGGTGCCGGGATTGCAGACGGAGTCTGGTTCACTCAGTGCTCAATGGTGCCCAGGCTGGAGTGCAGTAGCGTGATCTCAGCTCACTACAACCTACACCTCCCAGCCGCCTGCCTTGGCCTCCCAAAGTGCTGAGATTGCAGCCTCTGCCCGGCCGCCACCCCGTCTGGGAAGTGAGGAGTGTCTCTGCCTGGCCGCCCATCGTCTGGGATGTGGGGAGCCCCTCTGCCTGGCTGCCCAGTCTGGAAAGTGAGGAGCGTCTCCGCCCAGCCGCCATCCCATCTAGGAAGTGAGGAGCGCCTCTTCCCGGCCGCCATCACATCTAGGAAGTGAGGGGCGTCTCTGCCCGGCCGCCCATCGTCTGAGATGTGGGGAGCACCTCTGCCCCGCCGCCCCATCTGGGATGTGAGGAGCGCCTCTGCCCGGCCGCGACCCCGTCTGGGAGGTGAGGAGCGTCTCTGCCCGGCCGCCCCGTCTGAGAAGTGAGGAGCCCCTCCGCCCGGCAGCCACCCCGTCTGGGAAGTGAGGAGCGTCTCCGCCCGGCAGCCGCCCCGTCCGGGAGGGAGGTGGGGGGGTCAGCCCCCCGCCCGGCCAGCCGCCCCGTCCGGGAGGTGAGGGGCGCCTCTGCCTGGCCGCCCCTACTGGGAAGTGAGGAGCCCCTCTGCCCGGCCACCACCCCGTCTGGGAGGTGTGCCCAACAGCTCATTGAGAACGGGCCATGATAACAATGGTGGTTTTGTGGAATAGAAAGGGGGGAAAGGTGGGGAAAAGATTGAGAAATCGGATGGTTGCCGTGTCTGTGTAGAAAGAAGTAGACATGGGAGACTTCATTTTGTTCTGTACTAAGAAAAATTCTTCTGCCTTGGGATCCTGTTGATCTGTGACCTTACCCCCAACCCTGTGCTCTCTGAAACGTGTGCTGTGTCCACTCAGGGTTAAATGGATTAAGGGTGGTGCAAGATGTGCTTTGTTAAACAGATGCTTGAAGGCAGCATGCTCGTTAAGAGTCATCACCACTCCCTAATCTCAAGTAATCAGGGAGACAAACACTGCGGAAGGCCGCAGGGTCCTCTGCCTAGGAAAACCAGAGACCTTTGTTCACTTGTTTATCTGCTGACCTTCCCTCCACTATTGTCCCATGACCCTGCCAAATCCCCCTCTGTGAGAAACACCCAAGAATTATCAATAAAAAAAAAAAAAACAAAAAAAAAACAAAACTGGAAGCAAATCCACTGTTCTTCAGTCGGTGAGTAGATCAAACCTGCAGCCCATGGGTGGAATGGAATACTATTCAGCAACAAAAAGGAAGAGGCCATCAATTCAAATGTCATGCATGAGTCTCCAATGCATTTTTCTTTGTGAAAGAAACCAGATTCAAAAGGTTACTATCTGTACTAATAAGCATTATTGTGCATATTAATTGATTAATTGCATTAATTAAATGCATTGACTAAACTGCATATTGGTTGATTGATTAATTACATTAATATGACATTCCAGAAAAAGCAAAGCTAGAGAGAAGGAAAATAGATTGGTGGTTGCAGGGGTTGGGGATGGGGGCAGCACAGGGGGATTTGAGGGTGACGAGACTGTTCTGAATCGTGACTGTGGGAGTGGATGACGTGATTGTGCATTTGTCAAAACCTGTAGAACTGAACACCAGACAGTGCATTTTTTGGATATGTATATTAAGATTTTTTTATGCAAAAAAAAAAAAAAAGCAATTCTAAGAAAAGATAATCTTCCCATGCAGACATTTTGGGCTGGAAGGACCCGTTTTTCGAGTGAAGTCACAGAGGCCAGAGGACAGCAACCTCAGAGCCTGCCTGCCTCAAAGCCGAAGGAAGGGGCTCTGCTGACGATGGAACTGCTCTCTCTGAAGGTGGAGGATTGACAGGAGCTGCCTGGCTGAGGCCGAGGCAAGCCTTGTGCCCAGGCCAGAGCTGGAGCCCACAGCTGCAGCTGGGAAGATGCCCCCAGGACCTCTGAGCAGTTTGCACATGGCATCGGGCCCCGTGGGTCCGGTCCACACCCCCGTCTTGCCCTGAGGGAGCCCAGCCCAGAGACTTGAGGCAGCCTGCTTGGGGTCTCACAGCAGTAAGATGGCCCAGGGGTCCGGGCCTGTGGCCACCCATGCTCCTGGCTGGCCTGGAGCCATGTGTGGGGGTTTGTGTGTGTGTCCCTGTGTGAGTGTGTGTCTGAACACACATATGCAAATGCATGCCTGTGTGTGCACCTGTGTCTGAGTGTGTGTGCACCTGTGTATGTGAGAGTGTGTGTGCACCTGTGTGTGTGTGTGTGTGCACCTGTGTATGTGAGAGAGTGTGTGTGCACCTGTGTGAGAGTGTGTGTGTGCACCTGTGTGTGTGCACCTGTGTGTTGAGTGTGCATGTGTGTAAAGATGAGATCTCTCAGGTGGGTGAGGCAGTGGATGGGTGCCAGCACGAGCAGGGCTGGAAGGTGTGGCTTTGGGGTGAGGGGGCTAGAAGATGCAGCTTTGGGGGTGAGGCCCTGTCCAGGCGGGTGTTGGGTTCCTCCACCCCGGAAGGAAGTCACACCCCTGAGCAGGGGACACAGGCCAAGGCTGTGGAGTCTGTAGGTGAGGGGGCAGGAAGTGGAGCACCCCCCCAACCTCCTGCATTTTCTGTGAGGCAAAGGAGTGCCCTCCACTGCCCTGCCGCGGGCCGGTCAGAGCCGTGCAGCAGAACTCCTTTCACACGCACACACGTGTGTGCATTCTCACACACACACGTATACACATACTGGCATGCCCGTGTTCACATGCACAGGCTGTTCCTCAGCCCTCCAGCTCCTGCCCGGACTCCACCAACTCTGAGCACCTGGTAAATGCCCCCCACCCGCCCTCTGGCCTGCCCCTCATCCTCCCCCGCCGTGGGCGGGCAACTCTGCCCTGCCAGCCTCACGTGGCCTCTTAGCCCTTAGGCCCTAGGATCCTCTGAGCCCTCTCGATGTCCTGTGCAGTGCCTTCAGGCTGGATGTCCTCTAGGCCTCGCCTCTCCCACAGCCTGAGGGTGGCTGTGGCTTGGGGATGTCCACTCCCCCAGTCCTCCTCTCCCACGGACAGCCCTGAGCCCTCCTGCTCCCCTGCCCTCCGTCTCCTGGCCCAGCCTCCTTGGCCCATGGCCTTGCCCACTCTGCGTCACCCCTCACCCCTCCCTGCTTTTGCCCTCACTGTCCCCTCGGCCCGGGATGCCCTGGCCTGCCTCAGCGGGCTCCGCTCAAGCCCAGCCCCTCTGCAAAGCTTCCCGTCCTGCTCCAGGATTTGGGCCTGGCCCGCATGCCCAGGGTGGTGATGGTGGCCTTTCTCCAGGGCCTGCTGACGGGAGGAGCCCCCTCCCAGGACTGTGGGTCCTTGGAGGCAGAGAGCTCCCCCACCTCAGAAGCTGCCCGGGGTGGGGCGTGCCGCGGGCCTGCAGGTCTGTCTGCCAGAAACCCCCAGTTTCTGTGGGGTCAGCCCCGACTCCACTGGCCCTCCTTTATTAGTGACAGTGAGGGGTCCCGCAGCCCAGAAGCCTTGGGTCCCTGACCCTGGATTGTTAACCAGACCCCTGGCAGCTGAGCTTGGCTGGAACCCCGACAGCCTGCAGAGGGAACCAAAATGTTTCCAGCATGGGTGCTGAGCGCTGGCATCAGCCAGGGTGCTTTCCACCTGGGGTTGCTGTCTCCCCAGTGGTGTCTGGGTTGCTGTCCTGGCCTCAGCTGCCAACCTGGACACTGCACCTTTAGGGGCTTCCCCCGGGCTGAAGGACACTGGCAGGGACGCAAGGGCTGCCCCTCTATCGCGTGGCCTCCTGGCACTAGCCGTCTCCCAGCCACCCTCCCAGCCGCCAGCCCTCCCGTGGGGGCGTCGGAACAATGATTCTAAAACAGGACAGCTCTGAGCTTTCCCCTGGCTGCCCGAAGGCTACCAGGACTTCTTGCCTGGACATTTGGGGCTGGAAACTTCTTTGTGGTGGCGGGAGGGGCTGTCCTGTGTGTTGCAGGACATTTTCCAGCTTCCTTGGTCTCCACCCACTAGAAGCCAGTGGCACCCCTCCCTGCCGTGAAGTCCAAAGATGTCTCCAGAGACCCTAACTGTCCCCTCTGTGGAACGGGGGACACTGGACCCCCCCCTCACTGGCACGGGGAAGGGGAGGTGCCTGTTGGGAGCCACTGGGCCGGGTTCCCCCATAAGGGTTTCCGTGCTGAGCTCCTGCTGGCCTGGATGGGGGCAGGGGAAGCAGCTGCACTTCTGCTGATCCGCAGAGGGCCTGTGGGGAGCAGTCTGCTCCCTCCGCTGCCCCGCCCCATCCCTATCCCCCGCCCTGAGGCCTGGGGGGTGGCCCTTATCTTGGGCCTTTCCTGTCTCAAAGCACCATTAGGGCAAAACAAGCAGTTCCTAAAAGCGGCTGAGAATAGGCCCTGAGGGCTTGGCAGGGGCTGTGGGGGTGGGAGGGAGGGTCTGGGGGAGCTCGGGGCAGGGGCTGTGGGGGTGGGAGAGGGTCTGGGGGAGCTCGGGGCAGGGGCTGTGGGGGTGGGAGGGAGGGTCTGGGGGAGCTCGGGGCAGGGGCTGTGGGGGTGGGAGGGAGGGTCTGGGGGAGCTCGGGGCAGGGGCTGTGGGGGTGGGAGGGAGGGTCTGGGGGAGCTCGGGGCAGCGGGGCTGCAAAGGAGGCCCAGGGCCATGAGGAGGGTAAGTCCCCCACCTGTGGAGACTCTGTGGGTCCCCGCCCAGACCTGGCACCCAGCAGGTACTTCACAGAAGAGCTGTGCCTGGGCAGATGGCTCCTGGGTGTGGTGGGACGTTCAGCAGCATCCCTGGCCCCACCTAGCCACCGCAGCCGGCTGCACGTCGCTCCTTCCTGAGTCCTGGAAGCTGGCCCTGGATGTGGCACCTGTTGGCTCCAGCTGGCTCCAGGCCCTCAAGGAGTGTCACAGGGACTGTTCGGCCGGGGTTTGCCTGCTGCTGCTACCCCCCCAGGGACGAAAAAGGATGGTCAGTGGAGACCAGGGACCGCCGGGGGCAGGAGCAGATACAGGGCGAGTGGACACGCCCCAAGGCCCAGCTCCACAGGGGTTGGGGGGACAGCCAGGCTCGAGGCGGGTTCCCTAGGGAAGTGCATTCCAAAGGGGATCAGCCCCCCACGCTGTGAAGGGCAATGAGAAGGATGCAGCCCCCACCAGGCCCAGCCCTTCCTTGGGGCCCCAGGGGAGGGTCTCTGAGGAGGGTGAGCTTCGGGGCAGGGGCCCTGAGCTGCAGGTGGAGGGGTGTACTCTGCGGTTGAGGAGAATTTTCAGGGGCCAGCTCTGGGGTTCAGGGGGCCACATGATACCAAGCCCTTACCCCAGAGAGCCACCCACACCCCACACTGAGGGTGGACCCCCCAACCTTGGCCTCCCACTGCTGCAGGGTCTTCCTCCCCACCAGTTCCTAGAGAGGAGAGCTGGGAGTGACAGTCCCCAGAGAGGGGACAGCCAGGAGCCCAGCTCTGGGAAGCCCCCAGGGACCTGCTTCAATCTCTCCTGGACCCTCCAGGTAACAGATGGGTTCTCGGAGCATCCCCTGCCAGCCCAGAGCTTGAGACCACAGGGGAATAGCCCCTGCCCCGGGAGCATCGAGCAGCCCAGACTGCAGCCAAACCCCGCGCCAAGCAGAGAGGGCAAGAGAATGACAAGCATGGTCCTGGGGGGCCGTGGACGCATGGTCACCGCGGGAGCAGTGGCGGAGGTGGCTGTGAGTTGGACCCTGGCAGGGAGCAAGACCCAGAGGCTGGTGGAGGAAACAGGTAGAGGAAGGGGAGTTTATTAGGGGGGTGGTGGTGCCGGGGGCGTGGCAGGCTCCGAGGCCCAGCTGGACACAAGGACCCAGATTCGTCTGGCCAGGCCTGGGCAACCCAGCCTCGACCACACTAGGTATGGGCTGCCCAGAAGAGGAGCCACTCTGCCCAGGGTGGGCTGCAGAACCTGATGGGCCAGAGTCCTGTCCTGGGATTGTTCCAGAAATCAAGGCTGTAGCTTGAGACTGGGGGCTTCCCCAGGTCTTCCACCCTGAGGGGAGAGCAGCTGGCCGTGGACACCACCCTCAGGGAGCTGAGAGGCCAGAGGTGGAGAGAGGCTGGGGGCCGGCTCTGCAGCCCCCAGGCCCCCACTGCAGCCCCCAGGCCACCCTTGGCTGCCGGCTTAGGGCCCTTGGCTTGCTCAGCCTATCTTTAGCCACCATGGCCTCGTAGGGTGCCCTGCAGCCCCTTCTTGGCCCAGGCGAGCCCTGGAGCAGTTCTTCACTTGGACAGGTGCATGGTTTACGGTGAGGGATTCAGCTTGCCAGAACCCGCATGCCCCTTGGAAGCCCCTTTTTCTGCCCCCAGCAGCTCCACTCCCACCACCGCACCCACCCCAGCAGCTAGTCTAAAGCTCTCTGTCTCCAGGGATGCTCCCAGCCCCCCTCCAGCAGATGGCCTTTCTGGAAACACCCTTAGGCTGAGCCTCTGTCCACTCCACTGGTGTAACCAACAACAGGGAGCTCCCAAGGACCCCACAAAAAGGCAGACATTGTAAGGGGGAAACTGAGGCCCAAAGTGTCCGGCAGCTTGCCCAGATCCCACGGGCAGGGAGCAGGAGCCGGGATTGGGCTCATTCCTTCAGCTGGCAACCGTCCATTTGTAGGGGCAGAGGCGGCAGGGACATAGCCTCCTGCTTGGAGCTGGGAAGCGGGGGCGGTGAGGGGGACACAGAGGAAGACTACCCAGCTCCACCCAGGCCTGCCTGTGGGGGCACTTCCTGCGGGATGCGGGGACTCTGATGAGACCCAAAGGAGGAATGAGAAATGTGGGCAGAGCTGGAGCCGGCCAGGGATGGGATGATCCCACAGGTGTGAGAGCAAGGGAGTGCCCTGTCCGCACCTCTGCTTTCTGGTGTCCCCACCATACCTTTCTGTTACGTCCCTTCTCTCCTTCTGAGAGGCTGTCCCATCCCAGCTGCACACCATTCTCATTGAAGTGAAAAGGCTGCCTCCCGACCCCAGCTGCCCAGGGCAGTCATCCACACCCTGGCTCTGGGCCATCCGCCCCTCTCGTGGTTCCTACGGTCCGTGTCCTCTGTGGCACCTCAAGTGCCCCCTGCCTGCCCCAGGGACAGCCACTCACTGGGCTCAGAGCCCCCTGACACACACACAGCAGGGGGCTTCGAGAGTCCAGGGATGCCTCCTGGAGTCACGGCTCTGCCAAGCTCCCCAAAGTTGACTTGGTGGGGGAGCTGGCATCCTGACTACATGGCCGTGTTGACAGGACCAGCGAGCAGCCTCCTGGTATCTGCTGTTAATCCTCATGACTGCTCTCAAACCTCTCAACTCTACTGAAGACACAGACACAGTCATGCCCACAGCTCCACAGAGAGTTCCTACCTAAACACCCGTGCAACCAGCACGTGATGAAGACACAGATATCACCAAGAACGGCTTGATGCCTCCTACAGAAGTGTCCATTGCATGTTGGAAGTTCCTGAGCTGAACAGCAAGGTTGTTTGCCATCTTCATCTCCCTAGGCAAGACTGCCCTGGAAGAGCGAGTGATGTGGATGGAGACAGGGAATACTGAGGTCTGCTGACGTCAGTCGATGGCGGCCATGTGGATGGACGGCGGGCATGTGGACGGACGGTCAGACATGTGGACGGACGGGCGGGCGTGTGGACGGGCGGGCGGGCGTGTGGACGGGCAGGCGGGCGTGTGGATGGACGGCGGGAGTGTGGATGGATGGTTTTGGTGGTTGACACCAATCCTGCGTGCAAAGGCTTGATGTGGGTTTTCCCGGGGTTCCCGTGGGGAGAAAATTCCTTCACAATGAACCAAATCCCGCTCCCACTGGGTGTTCCTCCTCCTCCTCCATCTTTTTCTCCTCTTTTGGCTCCTCTTATGACATCATAAGACATATATATTTGGTCTCTGTCCCCCATTACTGACACAGAGCTCCTAATCCCTTAGACTTGCCTAGGTGATGGGAGCATCTTTTGTTCCAATGAGGCAGCTCTTGCTGGGCTCCTGGGTAGCTCCAGGATGGGGGCTGGTCGCCAGCAAGACCAAGCCACGATGAGCAGCTTGACACTTCTGGCCTCACCCGCCATGCTCTGGGGAAGGGAGGGGCTGGAGACCAAGCCTGTGTGATGAAGCCTCCATGAAAAGTCAGAACAATGGGATTTGGAGAGCGTCTGGGTTGGTGCACGCGTGGAGGCTCTCGGAGGGAGGCGCCCGGAGAGGCCGTGGGAGCTCCACCCGCATCCCCATACCTTGCCCTGAGCATCTCTGCTGGCTGAGTTGTTTCCTTTAGTAATAAGCCAGAAGTGGCCGGGTGCGGTGGCTCACGCCTTTGGGAGGCCAAGGTGGACAGATCGCTTGAGTTCAGGGGTTCAAAATCAACCTGGGCAACATGGTGAGACCCTCTCTCTACAAAAAATACAAAAATTAGCTGGGCGTGGCGGCTCATGCCTGTAGTCCGAGCTACTTGGGAGGCTGGGGTGAGAGGATCGCTTGAGCCCAAGAGGCAGAGGTTGCAGTGAACCAAGATTGCACCACTGTGCTCCAGTCTGGGTGACAGAGGCAGACCTGTCTGCAAATGTAAAATAAAAATAGATATATATAATATAAAACATTCTGCTGAGAGAGAGCATGACAGAAAAAAAATTCAGTAGTAGGAAACAAACAGTTGTTCTAGTCTCTGTGAGCTGTTCTAGCAAATGACTGAACCCGAGGAGAGAGTCATCAGACCTCCCATTTGTCACAGCCAAGGCATTCAGAAGTAGTGGGTAACCTGGGGACCCACCCCTCCATGACTGGTGTCTGAAGTCAGGGCAGTCACGGGTGACTGAGCCCTTAACCTAACCCCAGAAGTGAAGTGCCAGAGGCGTTGTGAGTTACAGTATGGAAGAAAAGCTTTCTCTCATACGCCCAGCTTCTCTGGCCTCGGGGCTCCACCTCCTTCTTCCCAGTTCAACATCCCCTGACCCTTTTCTCATTTGGGGTAATTGAGTCCCTGGGCTTGGCCAGCGTGCCCCTCGCTCAGCTGCCAGGGACCTGCCCTTGCTGGGTGGAAGAAAAGCTGGTGACAGTGTGTGCCATTGCAGCACACATCGCCGACTCCGCGCCCCCTTCCTGATTAGGAGAACACCCAGCATCAGCTGGCGCAGTGACATCAAAGACTACGTTTCCTAGCCTCCCTCGCTGCCAGATGTGGTCACAAGACTACGTTGGGCCCAGGAAAGAGGGAAGATGGAGCAGGCGAACTGGGTGGGAATTCCGGGAATTCTCCACACAGGGGACGGGCCGTGCCCTGCTCTCCTTCGCTCCTTCCTCATTCCTGGAACACAGATGTGAAGGCTGGAGATCAAGTTGCCATCTGGGACCATGAGGTAAGGCTGGGGGCTTCCCATGGCTGTGGAGGCTGTCGTGCCAGCCCTGAGAAAGAGGAAACTCTGTGGATTAGGTGGGTTAGGCATGGTCGTCTGGGTTTTCTGGGGTCACAGGCAGCCTCTCCCTGGCCTCACTAGGACACACTATGACTGTTGAAACCATGACTCATGATTCACATTGGGGGTATGCCCTGGTCAAAGGAACATGCGCTGGCAACAAGGAGTTTCAGAATGATCCAGTTCTTGGGTTGACACTTCTCAAAAGCCCCTATCTTCCCCTGCCTCTTCTGTCTCGGGGAGGCTGTCTTCAAAATTTCCCTAAAAACCCCTTCCCTGGCTGAGACCTGGGGCCTCTTGCCTTCTTACCAGAGCAGCTGTCCCCCAACAGAAACCTCAGGACACTTCCGCCTTTCCTCTTCCCACTTGGCCTGTCATCCGGTCCCCACCCCCTGCTTGCATCACTAACACCCAGGGGTGGGAGAGGCCAGGACAGAGCCCTCCTCCAAGGGAGCGAACAAGGAGTCAGAAAAGGCTGGGAAGACTTCTTCCGAGGGATGGAATCACCATCTGAGCAGAGGGGCCCGGCGAGACGTGAATACACAGACACACCTGATGGAGGGAGGGATGGAATCACCATCTGAGCAGGGGGGCCCGGCGAGGCGTGAATACACAGACACACCTGATGGAGGGGGGCTCCGTGCCTGGAAACTGACACACAGGATTTGCCCTATAGTCATCAGCACAGAGGCAGAGTGGGTGACTTGTCAAATCTGGGACAATTTGAGCATCATCAAGAATAATGACTAGGGGCCGAGCACAGTCCCAGCACTTTGGGAGACCGAGGTGAGCAGATCATCTGAGGTCAGGAGTTCAAGACCAGCCTGACCAACATGGCGAAACCCCGTCTCTACTAAAAATATAAAAATTAGCTGGGAGTGGTGGTGGGCGCCTGTAATCCCAGCTACTTGGGAGGCTGAGGCAAGAGAATCGCTTGAACCCGGGAGGCGGAGGTTGCAGTGAGCCAAAATCATGCCACTGCACTCTAGCCTGGGCCACAGGGCAACACGTCATCTCAAGAAAAAATAAAAATAAAAAAAGAATAATGACTAGGTTGGACAGAAACACTTGGAAGATATAAAAGTCCATGAATCCCACACACCCATATTCACAGCAGCCAAGCGACATCCACCCATCAACACCTGAATGGCTAAACACAGAGACATGGAAGGGATGTTATTTACCCTCAAAAAGGAAGGAAATTCTGACACGTGCTGCAAGAATGAGACTTGAGGACACTGCACTAAGTAAAATAAGCCAGACATCAGGACAAAAGGACAAAGGCTGTGTGATTGCGCTTACGATGAAGTACCCGGAGTAGCCGCGTGTATAGAGCAGAAAGTGGAAGGGGCTGGGCGCAGGGAGGAATGGGATGTTACTGTGTAGTGAGGACAGTTTCAGTTTTACACGATGAAAAATTTCTGAAAATGGACGGTGGGGGCGGTTGCAGAGCGTGAATGTGCTTAGAGCCACTGACCGGTACACTTAGAAATGGCTAAGATGGTAATTTTCATCTCGTGTAATTTTCATCTTGTATTTTACCATAAAATACAAATCTATGAGTCCTTAATAATCAAGAGAGAAGGCCAGGTGCAGTGGCACACACCTGTAATCCCAGCACTTTGGGAGGCCAAGGTGAGAGGATCACCTGAGGTCGGGAGTTCGAGACCAGCCTGACCAACATGGCAAAACCCTGTCTCTACTAATAATACAAAATTAGTCAGGCGTGGTGGCACATGCCTGTAATCCCAGCGACTCAAGAGGCTAAGGCGGGAGAATCGCTTGAACCTGGGAGGTGGAGGTTGCGGTGAGCCAAGTTCCTGCCATTGCACTCCAGCCTGGGCAACAAGAGCAAAACTCCGTCTCGAAAAAAAAAAAAAAAAAAGCCAGGCGTGGTGGCTCACGCCTGTAATCCCAGCACTTTTGGAGGCTGAGGCAGGCAGATCATGAGGTCAGGAGTTCGAGACCAGCCTGGCCAACATAATGAAACCCTATCTCTATTAAAAGATACAAAAAATTAACTGGGTGTGGTGGCACACACCTGTAATCCCAGCTACTTGGGAGGCTGAGGCAGGAGAATCACTTGAACCAGGCAGGCGGAGGTTGCATGAGCCGAGATTGCACCATTGTACTCCAGCCTGGGCGACGGGACCGACAGGGATCTGGGCATCTGCCCGCCACACCTGTCCTCCTGGGAGGCTGGGAGGCCTGGGGCCCCCACTCTCAAAGCCTACCCTTCCGGCCACTGTCTCTCTACAGTTATAGAGCAAAGGCCCCCGACCCAACCCTGCCGCCGTCACCAGAGGAGCAGCCCCACAAGCCCCCACAGCGTGGTCACACCTGGCTTGGGGGACAGCCGCACCCCACATGCAAGGTAGCCCTTGGGAACTTCTGCTCCAGATGCACCAGGTGGGGAAGGCCAGAGCTGGCCATTCAGGGTTTTTTAGGGCCAGACAAGAGCAAGGCCCTGTGTCTGCCCGGGAGGTAGAGCAGACCACACTGGCCCCATGCACAGGGGCTCTTTGGGTCCCTCGTCCCATCTTTCCAGCTCCTTCCAACTTTGCCCCCTGGACATTTCTTGCTCTGACCCTCCCTTCCCTTATTCCTGGCCTTGTCTCCCCCTGGGCCCAGGCCTTCCCAGACTGACTGGACAAATTAGCAAGCAATCACCAGCTTTGGCTTCTGCAGGGTCCAGACAGGCCAGGAGAACGGCTGGTGAACCCACCGGACAGCAGGGCGGTTTCTGGTGCACACATCGGGATGTGAAGTTGTACCCCATGTCTGCAGCTTGGACCTCACCACTGCTGTGTCTGGGCCGCAGGGAGCTGTTCTGGCACGTGACTCAGCCGTGGGATGTTCGGGTGACTTCCTGTCTGAAACCTGCTCTCCTGTTGGTGAGGGATTCTCTGGGTATGAATCGCTTTGCTGGGGTCAGAGCAGGGAGAGCCATCTCCCTGACGGGCTTCTCAGAGACAACACCCCAGGTGCCGCACAGCCCGGGGCAGCCTCCACTGGTCCCGAAGGCCCGGTGGGAATAGGCAGGGCCAGTCCACACCCCCAGGCTGTCAGTGTTTGGACTCCCAGGCTCCTGCCTGCCCTCCACCCCAGCCTGGCTTCTCCACCTGGCAGGGGCAGGGGAGCCGGTACACGGCTGCCAACCCCCCAGTTCATACCCACAGCTCCTGCCACCCAAGGGACCCAACTTTCCTTTCCCAGACCCCAGTGAAGGACCCAAAGAGAGGATTCAACTGACCTCACTTGAATCGGCTATTCCCGGACTGCCTGGCAAAGGCCAGAAGGCATGGAGGGTGACAATGGCCTGAGCCGGGTCCGCATGTCACTCCTGGACCCCTCACCGGGGGCGCAGAGGAGGCCTGGTGAACGTGACAGACCACCCAGTGGGGCGCAGGACGGGGCAGGTCCTAGGAGGCTGCTGGGGCCAGCGACAGGAACCCACAGCTGTCCCTGGCCATCACCCCCACTGGCCTGATGTGGGCTTCGTCTATTGCTGCTCCGAGGGTGGGGCTGCCCTGGCCCAAAGACCCGGGAGGCCAGTGACCCCATGAGCAGTGGCCTGTGGAGGCGTGTGTTTGCACCAGATCCCCTAGAGGATCACTGTCCCCTGGGCAAGTGTTTCTGGAAAGCCAAGGTAGGCCCTGCCCTGAGACCTGCGCCTCCCCGCCAGGGCAATGGGAAAGCCCAGCTTTCCAGGGACTCCACTGCCACCCACACAAAACCCTCTGAAATCGCTGTTCGGAGGCAGCCTCCAGCCATGCGGCCCTGCAGCAGGGGGCAGCTGTGATCCACGTGTCTGGGGGAAAGTGTAGACTGGGGGCTCGGCCTCCACCGGCCTCTCCTGGCCGTGGGTGTACCCACCCAGGATGGCGGCTTCTTCGCTCAGTGACCGTCCCTGCTGCGGTGCTGGGCAGTGTCGCTTGGAGACATTTGTGGTCCCCAGCTCCTTCCCTCAGCCCGGCCCTGTCCCCACTGCTGAAAGAGCCTGGCTTGGATGGAGCTTGGCAGGCTCGGGAGTGGGCACCAGGGTGGGTCTGTGCCCTGAAACTCAGAAGCAGCCTGGAGGTGAGTGGAGTTGTAGGTGCTGTCCACAGCCAGCTGGCTTTGTCCAAGGAAACTGGGCCCATCATGGCCGGAAGCCCCACAGTGAGGGGGACTGTCCCAGGCAACCCTGCCTGCCCACCCTCCAGTTCCCACAGGGCCCCTCACAGAGAAGCCCACCCGCAGGGCTCCTGGGCCAGGCCAGGCTTGGTTCTGGATGCAGGAGGGGTTGAGGTAGGGCTGGGGGAGGAATGTGGAGTGTGCAGTAGGCTGTTCTTCCCACACGGCCCTGCCCCATGTAGGAAGAGGGAGGCGGGGAGGGGAGGGTGCTTGTGTGCAGTGGCTGTGCCGAGCCTTCCAGGACATGCAGGTGCCATCCTGGTCCCGGGGCTGCAGTGGGCGCACTCAGCCTCTCTACTCCTGGCACCCCGGACAGGGACTCCTGGGAGGACACAGCCTCTGGGAAGTCACCCTGCTCCGTGCTTGCCTGGCCCGAGAGTGGGCAACACCAGGCCTGAGCTGCAGAGGAGCTGGATTTTGTCTTTCCAGGACCCCTCCCTGCAGCCTTTCCAGGACCCCTGTCCT